>NC_000003.12:54252424-54555454 GCF_000001405.40 Homo sapiens | reverse complement strand
TGCACATGCTACATAGGGTCTTCTCTCTCTGCACACTCCTATACACCCTTGCATACCTTTCCAGATTAGTTTTGCATCTTTGAATAAGGTACTCCCTCTTATGACTGTATTTTAGTTACATGTTCCATCCTGAGCAGTGCCTGAGATGGTCAGCCCACATAGATCCAAGCAAATTAATGGATGTAAAGCACTTAGCACAGCAACTGGCACATACAAAAGGCTTCATAAATACTGGCTGTTACTTACTCCATTCATTAGAAAATAAATAAATAAGGTCTTGGCTGGGCACACTGGCTCACACCTGTAATCTCAACACTTTGGGAGGTCAAGGTGGGTGGATTACTTGAGCTCAGGAGTTTGAGACCAGTCTGGCCAACATGGCGAAACTCCATCTCTACAGAAAATACAAAACAGTAGATAGGCGGGGTGGTGTGCTCCTGTAATCCCAGCTACTCAAGAAGCCGAGGTGAAAGGATTGCTTGAAACTGGGAGGTCAAGGCTGCGATGAGCCAAGATTGCACTACTGGACTCCAGACTGGGTGACAGAGTGAGACCTTGTCTCCAAAAAAAAAAAAAAAAAAAAAGAGAGTGAGAGAGAAAAGAAAAGAAATAAATAAAGTCTCAAGAGGGGCTTCCAACTTTCACCATGTTCTCCACATCAGGGTTGCTGGGTAGCACCTGAACAGCAGCACGGCAGTCAGGACTCTGGCCTTGAAGCTTGAGTCCTAGGTATGAGATCTCACTTACCACTGGTTAGCTGATGGCCTTGGACCTGGACTTAATGTTCCTCAGCCCCAGTGCCTTCATCTGTAGAAGCCAGATGAGAGCGGCTCTTCCTCAAAGGTAGCTGAGACAAGGCAAAGAACTTGCTGTGTGGTGGGAGGACTGCATACACCACCAGGGCCCATTCACTAGTCCCAGAACAGTGGAAGCCTCCAACTCCCCACCCGCAGCAGTTCAGCTGTCCTGAGACTATCCAGGGTAGACTTTATGCAAGTCTCTTTCTCTCTTCCTTAAATTATCAGGGCAAGGTACTGTGATGACGCTTTCATTCATTTGTTTACTCGACAAATATTGATTGAGTACCTACTGTATCAGGCATTCAACATTATGCCAGACAATGAAGTTGACATTTCAGTATGAGGAGAGAAACAATGGCAAATAAATGAGAATTTCAAGTAGAAATAGGTGTAATGAAAATAAACTGGGATAAGCCAGAGAGTTACTGTCTGTGGAAAGTGGGGAGGGGGTTTACCCAAATTGGGTGGTCAAAGATGACCCTCCCAGAGGTCATATAGATGACCTGAATGCTGAGATGGCACCAGCTCCCAAATGCCTACGCTAGCAAGAGCTTTGTACACAGAGTGAATAAGCAAGATCAAAAACCCTGACTTGGGAAGAATCTGGTGTCTTGGCGAGAGGTACTAGATGAGGCTGGAGAGGTGGGGAGGTCGTGGCAAGGATTTTAGCAGATAGGCAAGTTTCCTGCCAACAATGCATTTTGTAGCAGACATAATCTGTATTCCACCCATGCCAAGGTCCATCATGCCTTTCTGCATGGCTCCAAAATCAAATTTATTTTCCAAAATCTGTAGCGAGCATGGCCTACTTCCTCTTCCCAGGACAGGCAATCAGAAACTTCATGGATGCCTTAGTGCTTGAGTTTCCACTCCAGACCTCAGTCATCTGATACACACTTGATTTTTTTCCCCAATACCATTTATTCTCCACCGAATTAGCAGAACTGTATTAATTTAAACTTGCCATTTTCTACCACAAAAAATGGGTCAGCTTCTAGGGAATCTGAATGAAGAAGAACAATTATAAGCTAACACAGAATTAGAGACAAACTACATTTACCCAAAAACCACTGATGGAAGGGAAGGGACTCAGCTCAGAATCAACAGGATTTTTAAAGTGTGGCCCCTGTGCAGATGCCTGCCTTAAACAAGGCTGGAGAAAGGATCTCTGTCTTTCCTAAATGTCTTCAAAGCTGTGCACCTCTCGGCTATGAAATTATAGCAGGCAGGGGAGCCTGGGGATTGAGCCCACGCAGGAGTTTTCTTCTGTGCCGTGTGTTGGACCAAATTCAAGACGAGAATGGTTGGATAGTTTTCATGTCTCCCATTTCAGCAAGTAAATGACATCTCTCCCATTCATTCTAAGTAGATCATAGATTAAATAATGAACAGTTTTGATGCTAATTATCAAGCACTTATATCTATTGGAAAATAGTCCTTAATGTGTGCTGAATTATACAATAGGTTTATTTGCCAAACATTTACCCTTCCTCTAAACTTAGTGATATGCTAGACATGAAATGCAGGTTGCTTTTCACAAAGCTGGAGCCATTTTCTGGCAGCCCTGGGACCAGAGGGACAAGGAGGATTCATGGCCCAATGTTGAACCACTCCGGATGGAGCTGGGAAGCAAATGGCTTGGCAAATTCCAGAGAATGCTCTAGTCTCCCTCAGCCTGTTGCCTTGGTATGCTACACTTCAGGCTTCATTCCCTGGTGAATGATTAGAATTCATGTGAATTAGAATTCTAATTAGAATTCAGGTGAATGATTAGAATTTTCTTTTGCCATAAATATATCAATTTTAAATAGTCTTTCTCCCTTCATATATTTTAAATTTTGTGGAGAGACTTGCATTTCCTCTTCCTCATTCTCCTGGAATAAACCATTCACAAGTCTCCTTTAGAGACATTAAGAAGAAAATTGTATCACAGAAATCATGATGATGCTGATGATGATAGCGGCAGAGATGGCCACTTAGGGGGCACTTACAATGTGCCACACACTATGTGTGGCCCTTTCCAGGTAGTCATGAACTACTTTTCCTAGCCACATTTTACAGATGAGGAAATCTATCCCCAAAGCTTTGAAGTCCATTGCTATAGTACATTACCTTGCTCAAAGCGGAAGTTTGCTAAGTTCCTGTAAAAACTCCTAGATAACAGAGGACTTGAACTCTATTTACTGGCTACCAGACAGTACACAGGGGGTGGGAGAAAGCAATGGCAGGGAAGGCGCAGTCCACGGACCAGGGTAACACGTGGCTCAGAGGAGGCTGCCAGCTCCTAGCCATCATCAAATAATTAGGTGACACCTAGAAGAGGGGGCTCCCTCAGGCTTTCCTGGGGCCCTGACAGGACATCTTAGTACTTAATACTCAGGATATACGCGTACATTAAAGAGGGCAGGATGGATGAAGATAGAGTAGTACTGGGTACCAATTTGGAGTCCCCCTCCGAGAGTTCCTAGATGCATCCAGCCCAGGTTCTCTGCTGCAAAGCAGGCCAGTGAGGCTACTGCATCACTATCAGCATTTGGACTTGAGGTATGCTGGTAGAGGGGACATTTACAAGGCATAAAATCATGGCTAAAATACTGTAGAGTGAACTTAGGCACATTCCAAGAGGCTTCTGATTCTAAAATGGCATTTGATTGGCTGTAGTTAAGCTAATATTCACTAATTTAAAACACCTCTTTTGATACATGATACTTCGCCATCACTAAGTCACCTTTCCATTCTAACAAAATGCTGAGGAACCCACTCCTTCCTTTTGGCTCTGGCTGGAAAGGACATAAGGCTCATTTTGGAAAGGTTCAGAAATGGGGTGAGCACAGAATCCCTCTTTTCCCACCAGCAAATACTAGAACAATGCCAGTGTTGCAAAACTGTCACAGCAGCTCTTTGGAACTCAAGCATTTTGCTTGAAAATCTGTGCTGAACACGACGGCCAGAGCACCCACGCTGTTCCAGAAGCATCAGTAGTTTTTGAAAACTCATCACAGAGAGATTAATCCCACTGCCTGAGGCTTCACACCATTCTGATCTGGCCCAGGACCCCTTTTGGAAACAAATCCACTTTCCCTCCAGCTCCCAACATACACCCAAATCTGCACTGGTCAAGCTCACTGAGGCTTTCTCTTTTACATCGTCTGATTGTTCCCTTTACGTTAACTCTTACAACTATTGAACAACCCACCCAAAGGGTATTAAATCATGTCATATTTTCTAATATCCCCAAAGCATTTAGCACCTATACTGGATATAGTATGCATTTATTTATTCATTCATTCAGAAAATATTTACTGAATGCCCACTGTGTGCCAGGCACCTGCTAGGATTTGGAGACAAAACAGTGGGCAAAACCAGACACGGCCTTTGACCTAGTGGAGTGCACAGCTCATTGGGGTAAAATGGAATCTGCAGAACGCAGAGGCATGGGGTGGGCAGGTTGTAGAGTGGTCCTGGCAGAGCCAAAAGAAGTCTAAGTGCCTGGAATGCAGGAAATAAAAAGGAGGCTGGGGTGAGAAATGGGGACAGGGGGAACCAAGTAGGGCTTTGCAGACCTGGGTCTGCAGTCTGTCCTCAATCTCAAGAGGAGTGGATTCCTCCTTTGCCATTGAGAGAGCAACCAAGTGGTGGCAGGTGAGTGGCGCTGGAAGGGTGGAGGGGAGTGTTTAGAGGCTCCTGCAGTCATCCATGGGATACATGAGGGCACCTGTACAAGGGTGGCAGAGGGAGAGAAGCCAGTGGGACACAGAGAGGATGTGCTTGCAAACACGTGTTGGTCGAGGTTTTGCACTGAAGGCAGGTGCTGTGCCAGCTGTTGAAGCTCTCTTCTGCACTGTCCCAGCATCCATGTGGGGAATCCCCCACAGCAGGAAGCCAGGACAACCATGCTGCAGAATCACTATACCACGGGGAAATGAGCCAAGGGGAGGGGCATGCCCCTTAGATCACACGTAAATGGGAAATTCTGTTGACTGCAACAGGGAAACGTGTCCCCAAAAAGCTGTCTTGTCATAGATTTGCAGACTAAAACTGATTTCCCTGTTGAAACTGTCCTCAAAATGCAATCCCTTCAAGCCATTCTTCCCGTCTGTCTCCAATAGACAGAACTGTATCATCAGCAGCATGAAAGAGTGGAAACCATAGGGAAGTGGTATCCTTGACCGCCCACATTTGGGGGTGTGAAACCTCCAGGGGGTGCTTTCTTGGCGGGAGCCACTGCGCCACGCGGTGCCAGCTGCTCGGCCCCCTCGCACTCCATCACGCTCACAGCTCCGGGGAAGGCCCAGGCTATTTCTGGAGGATGAGGGAACCGAGGCCCAGCAAGGAAACACCACACAGCCAGTGAGTAACGTGGGTTCCTCTCTCATGGCCCCCTCAGCAGAGGGGATGCAGGGGACGGGCGATGCAGGATGGGGTGGGCTCAGGGCCACTTAACCCTTGGCGTTTGTCCTAAGCCCTCCTCATAAAGTAAAGCCAAATAAACTCTTAGCCATTCCGTCAACCAGAATTTAAAAAATACCTATGGGATTTGAAGCCTTGTCCTATGCTCTGTGGGGGCGGGGGGACAAAAGAAACAATTCTGGAAAGAACTGATAGATGACAAGTCATTTACAATAAAGGACAACACCCAGTTAGAGAGTACACAGCTGTCATCATTTAGCAAGAACCGATTCCTGATATTCACTCAGGGAAGTCTCTTCTCATTTTAACCTTTCGGAAGAGAGAAAGAAATTTAAACATTCCTTCCTTCCATCTTCCAGACAGGCCTGGCTCCCAGTAAAATATGATTTTGTGAGCCTGCCATCTGGGCTGATGCTATCAGCTTTTTATTGATATTTAATATAAACACAGCCCCGAGGCTAGCAGGTACCCTGACAGGGTCTGAAATATAATTGCCAAGGAACTGTACAAATGCGTGTAGCAATTAAGGAGCTGTCACGGATACTGCTGGAGCAAAGACATAGAAGCCGCAGACTGGACAAAGAAAGGCGGGGGCTGCAGCTGGGGGCATGTGGGCAGCAGAGGGCTGTGGGAAAGGAATGGGGAGCAGCATCACACGTCACTACACAGTCACGGCTTCCGTGGGCCCAGACACGGCACGCAGGGAGATCAGGGGATTATGGACATTTGAAAAAGGGAACGGGGGCAAGTTCAGGTTTGTTGTTTGTTTTTTTGTTTGTTTGTTGTTTTTTTTGTTTTTGAGACGGAGTCTCGCTCTTTCGCCCAGGCCAGACTGCAGTGGCACGATCTCGGCTCACTGCAAGTTCCGCCTCCTGGGTTCACGCCATTCTCCTGCCTCAGCCTCCAGAGTAGCTGGGACTACAGGCGTCTGCCACCACATTCGGCTAATTTTTTGTATTTTTAGTAGAGACGGGGTTTCACCGTGTTAGCCAGGATGGTCTCGATCTCCCGACCTCGTGATCCGCCCGCCTCGGTCTCCCAAAGTGCTGGGATTACAGGCGGGAGCCACCATGCCTGGCCTGTTGTTTGTTTTTAACAGCAAAAGGCCAAGTGCTGACTCTCCTGCCTCTAATATGAGATTTATATTGGAGAGACAATATGCAACCATGAGCCTGCTTCTAAGAGAGGTCTGGATGGGGAGCCAAGGGGACAGGGAAAAGGAATTTGCTTTGTTTCTTAAACAGCTTTACTGAGGTATAGCTGGAATTTGCATTACGTGCTGCTTTTAACATCTGTCACAGCGTCACCAGCCTGAAAACCTGTATTGGGATGAGGAACACCAGATGAATTAGGAGGAGAGGTCAGCTCTGAGTGAGGAAGAAGAGAAGATGGACCACTGCAGGGCCACGTCCAACACAGTGGGAATTTGAAGTCGGCCTTGAGGAGGGTAAAGGAATGCCTTTGTGCCATGATGCACTTGCAAGTCCTGCCCACAGGTCTGCTGTCATTGGTTTAACAGGCACCATGGTGGTAGTGGTAGTAGTAATGGAGACGGTCCCTGGATCAGGATCCCCTGTCATCCTTTGAAACGCTGGGGAGCCTTGGTTTTTGTAACTGGAAGAGGTGGGGTGAGGAAGAAGGTGGTGTCTACTGAACGTACTGGGTTTGGGGATCAGAATGGCCAGGTCTGGTAATGGGAGCATCTGCCCCTTAATTTGTTTTTAAATGCCTAGGAAAGGAACTGCTGCTAGAGGTCTGAGCTTCAAATAGCCAATGGGGTAGTAGAATAAAGAAATCTTGATCTCTTGCTTGAACCATGGGTGGAAAAAGGCTCCTCCCTCCTATGTCAGTGATTTCAGGTAGAACACAACCTTTTAAAGATTTTAGCAGTTATGTATTTCATGATGTTGGAGAAATTTTAACCAACACATCTAACTCTTAATTCTCAAAATCCCTTGCTCCTAATGTGGCTACATTTATTTAGATGAAAATAAAGAGTAAGTCATTTAGAGAAAAGCTTAAAGTAATCACACAGGTGTTGGGCAGGACTGGAGATGTCCTGAGTGTGGCCCATGACCTGCTGGGACTGGGGAAATACAGTTCCCATAGCTCAGAGCAGCAAAGCTTCTCAGCTCCTCCCAGTTCCCCTCCTCAGTCACTCCACACCAAAGCCTTAACACTGTCCAGAACAATGTGTGGAGTGGCAGGTGTCATGTGAACACATCACTTGTATAAAGAAAATGAGGTTTTAGGCTGGGTGCAGTGGCTCATGCCTGTAATCCGAGTGCTTTGGAAGGTCAAGGCAGGAGGATCATTTGAGGCCAGGAGTTTGAGACCAGCCTGCGTAATATAGCAAGACTCCATGTCTGCATTTATTATTATTGTTTAGAAAACTAGCTGGCTGCAGTGGTGGATCCCTGTAGTCCTAGCTACTAGGGAGGCTGAGGTGGGAGGACTGCTTGAGCCCAGGAGTTTGAGGTTGCAGTGAGCCATGCTTGTGCCACTACACTTCAGTCTGGGCAGAAAGGCAAGACCCTGTCTCTCTTAAAAAAAAAAAAAAAAAAAAAAAAAAGGGTTGGGGGAGGTTCTTCTTTAAAATATAAATAAATCCTCTATGTCTTCCTGCTCTGCAACTGACAAACTGCTGAATCCATTCAGCCCCCAAAACATAAAACTGTAGATGTGGCCACGTAACAAAGGGCATTTCTAGCTCTCTACCCACGGGAGAGTGTAAGCAGGAGTCAGAAATTGGCCTGAGAAAGTTCAGAAAGATGTTCCAAGAAGTGGGCAATATCATCTGTGAGCAAATCTCACAAGAGATCTGGCCCCTCCCAGAGTTCCAGGGAGGGAGCCAATTTTGTGCTGAGGTGGTTTTGATGGACATGGTGCCAGGGGCCTGGGTTCTCATGGCTAGAACATTGTAAGTACATGCCCAATTTCATGCAAAGATCTACAGGTTGTAAACCTCCCTGAACTATACCACTGGAAGTTTAAACTGCTTCCAAAGGGTATGATACACGCTAGGAATTATGCCAACTTCCAGTAATGTTAGCCAAGAACTATTAACAAGGACTCCAGCCATCTTTGCGCTGGACCTCATTCACCCTATAAATTCCTTTATCAACTATTTCTTTGGCTTGTTGAACAACAGCAGTGAAGCCAAATTAAATGAGACCAAATGACTCAGCTTATGGACCTCTGTAGCTCCTATATACTAACTGCTAACTCCTGAGTGGCACGGACAAGTGCCTGAAGATCCCCTCCTCTTGTCATATAAATGGTTCATTAAAAATAATAAAAGAGTACAAATTTAACTCTATTAAACTACTTATAACCAGGATGACTAAATGTTTGATCATCCAAACTGGACCACTTTTGAGAAGAAATGGGAGTCTTTTAATTAACACAGAAACAAAGAGTACAAATTAGGCTTATTCTGAGCAAACCAAGATGAATGGGCCTTCCATTTATAATTCACTCCACTCCATAAAGAATGGAACTGGTTGACCGTCTGTGTGTGTGTGTGTGTGCGCGCGTGTGTGTGTGCATGTGTTGATCTCTGGTGTAATCATGATACGCAGTTGGTTGGTTAACCAAAAAAGATTATAGCAAGGAGTCATTTTCAAAAAACATTAAACACCTTCTTTTAATAATTAGCCAGCCTTCACATGCAGGATCATGACCTTTTGAGTCTTGGGGGAGGTTTACCAGCTGCGGGCATTCTGCATGCTCTAGACACCAGCCCTCCAAAGTGTTTTATCAATGGAAGAAGAAAGGAAGAACATTAATTAATCTACTAAGTTGCTTAGGTAGAGGCTACTTAAGCATTTCTACTGTAATTATGTCAGTGCTCTCTACTTCTTCAAGTTAGGTGTCTTCCCAATATAAGGAACCAAACACACCTACTCAAAATACCTTTCAAAATATTAGCCCAAGGAACTACAAAAATGAGGGGTAAAAATGGTTTTGTGGAGAAAATGATCCAGACATTGCCCGTGGCTTCACCAGTGACCTGGTTTCTGTCTTTATTTCTTTTCTGCATCCTGCAGGGCTGCCTCCATGCTCAGGTTCTTCCTTTCACACATCCAGGCCCTTCCCCCGACCCCTGTTGTCCGGTAGTTCCAGCCTTTCCCCTTATAGGGCCACAAAATTGCCATAGCACTTACAGTCATCACATCTTTTCCTAACCCTACCGAGGCAGAATAGGGGATCTTCAGATGTCTTCTGACTGCATGGACGGTGACCATTGTATGCCCATCCCTCAACTAGTCAGCACAGGAGGGTGATGGAGCATGCCAACCTGCTTAAACCTATTAAGCCTTGGATCTGAATGCAAGCCCAGCAGTCCTGAAAGATGGGTTCCTGAACGAAATTCAAGGTGCCAGAATAAAGACCACAGGGAAGAAGAAGATAAGGTCACCAAACATAAACATCTCTTCCAAGTTTCCAGTATTGTCACAAACACCCACAGAGTCATCTCAGAGGTCATACAACCCAAGGAACCTAGGATTTAACCAAGTCACTAATTCAGTTAAGGGATTTAAATTGGTCAGGATCATTCCCCAAGTGAAGCACTTCCATACCATATTGTTGTACAAGAAATTTGTTGGCATTCTAAAACTGCATGGCAGATAAAAGGAACTGTATCAGTCACCAGCAAGGAAAGTTTAATGCAAGACACAGATCTCTTGGGATGTAAAGAAAAAAAAGAAAGAAGTGCTTCGTGGGAAATAATGTTGCAAGTCCAGCAGATTACATGCTGCAAATAACAATGAAAAAGGGGAAAATGTTACTGCTACTAAAATAAAACCAAGCAAGCCATACATATTTAACAGGAAGTACACCAAGAGTGGAACAAGCCAGCTGCTACAAAAATGATATATGACAAGGACAGGCCTTCAGAAATGGAAGTTAAGCTCCAAGTATCTTCAAGGACAGAACTACTTAGAAATTTTAGCTGAAATTGTTTTAAAAAGAACATGCTTTAAAGTCAAGGGTTGGAAATATTTTTAAAAATTTTGAGTAGTTCAAACTTTATTATTTTCAAATTTGAAAAAATAAACTAATTCAGAAAGATCTTCTAGCAATATAGGTGCTAAAACTTGTGTATCATGGTGTTGTTCTATTTTATCAGTTTGTTAGTTTGGAACATATTTTAAATGGCCAGAAGTACACAGCACATCACACCTTGGTAACATTTAAGAGTCCTAACGCATTTGATGACTAATTTTATTACAGCAGGTAACTAGAAACAAGACATGCTATCTATGCAGCTAGTATCCAATTCACCTTTTTAATTTAATCCTCCACGATTTTACCATTTGATCTATTTGATGATTATTTTTAAACAGCTTGGTTTTACTTTGTATATGAATTAATGGACATGTCAATTTAAAGTTGCTATTTCAATAGCATTTACATAATTAAAATATAATAAATTTTTTTTAAGAACTGAAAACTCTGTTACTCATAGAATGTCTCAAAGCAAGGACCGTCCATGATGCCAGGTCAAGGGTTACAAAGTAAAAATTTTAAAAGCTGGCTTGAGGTCAGGCATGGTGGCTCATGCCTGTAATCCAAATGCTTTGGGAGGCTGAGATGAGAGGATCGCTTGAGGCCAGGAGTTTGAGACCAGCCTGGGCAATATAGTGAGACCCCCATCCCTACAAAAATCTAGACTAGGCACAGTGGTGCACACCTATACTTCTAGCTACTTGGGAGGTTAAAGCGGGAGGATCCCTTGAGCCCAAGAGTTGGAGGTTGCAGTGAGCTATGATCATGCCACTGCACTCCAGTCTTGATAACAGAATATGACCCTGTATCTTTAAAAACATTAAAAAAAAAAAAAGGCTAGTTTGGTCACTGTAAGATCAGAAGATTGGAGGAATGAACAACAATAACAAAAGATATAAAGATAGAATAATAAAGCCTGTTTCAAAACAGTAACCCACCATTAAAAGGTAGAATTATTTAAGAGCAAACATGTCACTTGAAACAGATATTTAATTCAATATTAAGTTATTCAATATTCACTCTCTAAATGTATTATGTACTTATCATCTATATATGGAGATATTATCTCTTACAATTGAATTATAGATAAAACATAGTTAATTAGCATATGGGATCAGTAAAAATTCATACCAGAGGGTCAATTCAATCCTCTTGAATAACTCAAAGCCTATTTATAAAGAAAAGAAGGACAAAGAAAAACAAGGCTTTTTTGTTTTGAAAGCAGCTAACTACACAGTACAACAAGGGGAACAAAAAAATTAATAACTTTCTAGGTCCTTAACTTTCTCCAGACATTGTCTTTAAAGCAAGAAAAAAAGGTTCAAATGTTTTAAATCTCTCCAAAACTATTAGCAAAAACAACATGGAAATATATAACAGATGCACAGAGGCATCTTGGGGTGAATATATTGAGGACCCTCAACTGCAAATTCTAAAATCTATTTAATTGTGCCAAAGAGAAAGACAAGAAAGACCTTTTGATAAAGAAAATGCAAGAGTATTTTTAAAAAATCTTGAGGTCCTGAGCCAAGGACTATTCCTCAGTGGGGTCCTCTAGCCTGACAGGACCACCAAAACACAAGCTGTGCTGTCACACTGGCCACCTCCAAGAACAGGGAGAGAGGCCAAGCCTCAGCCGCGACATGGCAGGAGAGTGGAATAATAAATGAATTCTGCAGTAAGTCTTCACTGAGCGCATTTCATCTTAAACCAGACATACAGCTCTTTTTGGAGGGCCAGGAAGTAGAAATCACCCTTTAAAAATAGTTTCATTCTTTCCCTTAAAAGATAAATTCTTAATTGGTTAACAAAAATATCCGCTGTTAAAAAAATCAAATGATCAGAAAGGAAATTAAAGTCACCCTATGCAATTGAGAACCACTGTTAAAATCCTGATGTGAAACAGTTTACTTCCTCCTCTAACTATGGAAAGACATTTTGTTTGTACTAAGATGGGATTATTACAACCTAACGCCACCCTCCGACCTTTTTGTTCCATTTATCAATTTCCCAAGCCATGTGCATATCGCTCTGATCTGTAACAGCAGTATAGCATTCCATTTCAAGTAGGGAGAAGTAAAAGGGTCTGTTTTCATGAGTGAGATTTTTAGTACCTAGAGTATTTGAAGGGATATGTATTAATCGGAATAAATGTAACTTCCTCACAAATGTAAAGAGAAAAAGGCTGGAACTGAGAGGTGAAGCCTGTGTCTTCACTATAAAAGTGGACACATGAGGTGTTCGCTTGTCAAGGTAATTCCAACGAATATGACCAAGATAATTCCCCCAAACCTCATTCTCTCTTGTCTTTTTCCTATAAACAAATAGAAATACTGTTTTTAATTTTCATTATGAAATAATTTTGTGTTCCTTAATATTGAGTGTCAACTTGATTGGACTGAAGGATGCAAAGTATTGTTCCTCGGTGTGACTGTGAAGGTGTTGGCAAAGGAGATGAACATTTTGAGTCAGTGGGCTGGGAGAGGCAGACCCACCACCCTCCATCTGGGTGGCACCATCTAATCAGCCGCCAGTGTGACTAAAATAAACCAAGCAGGAGAAGGTGGAAAAGTAGACTTGCTGAGTCTGCCGGCCTTCATGTTTCTCCTGTGCTGCATGCTTCCTGCCCTCCAACATCAGACTCCATGTTCTCCAGCTTTTGGATTCTTGGGCTTACACCAGTGGTTTTGCAGGGACTCTCGGGCCTTTGGCTACAGACTGAAGACTGCACTGTTGGCTTCCCTACTTGTGAGGTTTTGAGACTCAGACTGATCCACCACTGGCTTCCTTGCTCCTCCACTTGCAGATGGTCCATTGTGGGACTTTACTTTGTGCCTATGTGAGTTAATTCTCCTTAATAAACTCCCTTTCAGGCTGGGTGTGGTGGCTCACACCTGTAATCTCAGCACTTTGGGAGGACAACGTGGGCAGATCACAAGGTCAGAAGATTGAGACCATCCTGGCCAACATGGTAAAACCCCATCTCTCCTAAAAATATAAAAATGAGCTGGGCGTGGTGGTACGTGCCTGTAATCCCAGCTACTCGGGAGGCTGAGGCAGGAGAATTGCTTGAACCAGGGAGTCGGAGGTTGCAGCGAGCCGAGATCACGCCACTGCACTCCAGCCTGGAGACAGAGTGAGACTCTGTCTCAAAAAACAAAAACAACAACAACAAAAAAAACTCTCATTCACATATACATATATCATATTAGTTCTGTCGCTCTAGAGAACCCTGACTAATACACATTTCAAACATCAAAAAACTTGCAAAAATTGTACGAAAAAAAAAAAAACCCACACACACCCTTTCCTAAATGTTAACCTCTTACTTAACCACAGCCAAGAATCAAAACCACAACATTGCCACTGCTATGAAACCATCACCTAAATCTACAGATCTTATTTAAATTTCATCAATGTCCTTGTCTGGGCCTAGCTTCAATCCAGGACTACACATTGCCTGCCTCTCTAGTCTCTAATTCAGGACAGATCCTCAGTCTTTCTTCATCCTTCATGATCTTTCTTGATGCTTTCCACTTCCTCCGGCAGCACCACGTGACGGTAACTTGAGAAACTGCCCAACAAGACTCAGAAGAGCCCTGGCTAGTTATTTTGTAGCATGTCTAAATAAGTGTCCAAGGGCTGCCATAACAAAGCTACCACCACCAGGGTGGCTTAGAACAACAGAAACTTACTCCTTAGTTCTGGAGGCCAGAAGCCTGGAGTAAAGTCATTTGCAGAGCTGGTTCCTTTTGGAGGCTGTCAAGCAGAAACTGTCCTAATCCCCTCTCCTAGCTTCTCGTGGTTGTTGGCAGTCCTTTTTGCTTGGTTTGTAAATGCATGACTCCCATTTCTGCCTCCATCTTTATATGACCATCTTCTCTATGTGCCTCTGTGTGTCTTTCCCTTTTCTCCTTTTCTTTTCTTTTCTTTTTTTTTTTTTTTTTTTTTTTCTGAGACGGAGTCTTGCTCTGTTGCCCAGGCTGGAGTGCAATGGTGTAATCTCAGCTCACTGCAAGCTCTGCCTCCCAGGTTCACGCCATTCTCCTGCCTCAGCCTCCCGAGTAGCTGGGACTACAGGCGCCCGCCACCACGCCCGGCTAATTTTTTGTATTTTTAGTAGAGATGGGGTTTCACCATGTTAGCCAGGATGGTCTCAATATCCTGACCTCGTGATCTGCCCACCTTGGCCTCCCAAAGTGCTGGGATTACAGGCGTGAGCCACCACGCTCGGCCTCCCTTTTCTTAAAAGGACACCTATTATTAGATTGAGGACCCACTCTAAATCCAGTATGACTTCATCTCAAGATCCTTAACTAGTTACATCTGCAAAGGCCCTATTTTTCATATAAGGTTACTGCTATGGAATGAATGTTTATGTCCCCACAGAATTCATAGATTGTGGGGATACCTACAATAATCCCCAATCCCCAGTGTGATGGTACTAGGAGATGGGGTCTTTGGGTGGTAATTAAATCATGAGAGGGAACACTCATGATGAAATTAGTGCCTTTAAAAAAAAGAGACATAAGAGAGCTCGCTTCCTCTCTTGCTTGTTTACTGCCATCTGAGGACACAGGAAGAAAACAGCCAACTGCAAACTAGGAAAAGAGTCCTCACCAGAATCCAACCACTACCTATTTACCCGACCATTTTATATATACCCGACCAATGCATACTATGGAACAATGACTGGGTTGTGAGTCCTGTCTGACGATTTCCCACGTTACCTTAACATGAGACAACATTAGCAGATGAAAATGATTATTTTATTTCTGAAAAATAATATCAAATTCAAAATGCCCATGGTATCTTGGGGAAGATAACGGCAAATTATATTTAGCTTTATATTTGGTACTTCAATTATTTTTAAAAAGCTTAGCAGCAGCTTCGCAGTTCACTATTGTTTCTTACTTGAGGTCAACATTTACCAGTCATCAGTCTGTTAGCCAGGGGAGAAACGCTGTTATCCAGGGAGGCATCTGGGTTTGAGGATGCCGCTGAATTGGAAGTTCTTGCAGGAAATCATTATTTCCATAAACTGCCAAGACTCCAGCTCTGCCTCACAGGCCAAGTGAAAGGGATGCTGAGGACAATCATCATGTTCAATAGCCCGGCCACCACTTGATTAGAGGAGATGAGGCTCACTTGGTAGGATCTGTTCTTTGCAGAAATTCACTTGGGAAGAAACAACAGCTTATCTCTTCCAAGACGGCTGCAAATTGAGTTGGTGATTATTTCACTCCTACCCACAGACTTTCCAGGCTCACCTATTTTTCTTCTTTTAGGGAAAATGGATGGCGGTTCCTCTCTTCCAACCCAGAAGCAGGGCCTGCTCGTCAGCAGCTTTGCAAAACTGGTCCTAAAATACCCGGCCACAAACTGGCTGGCGCAGAGAATACTTTCTGACACATCTCACCAGTCTCCCAGTTAAACACATTTCTTTCTTCAGAAATTTCTTTAATCAAGCAGAGGAGCCCCTCACACTCACAATTTGTGAGCTGCCTGCCCCAGCCTTTGAGCTTTACCAATTTTGAAAAAATAAAGCTTTGAAAACAGAGATGACTATTCAGAACATATTCTCACCCTTCACTTCTGTGAGCACTGTCATGTGTGTGTCCACAAGGACCTGGTCAACTGAGATTGAGATGACTTTGGTCAGGAAAGCAAAAGTAGCGGAAGGCAAAGAGACGCACACCTTCACATGGAAATAGGGTACACACCACACAAATGTCACAAAGCAAAAGAAAACATTTAGCACATACAACACACACACACCCCTTCAAAATGCAACAGGATACTGATGGTCCTGGGCAAGGCACCATTAACTGTTCACTAGGCTGCATTTGAATAAGAAGTAACACAGGAGAAGGAGAAATAGGGGCACTTTCAATAACACATCTCCCTAAAAAAATAACACTGGTCATGTATACAGCACTCTCCATTTGCTCAGCTAAACACTTTCATGCTGTGGCTCACTTAAGCCTCTATGATAAAGGTCCTATTATGCACACTTACAAATGAGGAAACTGAAGCCATAGAAGGCTTAAGTAATTTGCCCTAGGTGACCCTACTAGGAGCTAGTGGAACATGAACACGGCCGACACAACTGAGCATTCAGGATGTGTCAAGGAGCTATCCTAAGACAGCTATGGATGACAACACATTGAATCAAAACAACTCTAGGGTGAGTACTAATGTAATTCTCATTTTACAGACGGCAAAAGTGAACGTAAGCCACCAAGTAACATGTCCAAGGTCACACAGTTAGCAGCAGAGCCACGAGAAAAGTCCTCTTGACCACATTTTATTGACAGAAACCAACGTAAAGAGAGAATAAGTAAATTACTGGGGCCACATTTCCAAAGTTCAAAACTAAGACAAATTCATACATATAGTATGGACTCTTCTGGTCCCGCCCCCTTAAGAGAAATGGGCCAGGGGTCACTCATGCACATGGATGCACCTTGTACAGAAATTATGGAGCACCCCCATAATTCTCCGCATCTTTGCACCAGGGCCAAAGGCAATGAAGACAAGGCAGCATGGGAGGACAGTGAATCCCTCAGAACACGGGCTAAGTCTGTTAGGAGAAAGCCGGCCTTCCCTTGAGGTAGCCCCTGTGAATGCCCAGAAGCTTGGCATCCTCTCTCTCTCTGCTTGCCTGGATCCTCAAATCCCCCTTGTGTTGTCAGAGGAGCATTACAGCCCACAAGGCCAGGGAAAGAAGCTGTGAAGGGGCAAGGGTGCTCTCTGTCTTCTCTTAGCCATGAGGGCATGCCTAACACAGCTTCCTTCATGAACGGATGAGGACTCCCCCAAGGGACGCTGGAGGAGGGGGAGGAAAGAGAGACTGAGAAAAAGAACAGAACAGCACAGAACACAACAGAGCTGTTCAGTTTCCTGGGAAGGCATTCATAGCAGGCTGGTATGGGATTCATTGGCTGATAGTATGGTGGTATTTGATTAATGTCCACATCAATTTAACTTGCCAAATATTGCTCTCAGTCAAGCAACCTTGGGGTGCTAGGGAGCAGCCCATGGGGTGGAGAGTGGCAGGGTTGGCAGATCCTTAAGTAATCTAAAAGGCCCAAGGAGGTGATGTGACTTGTCTGAAGCTGGTTCTCAGCAGGTTTGATACCAGAGCCCAGATCACCTCCTGAGTTCTACTCCCCAGGTGGACACTCACGTGACTGTGCAGGGTGGAGCACTCCTGGGTGAAAAATGTTAGTGAATGAAGAGCACACAGCCAGGGTCCCAGTGTGGGTCACAGAGAGGAACCACGAGCCCTCTCAGATTTCTGCATGGAGGATGAGAGCAACGAACAGAGATGTCTCAGCCAGGTACAAGTCGGGGCCAGAAACAAAGGCCAAGGTGTAGCTCTCCCACAGACATGGTGCCCAGCTCAGGTCCGGAGTGAGCCGCTGGTATGCTTCCCAAGCATTGTCTCACAGTTTCTGTAGGTGCTGCCTAACCACAGGGAGTGAGGACCTCAAGGCAAACAAACAGCCAGGTTCAAATCCCTACTTGACTATGCCCGAGTGTCCATGAACAGGTAGGAACCCTCTGATTCCCTGTAAAATGTGGCATCCCATGTCTTCTTCCCACTGTGACCTGAGTATCAGGGATAACTCAGTAGAAATGGTGCTCAGCGTAGGGCCTCGCTCCAGTAGGCACTCAAAACATAATTGCTGCCATTATTCTGTTTGGATACAACCATGGTGGAGCTGTTTCCCTGCAAGTGCATGACCCATAGTAAGTGTTCACTGAATGTTTGTAAAATAAGTGACTCCAATGAGGGAGTGCTATTACACCCCCATTTCACAGAGAGGCAAGCAAGGGACGGGGTACGTGTGTTTGAAGCATTTCCTCCAAGTTCCTAAGCATGGAGAGGTGAGGGCAAGAATTTAACCATGCCCTCTAGTCCAGAGCCCACTTGCTTCACCACCACATAATGTGCCTCTGCCCTCAGAGTCAGTGTGCAAGTTCCAGGAAAAGTTAACCCTAATCGCGCACATGGCCAAAGAGGAGCTCTTCATGAGATGATCAACATGCCTGCAATCCTCTGCTCTGTGTGTCTCTGTGCCTGCCTGTCCCTCCCTTCTTCCATCTCTCTCTCTCTCTCTCTCTCTCTCTCTGCCTTGGTTTCCTTATCTGTAAAAAGAGGATAACAATACTTAGCTGATAGGACTAAGAGAGAGTCATTGTTATTGACAGGAGTGATAGCCATTTATCGAGCATTTATTCATGCGCAACAGTCTGCCTGGCGCCTGGCACTGCATCTCCGCCACCGAGGTGAGGTGGAGACAGCCACCTTTCACAAGTGGGAAAGGGGAAGGGACTTCTCCAAAGGTGACACAGCGCTGGGCACCCAAGAACACTTGATGCATGGCAGCTGCTCTAATAATAGCAAGAGAATAGGCTTCAGCTATTCTATCAGAGTGAGAGAAAGAGACAGAGGAAAGATGCTCTGCAGAAATGCCCAGGGTCCTCATCTCACCCCATTCTTGGCTAGGATCACTCCCCCAGCACATGGCATTCTCTGCTTTTGGGGCCTGCTGGCTGTGGCCCAGGGCCAGTCTGTTCACTGGCCACCTACCCAGAGCTGGCTCACAGAGCAGCAGCAAAGTGAGCCATGGAAGTAAGAGTGACATGGGGACATGCGGTCACCCTGTGGAGAACACATTTGCCCATTACTGGGCTGTTGGCCTGGCTGGTTTCTGGAGGAGTTCCCATCATAGGAGCATGGATAATCCCTTGTGGGGTGGGTCCCCATCGTCCTTGAGATTGTCCTGCTCCCTCTCTGCATATCTCAATTCATAAACAAATGGAAAGTGTTCCAACCTAACCATAAATATTCCAAACACATGCACAAAAATGTTCACAGCATAAAATCCAAAAAGTGCAGGAAGAGAGAAGGAAAAGGGCAACCTATAATCCAATGACCCAGGACGACCACCTCTATACTGATAAATGCCAGTCTATTTTATCACCCCCTACATATAATGACCTGTTTCGTGTATGCGGCATGCCACTATCAGCCTGGCAGTTTTTCACTAGCTCTATATCATAGGATTAGAGGTCAAGGCTGAACACTGGATGTTTTTAATAACTTTTTGCTGCTTTAGGGTGATTCAAGTAGAAAGCCCACATTTTTAGATGGAATACATAAAACACAACCACTAACAGTCACGTCTAAATAGCTCTTAGCAGTGAAATCTCCAAGAGATCCTCTGTAAGTTGAAACTTCTAATTTTCCAACAGATAACCTTTTAGCCTCTTTTATTTTGGGTCATTCTACCTGGTGGCCACTTCATCTGTTTTCCAGACAAGAATGAGTTCAGAGCTGACACTGACAAATTGACCAGCACAGGCTCTAGTCACATCAGACATAATTCAGCCTCCCGACAGGTGACCTGTCCATCTTGCAGCTTCTACTTTTAGTTGGACAATATGTCCTGATGTGAACTCCAGCTTGGGCCAGTTTGCCAGCTCAGGACACAGCCTGCTATCATATATTCTCTTAATAAATATTCAACAGCATAAAGTGATACCTCTATAATTATTAATAATTTAGAGTTCTCAATATTCTGTTTTCTCAATTACAGCCATTATTGGAAATGTAAATCAATGAAGGATATAATAGCTTAACATCCACATAAAACAAAGGAGATGGCAGGCACAGAGAGAATAAAAATAGAAGTCATATTTTAACCTTGAATCCTCACAAAGTCCAAAACTGACACATGAACATTGTTATAATGAAAAACTTATGCTTTTATAGAATAAAATGGTAAGTTTATGAATCAAGAAAACAACAAAAAATAGGCAGTGTGACACAAAAGGACACTGAATATTTGCTTATTCATTTAAATATTTCTTAGAACTTACTTTATTTGAGGCACTATTTTAAAGCAGTGAGTCCTAAATTTTAAAATGCATCAGAATCAACTGGAGGACTTGTAAAAAAACAAGATTGCTGGGCACTCTCTCCAGAGTATTTGATTCAGTAGATCTGGGGGAGGACCCAGAATTTTTCATTTCTAACAAGTTCCCAGATGATATTGATGCTGTTGTTTTGGGACCACGATATGTGAGCCACTGTTCCAGGCTATAAAAATACAGCAGAGAATGAACCAAAGCCCTTCCCCCATGGAGCTTGCATTCTACTGGAATGATGAAGCATAAAACAATTTCAGTAGTGGCAAATGGGTCATTTTTACCATGAAAAAATAAAGTCAGAGAAGAATTGGGAATGACGGAGAAGATAGGAATCATTTATTTTACTTATATTGTTTATTTTTTGATACAGAGGCTAGCTCTGTCACCCAGGCTGCAGTGCAGTGGTGCAATCTCAGCTCACTGCAGCCTCAACCTCCCTAGCTCAAGCAATTCTCCCACCACAGCCTCTTAAGTAGATGGGACTACAGGCATGTACCACCATGCCTGGCTAATTTTTCTATTTTTTTTTTGTAGAGACAACGTTTTGTCATGTTGGCCAGGCTGCTCTTTAACTCCTGGGCTCAAGCAATCCTCTAGCCTTGGCCTCCCAAAGTGTTGGGATTATAGGCATGAGCCACCATGCCCAGCCAGAATCTTTTTTCTTTTTTTTTTTTAAGAAGTTGGTCAGAGACAGCATTTCTGAGGATGTAGCATTTAAACAAATGGAGTGAACGAATGAAGAGAGAGAGGCCATATACCATTACAGCGGGAAAGGCTTCCAGGCAGATGGAGCATCGCGTGGGAAGACCACCATGTGCTGATGAGCTTCACATGGTGAAGAACAGCTCCGAGTGAGCAGGGGAGGAAATGAGCTCTGAGAAGGCAGGAGGGCAGGGAAGCTCTTCTATCAGAAGGTTACAGTTGTGAGTGGAGATGTGATGCAATCTGATGCATGTTTTAAAAAGACCACCTTGAACTACACACAATTATTATTTGTCAATTTTAAAAATTTTAACAAAAGAAGAATTAAAAACTACCCATAATTCTGCCACCAAAAAAGATTACCCTGGCTATTTTGAGATGTCGAGAAAAGACTGTCCAGAAACAGAGGTGCAAGCAAGAACTGTCACTTAAGAGGCAATCACAGCCAGCCAGGCGAGAGAAGACGGCAGCCTGGACCAGGGTGGTCACCAGAAGAGCGTGCAAGGAGGGTGGCAATGGAAGCTGTCCTGCAGAGGGAGCTGACAGACTTCTGGTGGGACAGGATGTGGGTGTGTGCAAGAGAGGGCTCCAGGATAACCACAGTGGTTAATAAATATGTTTTTATTTGGAAACATTCACAAATGCACAGAAAATTTTCAAGAATAAAAATAGCACAAAGAACACCTGTATATTTTTCTCCTAGATTGTCCTATTTTGAACACTTTATCCCACTTGCTTCAACATTTACACACCCTATTAACACACACACACACACACACACACACACACACACTATTTTCCATTTCAAACCACTAGAAGACAAACTGCACACACCATGACCCTTCTTCCCTAAAGACCTTAGAGCACCAATATTTCGAGCCTGGTACATCCTGTTGTATTTATGCAGTGCCTCTTTTGAGTGAGCATGATGCTTGACAGAAAACACATCAGATGGCTGGGTGCTGTGGCTCACACCTGTAATCCCAGCACTTTGGGAAGCTGAGGCAGGCAGATCACCTGAGGTCAGGAGTTCGAGACTAGCCTGGCAAACATGGCAAAACCCCATCGCTATTAAAAATACAAAAATTAGCCAGGCATGGTGGCATGCCCCTATAATCCCAGCTACTTGGGAGGCTGAAGCAAGAGAATCGCTTGAACCTGGGAGATGGAGGTTGCAGTGAGCCTGGATCGTGCCACTGCACTCAACCTGAGTGACAGAATGAGACTCTGTCTCAAAAAAAAAAAAAAAAAAAAAGGAAAGAAAAGAAAATACGTTAGCCCATGGTACCATGGTACAACCTAGCTAGGAACCAGCACACTCAGAACAATGCAAGAAAGTAAACCACGGACTGCATCATTCCACCACCAATTTCTGTAAGAGCTCTAAGGTTGACAGGATTTGAGAAGCTTTCAGGAATGAGGCTAGGTGGCTTTGAAAGCAGACAGGGTTTAGACAGACAGGAAAAGGACAGATGGGATGTCAGGCAGGTAGGAGGGCAAGTCTGCTGAAACCCTGAGGAGGAAATGGGCATGGCCACTAATCATGAGAGAAATGCAAATTAAAGCCACAATGTGATACCGTCTTACACTAGTAAGAATGGCCATTATCAAAAAGTCAAAAAAATAACAGATGCTGGTGAAGATGCAGAGAAAGGGGCTTATCCTACTCTTAGTGGGAATGTAAAGTAGTACAACCTCTATGGAAAACAGTATGAAAATTTCTCAAAGAACTGAAAATAGAGTTATCATTTGATCCAGCAATCCCACTGCTGGGTACACACCCAAAGGAAAAGAAGTCAGTATATCAAAAAGATCCATGCATCCAAATGTTTATTGCAGCACTATTCGCAATAACAAAGATATGGAATCAACCTAAGTGTCCATCAATGGATGACTGGATAAAGAAAATGTATGGTATGTATACCATGGAATATTACTCACCCATAAAAAGAATGAAATCATGTCTTTTGCAGCAACATGGATGGAACTAGAGGCCATTATCTTCAGTGGAATAACTCAGAAACAGAAAGTGAAATAGTGCATGTCCTCATTTACAAATGATAGCTAAATGATGCGTACACATGGACATAGAGAATGAAATAATAGATATGGTAAACATTGGAGCGGGGTGAGGGATGAGAAATTCCTTATTGGGTATAATGTACACTATTCAGGTGATGGTTACATCACAAGCCCAGACTTCACCACTACTCAATGTATCCATGCAGCAAAACTGTACTTGTTAACATATTGTTAACAAGGCACATGCTGCACAGCCCTAAATCTCAAACCTTGATTCAATGCAGCACATGTTTCTGTGAGCACAGGATTGGGGCTAAAGTTACAGATTAACAGCATCTCAAAGCAGAACAATTTTTCTTTCTACAGATCAAAATGGAGTTTCTTATGTCTTCCTTTTTCTACAAAGACACAGTAACAATTGGATCTCTCTTTCTCTTCCCCACACTTTTACCCCCTACATTGATACAAACAAAAAAAGAAAATGGGCAGGGCATCCACAGGGTCAGGCAGAAAGCCACCCTCACTGTGGAGACTTGATGGCAAGTGATGGAAAATGAGGTGAGAGAGGCAGTGTGGGCTCGCGGAGAGGCAAGACACCGGCTGCCAAGCCAAGGGTGAAATGAAAAAGGCAACTGCTCTGCTTGCTCCAGGCACCCTGACCATCCGCAGAGGGAATTTTATGTTTAGAACAGGAAGACTGACCTGACTAGCGCAGTGACAACATGGCAAATGAATAGACAAAAATCCGTTTTTTATTTTTGCCAATGCTGCAAATTTCTAAAATTGTCTCCTCTGCCTCAAAGTCCTCTTGGTCAGGATTCCACCCAAGCAATTCAAGTTTCTCAGTAACTAGCCAATCCCTCTGACTTGGAATGATGACTTCCGACATTCCGAACCCGGACATCACAGAAACACAATTAACTTTGCTTCTCCTGGACTCTGCCACACAGCAAGAGATGCCGCCCTCACCAGAATGACATTTCCATAGCCAGGCTCTCATTGCCAGGCTCAGAGACAAGCTTATTCACTGCAAGCTGATAAATGAAGACAGAAATCAAAAGTTCTGCTTGCACAAGGGGAAAAAATCTTCTGAGGGTATAGAGGCAGCTCAAAACGAGATTGAAACATGATGAACCACAGCCATTTTTTTGATTAAGTGGGTTTTTTCAATTTGCCACTTAAAGGGAACTATGAATATCCTTCCGTCATACTTCCCTATCAACTTCCTCCAAGAGGCAGCTGGGCCAGGACTACCTGTAATTCTGAAGCACTGTAAGTCCCGGCCCAAGTTTATCCCCAACAGGTGTGCAGACGTGATAATCTACAATCAGTAGGTATGTAAAAATCCTCTTCTGTAAGCAGGAAATGCAGAAACAAGATTCAGACAAATTGCTAGAGCATGTCAGCTGTTCCCACAGCTTCGAATAATCCATCCTCGACCAGCACACAAGACAGAGCAAACCATCACATCTTAAAAGCCATGGCAGTTGCCAGCTCAAGTTTCTGCAGGCTCTTAAAGGGCTTATTCCGGGTGTCCTGAACTCTGTGTTCTTTAAACCAAAAGAAGATTCATCTCCTCAAAACTATAGCATGGGAGGAAAGTATTCTCTGGCCTGTTCAGCCCACCTGAGCCCTGAGAAACAGCTAGGCCGGTCTCAGTGGTGCCAGTGTGTATGACTCAGGGAGAGACCACAAGAGGACACAGCTTTTTTCAGCTTAGCCAACAAAGCACAATCTCCCAGATGTTCATTTCCTACAGAAGATTTCACATTCAGGCAATATTGCATATGGTTGAGCATACGAATGGGCTGTGTAACCCTCAGCCAGTTAAACAACGTCTCTGAGTTCCCTTCTTCATTTATAAAATGAGGGGGATGGAACAGAGCTGATCTTCAGAGGGCTGCTGTGAGAACTGAAGGAGATAATATATTTAAAGCACTTAGCCCAGTGCCTGGTGTATAGTGAGTCCTTCAAAAATAGTAATGTTACATTAGTTGAGTCCAATTTTCCTATCTTACTTTGAAGATACGTGATGCCAAGTCTGGGCTGGTCTTGTGAGGAAATGAAGGAAACATTTCCCCAGGTTTGCTTCTGATTAGCTCTATACACAAATGTGCTCACTGCCCTTCGGAGTGGGAAAAACACAGTCCTTTCCCATTCCCTCTCAACTTAATCACAGGTACATAGTGTCAGCTTTTCCAGCTCCACGGGGCTCATCAAATCTTGCATCTTTCAACCAGCAACTATGGAGCACCCACCAAGTGCCGGGCCAGGAGAGCTCCACCAGCAGCGCAGGCAGAACAGTCCCAGCTGTGACCACATACGGTACAGTGCATGCAAGAACAGGGCACTGGAGGTAGCATGGATGGGACCCATAGTCTCATTGGTGTCACTGAAGGAAGCAACAAAGAAACTGAACTGTGCTAAGGAATCCCAAGAAGTGAAGGAGGAGGGACCACTTGCCTAAGATGTTCACATCCCCCACGACTTTGACCTGGGCACTGTCAGCTCTTTCCTGCAAGCTGCTTAGAATCCAGGACCTCACCCAATACTGAAGGACTGGGTCTACAATGGACTGCAAAGGCAGCCTGGCAGCCAGCTCCCTCCATTTCCAACACACATTCCTACAGCCACAGAAGCTGTCTGCCTGCCCACCTCTACCCTAAATACATCTGCCCAAATACACACTCCTAAAATTCCTGATGGCCGCTTGTGAAATCTAAAATATCCAAAGTAAAGCAATAAAAAAATTATATCACTTAACATCCCAAACTGGATAAGAAACAACAAAAATAATAAGAATTATAAAGAAAGATAATTAATGACAAGAATACGGCCATTTTTTTTCCTTTAAGCTCAAAATTTACCAAATTCAAAGACCAGTTGTACTCTACAGCAAGTGACTGGGCCAGCCTCCGAGCAGTCCACCTGTAAACCTCTGCCAGGGAGAAGCCTCTCCAGAACAACCTGAATGCTCACAGCAACTGGGAGGAACATCATTCCCACTTCACAGGTAAGGAAACCGAAGGCCAGACAGGTGGAATGAATCTTCCAGGTCCACCCCGCTGATGTCAGCATGCTCAGGGGTCAAATCCAGGTCTTTGGGGGCTTCAAAGCTGGATTCTTAATGGCTGTAGCACAGTGTCTCCTAGTCCTGGCCCCCATAGCTCAGAGACCCAGAATGACTTGTCCGAGGCATACAGGCTGTGGGTGACAGGTACAGAACCCAAGACTGGCACCCTTGCCTCTATTTGGCAGGGCACAGAGAGAATGACAAGTTGAAGACCGCTAACATGAACGCCTACTGTTAAGAAACGGGTATGCATACTACATGAGCCCACGTTTATACAAAAAAAAAGTGTAGAAGGACATCTATAAATGAGAAAACACTAGAGGTAGCTTGGCAGGTGACACATCATGGTATACCATCATGGTGGCACCCCTGTGCTGTCATTTCAGAGGACTGAGTTCCATCACTGTGCTGGCTCACTGAACTTTCCTTCTGGAACTTTTGCTGCCTTGGTATCATGAAACCACAAAAGGTCAGTAGGGGGTTAAAGGTGTTTTTCCTTTTCTAATCAGGTTGGTGATTCTAGGCCTGCTCTCCCTGACACAGGCAAGACTCCCTCCCACCAGCATGGCCACATGGGATCGTGCCACTTAAGTCCCCACACTAATATCCATTAATATGACTTTGAGCTACAATGGAGGAAAAGCCTTTTAGTAAGTCACATTTTTCTTTATTAGGGCTCTGAGCTACGGGCTGCTCCATCTGAATTTGCATGTTTAAGGGGCAATTACACAAGGACAGAAATGTCAGCCCACAAGCTGATAGCTGCTTGATAATCTCACAAATTCCTGGACAGGAATAATTAGAGGAAAGGTTCACACGTATCTGGCATAAAAAAACGTGTGTTTGCCCAGCCACACTGACCCTTCCAAAAAAGAAATAAGTAAGGTTCATTCTGGGACAAATCAAAAGAAATAAGCAAGGTTTCGTGTTTCAATCATAAAGGAAAATATGGGTCAGGATAAACACAGGTACAAGAGGGGCATTTCCATTGGGCTTTTATGTGATACTAAAGGAAACCAGGACATCCAAGTTGTGGTTAGAATTGAAGAATAACCCAATATATAAAGACTACATCTACATCATCATCATCATTTTATTAGCATTATATGACATACTGTTACATATTGCTATATTTGATATTTTCTTTTTAAGTGTTGTTAACTCACTTAATCCTCACAACAACCTTCTGGGGTAGAAACTATTCTCATGCCCATTTTTTTTTTATCTGTTAAGTGATTCTGTGCCCAATATTGCAAACTGTTAAGTATCAGGGCTGTGACTCATATACAAAGCCTCTGCTTTCACTCATGTTGCAGTAGTGACCGTAACCCTGGCTGCACACCAACATCTCCTGGGTTTTTCCAAGCCTTATCCACATCTTAAATTTTCTGATTTCCCACAGCGTGGAGGGGCATGTGCATGTTTAAGAAGCTTCTTGAGAACTTAAACATTTCTGGCACAACAACATGAAGAGCTCCACAGAACTGTTCCATAGTGAAACTGGTGAAAGTTATTAAAAAAAGAAGAAAAAACACAAAAATTTAAAGTATCTGGAATTGGTCCTAAGGGCATATAGCAAATGAAGAAACATTTATTCAAGAAACCCCACTAAAACTCAGTAAGAACAGCAAGGCACTATGGTGTTTGAACAAAGACCTGCTCCCTCCCTCTCTCATCCAAGTTTGGCAAGACACAAACTCACTCTAGGCTTATATGGCCAAGAACACAGGGTTCTCTCTCCCCAAAGTTCACAGTTGGAGGGCATTCATCCCAGGAGGGGCAGGTCATCAGCATTTCTCATCCTGCTACCAGCTGCCTGTTGCTGAAGCTAAGTTCTGGGCGAGTACAGCTGAGAAATGAGGGCTCCCTTCGTCCATAACATCTGCACTCGAAGTCTTTATTTTGGGCATGACTTTCTGAGAAGACTGGGACCCTGATTGCTCTTGCCCAAACTTGAAAGGCGAACGCTCCACACTGGGAGAGGCAAGCTGAGAAGACTTGAGGCTACTACTCCCCTTCCACCGAGCTAAGTACTCAACTTCTAAACATACATGTCACTAAGAGAGAATCATGCCATAGTCCCCACCCCCAGCTCCAAAACTATGGCTCAGCGATTGTGCCCAGGGGAGGCTGGGAGAAAGCAGGCCATAAAACAAATAGTTTGAAATTTCTTCCCAAATGAACTGACTTCAGTTGCAATTGAGTGTAGATAAGTTCAAGCCTAAGGACACTCTGGAAAATAGTGGAGGTTGTAGTGGAAAACAATTGGGAAGGGACTGATAGATTCATTGGAGATATAATCTAAACTGTAGGCTGGTAAGTTTGCTGGACAGATCTCTACAGGAAGAGACAGCTGGGAGGAGGACATATCTCAAATACTGGCCTTGGGAAATATCCCTTCAGAAGAGCAAGGATTTGATCAAAGCAGACTGTGGAGCAATTCATGCCCCACGGCATGGTTTAAAAAAAGAGAGAATAGTCAGTCAACAATTGGGGGTGCCTGGCCCCACGTGGTGGCTCACACCTGTAATCCCAGCACTTCGGGAGGCTGAGGTGGGCAGATCACCTGAGATCAGCAGTTGAAGACCAGCCTAACCAACATGGTGAAACCCTGTCTCTACTAAAAATACAAAAATCAGCTGGGCGTGGTGACGGGTACTTGTAATTCCAGCTACTTGGGAGGCTGATGCAGGAGAATCACTTGAACCCAGGAGGTGGAGGTTGCAGTGAGCTGAGATCATGCCACTGAACTCCAGCCAGGGCAACAGAGCAAGACTCCATCTCGAAAAAACAACAATGAAAACAAAAACAAATACTTATGGGTACTTAAGGGTTGGTGTAGCCAGGGAAAAAGACCAAGCTCTTGTTGACTGTGCTCTACCCAAGGCATTACCCTCTGAAAAGCAAAAGCAGCATCAGGGGCTTCATATTGGGAAGAGGGGCAGAGAAGGGAAGAAATAGACTTCACTAAGATAATCCAGCCAGTCACTAAAATCAAATAACAATAACGAACCCCAGAGGCTGAAACCAGTACCCAGGGTTGCTAAAATATATTATCTAAAATGTCCAGTTTCTAATAAAAATTACAAGACATGCAAAAAATAGGAAAATATGACACATACACAAAGAAAAAAACAAGCAGGCAACAGAAACTGCCTGTGAGAGTGACCAGAAATTGTTCTTTGTTTAATAGACAAAGACTTCAAAGTAGCTATTATACATATGTCCAAAGAATTAAAGAAAACCATAATTAAAGAGGTAAAGATGGATATTACGACATCACATCAAATAGAGAATTAAATAAAAAGATAGAAATTATAAAAAGAACCAAATGGAAATTCTGGGCTTAAAAACACAATAACAGAAATAAAAAATTCTTTAGAGAGACTCAAAAGCATATTTGAACTGGAGGAAGAAGAATTAACAAACTTGAAGATAGATTAATAGAGATTATGCAATTAAAAAAAACAGAAAAAATGAACAGAGCTCAGATGTGAGACACCATTACATTCACCAACATATGGGTGATGGGAATATAAGAAGGAGAGAACAAAGAGAAGAAACAGAAAAAGATATTGAAGGATATTGAATGAATATAAACTTTCTAAAATTATTGAAAAATAATAACCTGCACATCCAGGAAGCTCAATGAACTCCAATTCATATAAACGCAAACAGATATGCAAAAAGACACATCATAGAAAAAAAAAAGCTGAAGGCCAAAGACAAGGAAAAAATATTGAAAGCAGACAAGAAAAAAATGACTCATTACAAGAATATTACAAGTGAAACTGCATAACATTAAAAGCTGACTTCTTAGTAGAAACAATAAAGGCCATCAAAACAATGAAATAATATATTCAAAGTGTCAAAGAACAAAACTGTCAACCAAAAATCCTATATCCAGCATAGCTATTTTTTAAAAATGAATATAGAATAAAGATATTAACAGATAAAGAAAAACTGAGAGAATTTAGTGCTAGCAGACCTGGCTTACAGGAAATGCTAAAAGAAGTTCTGCATGCTTAGAGCAAATAACCCAAGATGGTAATTCAAAGTCACAAGACAAAAATCAAGATCACCAAAAAGGTGAATATGTAACTATGAAAGACAAAATGAATGCCCATGTCTTCACCTTTCTTAATTGACTAAATAACAATTGTATACGGCAATATTATGCAATGTATGGTTGGGTCTATAACATATAGAGAGGTAATATATTTGCCAAAAACGGCATGAAGGAAGTGGTTGAGTGCAGAGATATATGCGGCTAAGAAATCCAGACGGTAACTGAAATCCACAGGAATAAATAAAAATATCCAGAAATACATTTTAAATAAGGTTAATATAATGAAGCTATAAATATATACCTTATGAACTAAAACATATATGCCATTATATGTATATACATATGACGTACTACATCTTTCTTTAGTATACTATATACTATACCACACATGTGCTATATGAATATATGCTATGCTAACATCAGACTTAATAATAAATGTGAATTAATTAAATAATCCAAGAGGCAGAGATTTTTCAGACTAGATTTTTATAAAATGCACCAAGTACATGTTATCTATAAGAGAAACACTTTAGATTCAAAGATACAAACAGGCTAAAAGCAAAATGAAAAGTGTATTATGGAAACAGCAACCCTTCTTGTTCTATTAACAAGAAAGCTGGAATGGTTAGAATAATATGAGACAAATAGATTTTAAAACAAAAAAAGTTACTGAAGATAAAGAGAAATATTTTATAATGATAAAAGAGTAAATCTGTCGGGAAGATATAACAATTATACACATATACACACCTACACACAGAGCATCAAATTTCATGAAGTAAAAACTGACAGAGATGAAAAAAGAAATAGACAATTAAACAATGACTGGTGAGGACTTCAATATCTCACTTTGAATACAGAGTAAAACAACTAGGCAGAAGATTAATATGGAAATAAAGGATTCCAAAACACTATAAACCACCTAGACGCAACAGACACCACCCAACAATACATTACACATTCTTCTCACGTGCACGTGGGACATTCTCTAGGACAGACCATAGGATAAGCCATAAAACAAACTTCAATAAATTTTAAAGGGTGGAAATAATCAAAAGTGTATGTTCTGACCACAATGCAATAAAATTAGAACTCAATAATAGGAAGAAATTTGGGGAATTCACAACTATGTGAAACTAAGCAACACACTCCTAAATAACCAGTGCATCAAAGAAGAAATCAAATGACAAATAACAAAATATTTTGAGATAAATGAAAACAAACACACAAGAGACCAAAACTTATGTAGTGCAGTTACAGCAGTGTTTAGAGAAAAATTTATAGCTGCAAATGCCTCTATTAAGAAAGAATAAAAAGCTCAAAGCAATAGGCTAAACTTCCACCCTAACACACTGGAAAAAGAACAACAAAGTAAAGCTAAAGCAAGAAGAAGGAAAGAAATAATAAAGACTAGAATGAAAATTAATAAAATTGAGAATAGAAAAAAATATTTGAGAAAATCAACGAAACCAAAAGATGATTCATTAAGAAGATAAAAAAATTGACAAAACTTTAGCTAGATTAAACACGAAAAAGAAAGAAAAACTCAAATTACCAGAATCTGAAAGAGGGCATATTACTAACAACTTTACAGAAATAAAAGGATTATAAAGGAACACTATAAACAACTGTATGCCAATAAAATAAATAACTTAGATGAAATGGACAAATTCCTACAAAGACACAAACCACGAAAAGTGACCCAAAAAGAAATAGATAATCTGAAAACAACGAGTAAAGGGATTGAATTATTAACTTTAAAAAGCTATCCAAAAAGAAAAGCCAGGGCCACTGGTAAATTCTATCAAACATTTAAAGAATACCAATTCTTCACGAACTCTTCCAAAATTATAAAAAAGGAGAACAATTCCCAATACGTTCTATGAGCCCAATCATACTCTGATACCAAAACGTCAAAGACATCACAAGAAAACTATAGAGCTATCTTTTATAAATATGACTGCAAAAACGTCATACTAACAAACCAAATCCAGCAACACTTAAGAAGAATTATATACCATAACCAAATGAGATTTATCCCTAGAATGCAAGGTTGTTTTAACATCTGGAAATCAATTAATCTAATACACCAAATCAATAGAACAAAAAACAAAAGCCACATGATCATTTAAGTAGATGCAGCAAAAGCATTTGACAAAATCCAAACCCTTTCATGATTAAAAACAACCCTCAACAAACTAGGAATAGAAGGTGACTTCTTCAACTTTATAGAGGATATCTCCAAAATAGTAATAATAACATCCCACTTAATGGTGAAATATTAAATGCTTTCTTTAAGATCAGGAACAAGAAAAGAATTACCTGCTCTTAACACTTTTACTAGAAACAATAAAGGCCATCAAAACAATGAAATAACATACTCCAAGTGTCAAAGAACAAAACTGTCACTATACTGGAAGTTCTAGCCAGAACAATAGGTAGGTTGGTCAGTAAGTAAGTAAGTAAGTAAGTAAGTAAGTAAGTAAGTAAATAAATAAATAAATAAATAAATAAATGGTGCTTTGGTTTGAATGTGTCCCCCAAAGTTCATGTGTTAGAAACTTAGTACCCAATACAACAGTGTTGAGAGATGAGACCTGTAAGAGTTGACTAGGTCATGAGGTCTCTGCCCTCATGAATGGATTAAGGCCATTATCAAAATAGTGGTTTGCTGCAGGAGTGAGTTCCTGAAAACAGAAATAAGCTTGGCTTTCTCCCTTTCTCACTTTCACCCTCTCTTGCCCTTCAGCCTCCTGCCATGAGATGATGCAGCCCAAAGTCCCTTGTTGCATGCCAATGACATGATCTTGGACTTCCCAGTCTCTGGAACTATGAGCAAAATAAATTTCTGTTCAATATAAATTACTCACTTGATGGTATTCTGTTATAGCAACATAAAATAGACTCAGGAAATGGCATTTGGATTTGAAAGAAAGAAGTAAAATTATCTCTATTCACAAATTACATAAGCTTGTACATAGAAATTCCTAAGAAACCCAATAAAAAACTATTACAACTAATAAACAAGTCAGCAAGATTGCAGAATACAAATACATAAAAATCAATTGTATTTCTATGCACTTGCCATAACAACCCAACAATGAAATTAAGAAAACAATTTCATTTATAATATCATTAAAAAGAATAAACATTTTGAAATAATTTAATAAATTTAACAAAGGGTTTGAAAACTACAAAACTGTTGAGAAAAATTAAAGATCCAAGTAAAATGAAAAAAAATATATCTCATATTCATGGATTTAAAATCTTAACATTGTTAAAATGGCAAAACTCTCCAAAAAAAAGCTACAGATCCAGTTCAATCTCTGTCAGAATCCCAGGTGACCTCTTTGTAGAAATTGACAAACTGATTCTAAAATACATGTAGAATTGCAAGGGACCTGGAATAGCCAAAACACTCTTGAAAAATATGAACAAAATCAGAGGACTCATACTTGCTGATTTCAAATTTTACTACAAAATAATAAGAATCAGGACTAGCATAAAAATAGATCAATAGACATGAGAGTCCAGAAATAAAGCTGTGTGTCCATGGTAAACTGATTTTCTACAAGGGAATCATGACTCGCTTCAATGGGGGAAAGAACAGTCTTTTCAACAAACCATGCTGAGACAACTGGAGAGCCACATGCAAAAGAATGAGGTTGGACTCTTACCTCACACAAAAACTCAAATAGAACTCATACAAAAAACTCAAATAGAGCACAAGCCTAAATGTAAGAGCTAAAACTATACAACTCTTACAAGAAAACACAGGAATAAATTTTCATGACCTTAGCTTTGGCAACAGATTCTTAGATATGACACCAATAGTATGAGTAACAAAATTTAAAAATAGGTAAATTGGACTTCATCAAAATTAAAACCTTTTGTTCTTCAAAGAGCATCATCCAGAAAGCAAAAAAGACAACTCACAGAATCAGAGAAAATATTTGCAAATCATATCTCTTGATAAGGGACTTGTATCTGGAATACATAAAAAATTCTTACAACACCATAATAAAAAGACTACCCGATTAAAGATGAACAAAGGATCTAAAGAGACATTTCTCCAAAGAGCATATTCAAATGGTCAATAAGCACATAAAAAGAAGCCTTGAAATCATTAGTCATCACAGAAATACAAATCAAAACCACTTCTCACCCTTCTGACAAAAAGTCAGATAAGAAATCTGAACCTACATACATTACTGGTGAGAATCAAAAATGATGCAGCCGCTTTGATAGTTTTTCAAACAGTAAAACACAGAGTTACAATTTGATCCAGCAATTCCATTTCTAGGTATATACCCAAGAGAAATGAAAACATGTATCCACAGAAAAATGTGAGTGTTCTTAGCAGCATTATTCATAATAGACAAAAAGTTAGTAGCAACCCAAGTGCCCATCAACAGATGAATGGATAAACAAAATGTAGTATTTATGTACAATGGAATATTATTCTGCCATAAAAAGAAATGAATACTGATATATGGTACAAATGGAAAAATCTTGAAAGCATTGTGCTAAGTGAAATAAGCCAGTCACAAAAGCTCACATATAATATGATTACATTTATCTAAAATATCCAGAAAAGGTAAATCTATAGGGACAGAAAGATCATTCGTTGCTTAGGGGTGGGGTGAATGTTGGGACAAGGGAACGATAGCCAAAGAGTACAGGGTTTCTTTGTGCGGTGATGAAAATGCTCTAAAATGTAATGGTGACTGATGGCTGCAAATATCTGTGAATACACTAAAACCACTGAATTGTACACTTTAAACAGGCAAATTGTATGTTATGTGAATTGTATCTCAATAAAGGGGTTAGGAAAAATTACAGCAGCTCTCTGAGCGATTTTGATCAGTAAGTGACTGAGATGAGAGCCTCTGCTCCAACCTCTGGTGTCCAGAGGCTCCCCAGGTTGTCTCTCTACAGCTAAAAGGTTACTCCTTCCTGATGCTGTCCACGGACTGAGTCAGTTCTAGGTTTTGAGAACTGCTCTTTTGTTTGGGACAAATACACTGAGCATCATCCAGAAATTAGCTGTGTGATGACCCAGCTTCATCTGCTTCTCAGATTAAACACTAAAGCCAGCCTCCCACTGCTGGGCCAAGACACTCTTCCCTTGGCTCTCAGGAAGGGAGATGGTGCTGGTCCAGTACTTCTGACAGAGTTGCCTCATCTTGCTTCCCCAGAGTGTTATAATGTGAGAAAGGCCAGGAAGAACTGCACTAGGGCACTCACTAAATATCAGCCTTTGCACATGTAATGAACTTCAGTCCGAAGTATCTATGCAGAAGGATACTGGAACCACTAGGAAGTTAACTTGCACTTTTGTAAAACAAGCTTTGTCTCCACTGGCCACTTTAGTTTCCACAATATTGCAATCTGCCATCTTAAGAGGTTTTATTCTTAATGCAGACACAGCTTTATATAATAGGTGTGTTCAAACTCTTTGCTTCACTTCTTGGCTGGCACTGTTCTGGCCCCAGTGGCCTTAACGTAGCCATTCAGGGCCAGCGTAATGTTGTGCTTTTCAACCAACCAAGTTAATACTCACTGCCCATTTAAAATCAGATCTTGGTCTCCATCCTTTGTCAACAGGACATCTGACTTAGATTTCTGTCAGCTGAGCTAATATAAACCAAATCCCTTCAGACACAGAGTATGAAACAATTCCTGCTAAGTTGGCCATCCATTATACAGAAATATATGCCACAGGCCTGGAATGGGAGATAAGACTCTTTCTGGCACAAGCTGAAAGTATATTACATATCTCCTACGACTAAGCTATTTATTAGGGAAAGGCACTGCTTAGAATAGGAAAAGATATTATCATTGCCGCTGTGTTGCCTGAAAAGGAGGCAAGGCTCAGAAAATACTCCCTACTGCACTGTTGAACAGTCTGACTTCTTCATCTCCAATTCACTCTGGGGTGGGGCTGTTAGTCTATAGGTTTTGATTATAGGAAAAGAGGCATCCCTGCCTCTCAAACGCTGGTGTCACCCAGAGCACTGTGAGATGGTGGAGGGTGAATGGGATCAGAGCGTCCCCCAGATTGCATTTGGGCTGGAAGGCAGTTCGGGCCTACTCACATCTCTGTGAACCCCGCTTTCTTACAGCCCCTGCCTTGCTAAGAAGTCATTACTGTTAACACCAGGACACTGACCTCTCATCTTAGAAACCAGTCCCTGGGGAGCCTCTTTCTCAGTGATGACTCCACGAGTGTGAAATGGCTGGCCTTCACAACACATGGCAGATTTCACAGGTGTAGGCATTTCATGTCTCCCCAAAGGGCACCCATCTGTCAACTGAGGACAGTTGGCACCTAGAGGCCCCTCCCTGCAGGCAGACATGCACAGAGCATGTTCGTCACCATGACTTCCGTGTGCAGGTGGCACTCGGACCCCCACACCCTGTGAGGTTCTTAGGTTTCCACCCTCATCCCCTGAGTCCCTTTTCTCCCCCCTCAATTTCTCAAGGGACATATACTTGTTAATTCCTCACATTAGCTACTAAATGTCATTTTCAAATATTCTATACAGAATCCATATTTATAGGCTGAAGATGGCTTTTCCTGTATAAGTAAAAAAAATAACCACCAAACCCCAAGTCTTCTTTCCTGTTTTATTAACTCAAGTGACATCTGGGAGGGGAAAAATGGTTGAAAAATGTCAAAAGATATTTCATATCTTGACAGTTGAAACAACTTCTCATAGTATCTCCTTCATCGAACTCCTTAGAATGAGCTACAGAGGAAAAGAAACCCAAAACTCTAGAATAAAATGTGTCAGGATAAGCAGAGAGCATTTCTGGAATCAGGTTATCAAGAATACCAGGCACAAAAACAATGAGTCGGGTGGCTGAGGCCAAGAGGAGCCTACAGCTGGTCCCAGATGACTGGCCCAGGTCACACAGGTGCTGGGTGCATGAAGAAGACGCCAGGACTCTGTGTGACCCCATCTCGGTGCTTCTCAGAGGGGCACTTCTCAGACACTGGGGGGAACCCCAGGTGCTTGCTCTTGCTTTCCCTCTCTCTCTCTCCCACTTCCTCACCCCTCACTTCCCCTACCCTCTCTCTACCATTCCTTGCCATTCTTTCTCACAGGTAGCTTCTCCCCATCATGCTGTAGGGGTATCAGGCCTTACGGAACTCTCACAGGAGTTGGCTAACTTGTCCAGTCTGACAGCTAGCAAAGGGAGGAGCGGGGATGGGACCCCAACCACCACTCGTAACCACGCTGACACACAGTGTTAGTCTCAGCTCTGCATTTAGCAGGGGAAAATTCCACCCCCATCCCCAGCCCTGTTTTAATGTAAAGAAGCCTCTGCAGATGTGGTCAGTCCCTGAAAATATTCCATTCACGATACTTATGGGAGCCCACTGTGCTTTGTTGGAAAGACACCAGGAAAGCCCAGCCCCAGAACGACTTCCCCAAGCACCAGGGGTCCTGAGGGCTGCAAAGCTGAGGTAGATGGCTGACCTCTTATGGTAGGATGCCCGGGGCAACTTTAGGCTCGTACCTCAGCCCAGTGGGGTCCTGGTCCACTGGCTATGAGACAGCCCTGGAAGCCTTGTCAGCCAGCTTCCAAGGGCATGCAGAGCAAGGAGGGAGGCAGGGTTGGAGCAACAGGAAGGTGAGCCCAAGGCAAGGCAGCCTTGGGGGCATCAGGAGACGTGAGCTGACACCTGGATGCCCTGTGAGGCTCAGGAGTCCCCTCAGAGAAGAGGCAGAACCTCTGTTGGGCATGAAGAGAAGACGCACATTTACCTACTGCTGACGTCACTGTCAGTAAACCACGTTATATTGTAGTTGAAGGAACGCAACAGCTCTACACCTGGGTGATACTCAGTGTTTACAGCCTGTGCAGCAGGTGGGCACAGCCTGTGGTCTGCGATGCTGACTCCTCAGTTGTGGGGAGGGGCTGGGGTGGACAAGAGGCCCTGGGGCGAGGGTCTTGGAGCTATGTCATTTACCAATCACACACATCGTTTCACTATCTGAACCACTAGCATACCCACACCAATGCTTCCTAGCTGAGGTCAGCCTGTGCTGCAGAAACTGTCATTAAGAACTAGCCATGGCTACACTCTAATCTGGCTTTGACCAGGCGGATCCAAGAAAACCTTTCCTCTTCATCAATGAGGAGCAGCCTGGGGGTTGGGCTTCTCCCAAGCCACTGCTCGAGGGGAGTCTCTTTTTGCCCACTTAAGCAACGCAGCTAGGACAACAGGCAGACCTGGATCCAAATTCACACTTGAAGAAATAACTAACCTTCTTGAGCCTGCGTCTTCTCATCTGTAAGGTGGTTTGTGGAAAAGCAAATCACCACCACCCAAATCCGTGTGATCCTTAGAAGGGACTACTATAAAGTGGTTTGTGAAAAAGCAAATCACCACCACCCAACTCAGCCTTTTCTGGGGCTCCCACTCCTGCAGGGGGAAACTTCCACTATCTCACTAGTGCTGGTCTATCACAGGTACCCCGACTGGTCCTGAGCCTGCAGACCCAACAGACAGCCCTTCATCACCTCTTCATCTGGATTTTGGGGGCACTTTGTCTTGCTAATTCCCCTCCTCCCACCCTGCCTTTGATAGCAGTGAGTAGAGAACATGAAAATCTACCCCAGAAAAGTCTCTGAAAGTCAGTTCTGATCCAATTTCCCCACATCCAGCCTGGGACTTGAATAAAGTAGACACGGGTGAAGATGTGGTCGCGTGGACTCAACCGCTGGGGCTCTGCTTCAAAGCACTAGTGGGCAACCAGACTTGGAACCCAGAGACTTTTCACTCCAGTCTGAAAGTTATGCACCCTCAATCTCTGTAGGCCATTTTATTGATCTCTAAGATGTGGATCAGTCCACCTGCCAGATGATAAAGTACCAGTGTGTTGCATCTCTATGCCTATGGAGACATGCAAATATCTACATGTGTGGGCATGAAACAGCACAGCAGCAGTTGTTGAAGTAGAAACCACTCCAGAATTGTTCTACCACCGTGAAGTGAGGGTGGAAAAAAGAAAAACATCAGAAATGTACAGAAATACCTCTGTCACTTAAGAATGAAGGAAGAGTTCAGACGGTGGCACTTTGGAGATGATGAAATGGCACTGCCACACGGGGCAGCCTGTGATGTCTTCAGAAATAAGAAAGGTCATCAAGTCATTTGTACTAGAAACTCACCTATCTGAGGTGTGAACTTTCAAATGTCATCTTAAGGAACTGGTGGCCCTGAGCAGAGAACATCCCTGAGAGAGGGCACCTTATCCCCAAAGCCCACCTGTGCTGTTGTCAGGCATTCATCAGGTAGTGAAGATGGCCTACAAGGAACCCCTGGCCCAAACCCCCAATGACACATGTCCCTGATGCATGTCAGGCTCCAGGATGTGGCCTTTGACAATGGATCTAAGCAGAGGAGACTGGCTGCTGCACTCTTGGCCACTTAGCCCTGGGCCTCCCATCTCGAGGGTCCACTGAGGCCCAGGAACAGGTGCTTCACAAAGTCCTCTTGAAAGTTCTCTGTCAGTGAGAGAACAAATGGGACTGCACAGTCACTTCTTGAGACAAGAAAACCTCACTTCTAATCCCAGTTTCCAGTGTGACCCTTGGAAGCACTGACATATTTTTTTCCCAAGTGCAGAATGTTCTTCATATTTGAGGCAGGGCATTTCCATGTCTGTGACACCCATCGGCAGATGACTAGAGTATCACAGAATCATTTTAGAGGGAAACCATTTCTCTTTTCCCAGGCCAACATCATTCATCTTAAAATAACTACTGCCACCATAAGGACACAGTATGAAACTTAACACAATCTCCTGCAAAGGTAGCATCTGCACTGACTGCCAGAAACAACTTACTTGGGCGTTCTGCTACCTCTAACAAAACTACTGTTGGCCATTTTCACCACAAAGCAGAGAAAGCTAGCACCTGGGAAGCCATTAACAATTTACATGCAGGCGTATTTCCTTTTATCAGATAGCTGTGTTCTCTGAACAACTAACTTGTAGATGGGCGCAGCTTTGTAACTCAACTTCTTTAGTTCTTTCATTTTTAATTACTAAAAAAGCAGCACATGTTCCTCATAAAATATTCAAACTGAACAGAAGGGTAGAAAGTGGAAAGTCAGCGCTATTAATTTCCTGAACATCTCTCCAGAAATCTTCTGCATATACAACCACTTATATCCTCTCTCTCTTTCTCTCTCTCTCTCTCTCTCTCACACACACACACACACACACACACAGACACACACACACGGATTTTACTATGCATTTTCTTCTGCATCTTTGTCACTTGCTGGGCACCTTTGGGACCTTTCTCTTGAGCACAGGGAGTTCCAGCTCAGCAGAATCTCTTGGTCCCAGGAAACGTCCATACCTTCTGAGACGTTCCATGATAAAAGGATGCCATAATCAAGTAACTTAGGGAAAAGCTGATGCATCAGATTGAACGGCTTTCTTTTTCTACAGTAGAAATTCGTATTCCTTGAACATCTCAGGTAGATAGTGCAATGGCACAAGCGGTAGATTCTCCAAGGCATCACCCTCCCTTATTTCAACCCAAAACATTCTGTGAAGGACTACTTACCAATAGCTTGTGTGGTGTGTTCTCTCCCACTGCAATATTCTCCACCTCCCACCCCACCCCAGCCCCTGGCTAAATTATTTCCTACCCATCCTTCAGATGGCAGCGGGCCTAAGTGTCCTCTGCCCGTGGCCACCCCCACCTTCCCAGTTCACCCAGGCTGAGCTGCTGTGGGATACACTCTTACTGTACCACAACCCTTTCCTCCACAGCATTTCCTCCGGGTGCATCATATGCCCAGCTGTGTGCTGACTTCCCGCCTGCCTTCCCACTGACCTGTAAGCTCCAAGAGAGCATGGGCAGAGTCTGCTCATCTCTCACCACACCTCCTCACACCCATGCAGCGTCTGGCATGCTAGAGGTGCTCCACGAATATTTATTAAATCAATAGATGGTGGCAGTGTCCCACAGAACCCAGTTCTGCAAATGCCATTCCAGTTGCTATAGTGGAGGAATTCACTTCTCCTAAACACACTGCAGTGAACTTTCTGGCAAGGAGAAGAGCCTTTTTGCATTCTGATCATCATCACCTCCTTACTCACTTCTCTTAGACATATTTTGGTATGGCAAGTTTGCAGGATTAAATGTGGAACTGTCTCATTCCCAACAGAAATATCCCCTATGTGTGAGCAGTTGGTACCCATTGGCATTCTGATGCAGAATTTGCCTCCCATTTTTAAAACGACTCTTTGCTGCAACATTATTTTCATAAAGGGAAGAAATTGGAAGTGTTTATGTAAAATAAGACTAGTTTTCATTTATGATGGATTTTCATATGCTGAGATGAAAATAGCACAATTTGACAAAAACAGGGCCTTCCATTTGCCGCACATATAAAGTGTGCATATAAACAGGCATGACGGCTGGGTGCGGTGGCTCATGCCTGTAATCCCAGCACTTTGGGAGGCCAAGGCAGGTGGATCACTTGAGGTCAGGAGTTCGAGGCCAGCCTGGCCAACATGGTGTCTCTGATAAAAATACAAAAATTATCTGGGCATGGTGATGTGCACCTGTAAACCCAGCTACTTGGGGGGCTGAGGCAGTAGAATCACTTGAACCCAGGAGGCAGAGGTTGCAATGAGCTGAGATCGCACCACTGCACTCCAGCCTGGGTGACAGAGTGATACTCCATCTCAAAACAAACAAACAAACAAACAAACAAAAACAGGCATGACATAGCTAGCTGAAAACTCAGCCATCAGGGTGGTGGAGATGCACAGTATAGGGAGGCAGTGTGGAGCCCGGGTGGTTCTAAAGCCAAAGTATTAGGCTTGCATGCTGATTGCCCACTTTGCTAGCTGAGTAATTCTGAGCAAGTCTCTAAGCCTCAGTTTTCTCACCTCTAAAGTGGGAATTAGTAATGGTTCCTGCTTCAGTGAGTTGGGGTAGGATTGCATTGTATGAGATCATATTATGCCTGAAACATAGTAAGCACCACAAAAATGTTACCTGAAGGAAAAGAAACTGATGGAGGCATCAGTTGACTAAGGCACAGGTGAGTGTCTCTAAGGTCAATGAGTAGATAGTGTGTTCTGGACAGAAGTTTCCATCAGCTTGGATTTGGGAAGAGTAAAAGAGTGTAAAAAATGAAAAGATTTTCTTTATGTCCCTGGAAGCTATTGCTTCCAAACATCTGAGGGCCCCCAGGTCCTTCTAAGAGTTACCAGCAAAAGGAAAGCAGAGCATTACTTAAAGCCTGATATGGTTTGGCTGTGTCCCCGCCCAAATCTCATCTTGAATTCCCATGTGTTGTGGGAGGGACCTGGGGGGAGGAAATTGAATCATGGGGCAGGTTTTTCCCATGCTGTTCTCATGATAGTGAATAACTCTCACGAGATCTGATGGTTTTATAAGGAGGAGTTTCCCGGCACAAGCTCTCTCTTTGCCTGCTGCCGTCCATGTAAGATGTGACTTGCTCCTCCTTGCCTTCCGCCATGACTGTGAGGCCTCCCCAGCCATGTGGAACTGTAAGTCCATTAAACCTCTTTTTCTTCCCAGTCTCAGGTATGTCTTTATCAGCAGTATGAAAACAGACTAATACGAAGCCCTACAGCCTTTCACTGACATAGACACCAAGCTTCCTGGGAGCAAAGTGGCCTAAGAAGTAGGACATGGACACACAGAGGTTCACCACATCCATGCATCATGAGCAGGTGGGTGGAGAGCAGGTGCAGGTATCAAAGACTGAGCCACCTGCCAGGGTGCTTGTCAGCCTCTGACCCAGCAACTCTACCTCCACATTGTCCTCCCTTCACTGAATTTCTTGATGTACAACTGCAGTGAAAAAAGGGTTTCCAAGGTGCAGGAGAAAAAGGAAGGCTACCTGGCTCAGGATCAGAGATATTCCCAGGCATAAGCCATGCCACTGTGGGGGACCCGGTGTCACTATCATCATTCTTATAACAATACTAACAATTGAGCTCTCAGTAAACTTTTGTTACACAGTAGTCTGAAATGCTTAATATCCGTTGTTTCATTTTATCTTCACAAAGCCCCCATGAGATAGGTGCTATCATTGTCTTTGCACAGATAAGCAAGAAGCATGGTCTGAGCCTTTTGTGGGAGTAGGGTCAACATGGAGGCAGCAAGGATATATTATATTCACATTCATACCACACACCCTGTGCGAGCCCGATGGCTGGCCAGGGCACCTGGCTAGCATTCCTGAGGAGGCCTGGGAGCCACCTGCAGACCATCTACTGGTCTCTACCGTGCTTCTTAAATCCTGGAAGTCTAGTCTGCATTTCCCTCAGCAAGGCAATCCCTTTCTCAAACAGGGGGACCTGTGGCATATATAACTAACTGAGTCAGCCCAGGGACAGTAGCTCTTAATCTCTTTCCCCCACTGGAACATACTTGACTGCCACCACAGGCTGCAACAGTTGCTGCTGCAATTTTCACGGTGCTGAAGGTGGCTCCACCCTTCTCCTTCCCAGGCAAAACACAGAAAGCAAGTGCTTGATCCTGAAGTTATCATAGAAGTAACCTTGAAACTTCTCTAAGCCATTTTTTAAAAATAAATCATCTACAAACTCCAGCTCCCTACTATTACTGTAACCTTTCACAAATGTCGGGGCACCAGGGTGAAATAAAACACTATTAGTAACCATTCCTGCTCTCCCATTGTCCTTTACTGCTCCTGGTACCACCTTTCAGAATTTCTCTAGCCTAGGTGCAGCTCCTATCCAACTGCGAGACTCCATCTGGACTCCCATTCCTTTGAAAAAAGAGATTAAAAATACAAACAAATTAGATCCTGAAAGTAATTACTTCATTAGGTATACATCTAAAATTACTGTCTTCAGAAACAAACAAGAATCAAAATTTAAATAGAAGAAGAGTTGACAGAACCAACAAGCAGATAAAACAACAACCATTTGTGATGGCCTGTAATAAGAGGATTCAGTTCAATTCAACAACATCCTTAGAAGCGCATTTCTATTCCAGGTCCTCTGCTATGGTCCCAAGGGAATGAAAAAAAAAACACAGCCCCTGCCTCCAAGTTCAAGGGAGGAGAGTGCAGTGAAAAAGAAACTGCTGAAAAATGTGATGAATAATCTAACAGAAGGAGAGACAAAACCCCCACACGGGGGCATAAATGAGGGGGCAGAGGATGTTTCTGGAGAGGAGGGCTAGGGCCAGAGGGAAAGACATGGCAGCCATGGAGCCAGGCTCTCAGGAAAGGACAGGTCTTTCCAGAATGGAGAAAGGACAGTACCCTCAGCAGGAGGTCAGAGCCTAAGCAAAGGTCTTCAGAGAGTCTGGAATCCTGGGATCTAGCATGACCAGGAAGAGGGGGAATGGGGTAGCCAGGAAAAGAGGACAGTAAACCAGAGCTGGTTTGTGAGCGTGTTTGCACTTCATTCTACAAACAGGGCTGAATGGAAGGGGTCTGGGCTTGGGGAAGAGCATCCCCTACATATTTTTGGCAGGACAGTGACGGTAACCCATCTGGTTTGCTGGGAGCTGAGTCAGTGTGAGGAATCAATGTGTATCAAATTCCTCCGTGTGCCAGGTGTTCTGCTGGATGCTGCACCTTCACTTTCTTTAATGCTCAAAATGACAATTTACATCTTACAGATGAAGAAACAGAGGGCCCAAGAGTGAAATGCCCTTTCTAGTCCACCATGCTGATACTCATAGCACTGGATACAAGCCCAGGCCTGCCAATCTCCAAAGACTCCTTGATAGCTCTGGGAAGAGCTCCATGGTAGACAAGAACAGAGATGATGGGGATGGCAAGGGACAGTGACCCAGGTGAAAAGGGAACCAGGGGACAGGAACAGTGCTTCAGAGAGCCTTAGGCAGGAAGCATAAACTCTTTTCTCACTTGGATTTTGGGAAAGAATCACCTGTACCTAAAGTGATGCCTTTGAGTTTTGCCCCAGGTAACTTCCCTGGACCTGACTCTAGAACAGAGGCTGTGGAAGAATTGCCTTGGAGAATGGTGGTCCCCACTGCTTCTATAACACATGGGGTCATTGTCAATGAGATAATGCACTGAAAGTCCTCACTACAGAGCATGGCTGTTGGTAAGTAATCCACTCATCCATCCATCCATCCACTCACCGACCCACCCTTCATCCATTCATCCATTCATCCATCCATCCATCCATCCATTCCCCCACCTACCCATCCATCCATCCATCCCTCCACTCACTCACCCACCCTTCATCCATTCATCCATCCATTCATCCATCCATCTACCTATGCATGTGTCCATCCATCTATTCATCCATCCATCCATTTATCCATCCATCCACCTACTCATTCATGAAATGCAACTTCCAGGCTAAACATAAGCCTAAGCATAGGACTGAGGAGCCACAAAGGGCCAAATCACACCTTCCTTCTACTAATACAACTTCTGAGAAAATACAGACACAAACCTATGCATACACACATATACATCTCTGCAGACCTATTGTGCCACATACACATGCAGAAGTATGGAGGCATTGCCAATAGACTTGAACTCAGCCACTCAACTTGTGAATTTTAAGTCAGGGATAGTTATTTTGCCATATAAAATATAATTTCCAAACTAGAAGAGAAAAACTATGAGTAAATTTGGGATGACAGCTGTGGAGTTACTTCAGTGGCACTATCTTGTATGTTTCTTACCAAATGCCTTAGTCCTATTATGCTCATATTGCTGGAATAGGGGTTCCTGGAATCCAAACTACATCTTGGGAAAGTTTCCTGGGCCTTGCTGAGGACTGTAGGTACCAACAGACCATGTGCGAGGAGGTTCTCGAGTGTTATTTCTCTAGGTCCAGAGCAATGTGCTCTGGTGTAATTCCTCTGATCTTGACTCCCAATACCAAGTTATGGCCATATCATCATCACATTCCATTAGGGCTGGGAGACAACAAGGAAGCAAGATTGGAGCCTAATCCAAATGCTTTAGTTCAGAATCCTGAGAAGAAAATCCATTTCAAGTTGGAATTTGTTTCTGACATCCTGGGGTCAGTCACTCTTGTTCACTTATGTGCGTGTGCTCTCTCTCCCTCTCTCTCAAACACACACACACACACACACAAACACACACACACGTGAAGGGAAAAGAAACAAAGGGAAAGGAAAAAATTTTAAACAGCTTTTTATAAGGTTTGTGAGCCTTCTTGCACATCAAATAGCTCTTGGAAAACAATATTTTAATGATTTCCGTGTAAACGAATCAGAAACATATGGATTAAATTTTCCTTAAAATATACACATGTAATTAAGGGGAAAAGTGCCTGGCAAAATGCATTTTGTGTTTTATCAAGCTCAACATTTGAAAAATAGGTTGAGACATCTGACAAATCCAAATTCAGCAACCCTGCCCATCCCTCCAGCAGCCTGCATACTCTGCTCCTAAGCAGGGGACCCAATGCCATCTCATCAGACTTCTGCCCTTTTCTTGGGCTTTTTAGAAGAACCTATTGGACTGTAACAGACAGACTGATTTCTCATGCTCTGCAGTGGTGGTTACAGGTCTTCCCTTTCCTGGAGCTCTTTTCATTTTCAGGGGCTGGACCCTGAGCACAATGTAGCTTTGCAGCCCAGTTTTCCCAGCCCGACTGGGTGCCCTGCTGGGGAAGTCTAGAGGATGAAAGCGTGGTCTAGCCTGTGTCCTGCAATTCACACCTCCCCTTCACCTCTGCCACTTCAGCCTACCTCTCCCGGATGTCCTCCGTTACTGGGGGAAGAAGAGGAATTGAGATTGGGTTACTTCCTATGTTTTTTCTTCCTCTGTGCAAGAACAAAGTGAAAACAGTGTTTTGATTGTAATCTATATTCATTCCCTTACCTTGCAATAAGTATTTATTGAGCATCTACCATGTGCTGGGTATCCTGCTGGGGTTCCCGCCTTCATGGGGCTGATATGCTCACTGGAGCTTGCTCTCTAGGGCCCCAGGCCCAAGGGCTCTCACCTTATCCATCCAGTCTTGGCCCATGTGCTGTTCTTCTCTGGATTTTCTCCAAACCAGGCCCTGAACACCTCCTCCCTCTCCCTCTTCTTCAGTGTGAGTGGGAACTAGTATTCTTCAGTGGCTCTCTTCCTGGCAAAGCTGTCAGCCATATTTCACCTGTCACCATCATGTTCATGACCTCCTGATGGCTCCCACAGCCTCTCACCACCTGGCCAGCCCTTCCAGGCTCCATAACTGCCTTTCTGACTTCCACAAAGGAGCAGTTGTTCCCACTGCTGCTGCCACTTTGGCTGGGATCTGCCCAACTTGCCCCACTCCACAGCCCCCTTGGACAACAAGCTCCCTCAGTCTTGGAGTTACAGTACCTACTCACCTGCTAAAGGCTCCCCTTTTAATGCCATCACCTGGGTGATTAGGTTTCAACATACAAATTTTGGAAGGACACAAACATTCAGACCACAGCACTTGAGTCCTGGATGGACACCATGTGCCATCCACCCCTCTAAGTGTTCAATCCTCAGCACATCCCCCGAGGCAACTCACTATGATTGTCATCTCCAGCTTAGGGATGAGGAAAACGAGGCACAGGTATTGTATGCAGTTACAGATGTGAGAGTAGGGCAACCCTGGGGTCAGTGGGTCCTTGTCAGGTTGGATCTGGGTGTGACTCTGGGTGTGACTCTGGCCCCAGCCTCCCTCCATTCCCAGACATTTCCAGGCCTTATTCTTTAGCTTTCCTGAAGAGTCTGTGGGCCACCCAGTCTCCTCTCAAAAAGTTTCTTTGCTATCAGCCAGGTTCTGTTTCTGTTGCTTATAAGAACCATGAAAACACCACAGCCCTGGATGACATCTCATAGCCCAGGAGGCACAGGTGTCAGTGTCTTCCACACCAACCAACATCTGGGAAAAACTCATCTGTAAAGAGCATGGGCAGGGGTAAAGGGGGCACAAGGCTGCATCTGCAGGGTCCTCTGCCCTCAGAGAACCTAAAGTAGAGAAGGAAAGACTGCATGCTCTGCATTCACAGAACAGAGCAATGCTAGAGCAGAGGAATAAACAAAAGTCACTTCCATCACACAAGACAAAAAGAATCAAGGAGGTTATATTTGAGCTGGTTTCTAAGAATAGGCATTAGGACAAGCAGGAAAGGAGGGACAGGGATAATAGGAATAAAAACAGTGAAATACACTACAATGGAAGAAAAAGGAAGGTGTGTTCAGTGAACAAAAGCAGGGTCTCACCCGGGTGGACAGAGGTGGAAAATGGAAATGAAGGAATAGGTTGAGAGCACAGCATTTTCTTTCACACACATTCACATATTTACAAACACACATGAACAGACCTGCCCATAGACAGAAACATGCACATACATATAAGGTGTATGTGTATATGTACTGTATATGTGTGTGTATGTATATATATATGTGTGTATATATAATGTGTATATATACGTATAAACTTTACAGCACTTCAGTTGAGAAAGTCCTTAAAAGAGTTCAGCTTTATCTGAATTCTCTGCCAGATCATCAGCAGTTCTTGCAAAAGCATCCTGCCTCTTGCTTTACTCATAGAGGATATGGAGTCATTTACGGCTCTAAAGGTATCAGCCATTCATCTTCAAAGTCTCCGAAATAGTAAGACTCACAAGCTGGGGATGCCAGAGCAGCCACTCAGCAAACATCTGCTGAAGGAGTTTCATGAAAAAAGCTGCTGCATCAGGCAACCTGAGGGCCCTGAGATGCATTTCTAAACACTCAATGAATATGCCTCTTTGAGTTCCCATGGGCACAGCTTGCCCACATCACCAACTTTGAAGCTGCAGTCTCTTTCAGTGCTCAAGAGAAAGGCACCTCAGCCAGAGAGGAAAGCACAAACCCGGCTGAGCAGCCCAGTTGCCAGGCCCGCCCACGGAGGCAGAAAGCAGATTGTAGAAAGCAGGTAGAGTTTACCAGCTAGTTTCATCTAGAACTAAAAATTATACCCCAGAACATAGATCACAGAAGCTCCTAGGCAAGTATCAAACCACTTTGGTATATGCCCACAGAAGTCCAAGCAGCTAGGAGAGAATGACCTTGTATTGGTTTTCTTCGCTGGGGGTAAGATTTCCAACCCAAAAACAGCACAGCCAGTGACCAATCTCTGAGCATTTGTTTTGAGTACGTCATCAATAACTAGATCTGAGCTGGAGGGCCTTCTAAACATAAAATATATTCCTGCAGCTTGAAAAGGAAAACAAAAAAAAAAGGCTGTTAGGGGCTGTTTTGAATTAGGTAGAGTGGAGACAGGAATTTGCCTGAAGTCCCTGCCTCTCCTCTGCCCTTGGGCAGTGATTCACTGCCTGGCTGAGACAAGACAGAACACCTGGCTGACCCTGGTCCATGCCCCACAGCCTGGCTGGGTGACAATGGACTGGGCAGAGGTGATGGGCAGATCCCAGGAGGGCTGCTGAGGATGACTTTGAATATCATTAGCTACATCCAACGGCTCAAAAAATCTGACTATCTCTGAAGATTCTGTCTAGGAATCATTACAAGCATGATTCTATAGCCTGGGTGATCAGTGGTGGTGTGGGTCCCTTACGTGTTACTACCATTAAAAGGCACAATTATGCCTTTAAAGCTAGAGGTGCAATTAAATCTCTATAATGGTGTTAATGGCTCAAGAAACCTTGAAGCAGCTGTCATATTTTAAAAGATCATTCTGAATTGTTTTATGTCTGAAATTGCTCTGTAAAATCATGTTAATTTTTCATCTTCAGTTGGGAATATATTGAATGCCAAGAAGATGGCTTTCTTTTGGCCACATCGCACAAAAAGGGGCAGTTTCATTTAGGATTTCATCTGCTGACAGGATCATTCTAGAGAACTAAACTCCACTAAATGAAGCTGAGCTCAGCCCTCTATGTCTTGGTTCCATTTGTTTCTAAGGAAGAGCCCAAAGTAAAGAGTAGGGTAGAGGATATGGCCCAGTCCAGAGCCCTCTAGGATTTGTTTAGATTCACATCACTTTCTCTAAGAGGAAAAAAGAAAAAAAGATGAACTGTGGCCCTGCCCATGTGAAGAAGTAGACAGGTCCCATCCTTGGCACTCCCACTGTCCCCTGGCTGTCCACACTGTGGCCAATATGTGATACATGGTGTTCTAATTATCTCATTATCTGTTCCCTATATGAACTGTGAACCTCTTGAGGGAGGGGCTGCATCTGATTCACCTCGGAATCCCCAGTAACTATCAGAACAGTTAATGAATGGGGTACTGCCTCCACTGACTCTTAAGGATGGATAACAGGTAAACCAGGAAAAAGAGACATTAGGTATCCAACTATACCTAATATCCAACACGCGTAAGAAAAATGTTTCAGAGACAGTTAGTTGGAATATCTTTAATCACTGACCAAGCCCCTTAAATAGTGACTTAGAACATTTCAGAAGTGCAATTTGTATTCACGTTATTTTCCAATAAAAACAACGGCAGCTAAAATGCACTGCGCACTTTCTGTATGGTACTGTTGTATTAAGGGCTACACACACATCATTTCATATCCTCTCACTAACCCTCTGACGGAGGCAGCATCATTATCCCTATTTCACAAATAGGGAAACTGAGCCTCAGAAAGGCAAAGTTGCTTGCTTAAGATCACACAGCCTACAAGAGGAAGATCAGGACTTAAACCCATAGCCCTTGCTCTTGACTACTGAGCTCTTGTATATGATTTGGAAACTGGCCCCTGATATCTTTGAAACCTTGATGGGAGACAATGTGGCACATTTTTTACTTTGAAGATTCCATGACTTTCTGGCTTATTTTTCTAGGAGGATAGTTCTTTGTTTAGAAGTTTTTTAGGTATGACCAAGCAGAGCAAACTACTACTCGATAGCAATAGGATAAAGATGCTGAAAACAACTTAAACCCTTTATAAACATCATTCCATTTAGCCCTCAAAACCACCCCCAGGAGGTAGATATGATTATTATTCACATCATAAGATGAGAAAATTCAGACCTAAAAAGATGAGGTGACGTGCCCAAGGTCACAGCCAGAAAGAAGTAGAACACGGTCTGACCAGAATCCATCCGATGTCAGAGCCCAGTCCTTGGCCACTATAATTCCAACTGGAATTGGCAGATGGGAACTTAGGGAAAAATAAACTCTAGAGTTTATGTGAAGACTGGATTTGAGGCACACAAGCCTGGAAATAAGGAATTCTGTTAAGGTCCATGCTGCTTTATACTCTAAGAAAAGACCCCAGCTGTTTCCATTGCACCCCTAGGAGCTCTCCAGCCCTTAAATGCCATTCCACAAACTGGAAGAAGAAAACAAAGGTACCACATCAGGGGTCAGAAGACTACAGCCTGCAGGTTACATCCAGCCATCTCTTTTTGTAGATAAATTTCACTGGAACACAGCCATTTGGCTGCTTTTGTGCCTGAACAGCAGAAGTGAGTAGTTGCAACAGAGACTCTATGGCTGGCAAAGCCTAAGATATTTACTATCTGGTCCTTTATAGAAACTGCCAACCCCTATTCTACATGTTAGAGAGCCTGATGTAAACAACCAGCCAGAGAAACAGCAAGCCCAGAAGCTCCAGGCAGAACAGGTACATGCTTCACCTATCCAGTTGATACCTGACACACTCAGCTTATAACTGTGCTTTTCAAAAAAAATGAAACAAACCAAAACTATATCCCAAACCAGCCAGCCCCTGCTTCTCAACCCCCTGATTCTTCACCTTCTAAAAGGAGCAGTGGCTGGGAGTCTTACCTTTGTTGTACATGTTCGTTGGTACTTGGACGTCACTTAGACTGATGTTCACAGGCAAATTATTAAAATGGTCATTTGGGGCTAAGATGAATTCCTTTCCCAGCTCCAAAAAATTCCCGTCTTTGTCCCTTTCATTTATCAGCACAGCATTGAAGTATTCATACTGAAAGACAAAGTCAAAAAACATTACATGTGGCTTAGGGAAGAGGGCTGTGAACTCACTTAGACCTGGGCACAGGCCATGTGCCATCCCTTACACTGTGGACCCTGATCTGCTCACATAATCTTTTTATGTCTTATGTACTGTCCATGGCTGCTTTTGCATGGGTGAGATAGCATTATATAAATAGTTTCCAATGTCACTAAATACTCCCAGAAAACATAAATGTTAAGGGGCAACGCAGTACTTTCTTATGTGCATATAGAGAAAACTGCCCTAGAAACATTTTAATTCTTTAAATTTTGAAGAGAGACCCTGACTTTATGTAGCCTATATTAAGTTGAAGGAGGCTGAAAATCAGCAAAAAATAACAGGCAAATATACGTCAGATCATCATGCTTGCTATGGAAAAATAATACAGCAGGGTAAAGGGATTAGCAGCTTCAGAAGGACTGTGTGTTTATACATGGTGTTTGAGAAGGTCTCACTGCGATGGCAACACTCAAATAGAGATTAAATGAGGGGAGAAATCCAGTGGTGTGGGCATCAGGGAAACATCCGAGAAAGAACAGCAAGGGAAAAGCCCTCAGATGGGAGTGTGCTGGCATGATTTACAAATGGCTATATCATCATCTCACATATACAGAAGGCTTACTTTGTGTCAGAAATCACTCTAAGTGCTTTTCATGTGTTAACTCATCTGATTCTCCTAACAATGTTATGAGGTGGATTTTATGAGTATTCCTACTTCACAAATGAGGACACTTAGGAATAGAGAATGTATGCATCCTGCAAAAAATTACACAGCTGATAAGGAAAGCCAGAATTCAAATACAGGCCATCTATCTTGAGTCTGTCCTTAAATCTACTGTATCAGATGGCCAATGGCAGGTGTGGGTGGAATTAACAGAGCAGAACCTTAAAATAACTACAATTAATATGCTCTAGAGGCTAATGGAAAAAGCGGACATGTAAGAACAGATGGGTAATATAAGCAGAGAGGTGGATATTCTATGAAAGAATCAATGTGAAATGCTAGAAATCAAAAACATTGTAACAGAAATGAAGAATACCTTTGCTGGTTCATTAGTAGACTGAACACAGCCAAGGAAATAATTGCAGAGGATGAAGATGTGTCAAAAGAAACTCCCCAAAAAGAAATGCAAAAAGAAGAGAAAATAGAAAGGGAACAGAATATCCAAGAATTGTGAGATAATCACAAAACGTGTAACATATGTGTAATGGGACACCAGACTGAGAAGAATGGAAACTGAAATATTTGAAATAATAATGGCTGAGTATTTTCCAAAATTAATGACAAAAATCAAGCTACAGATCAAGGAAGTTGAGAGAACACTGAACACAATGAATATTACGAAGATTTACATCTACACATATCATATTCAAACTGTATAAAATCAAAGAAAAAGAGAAAATCTTGAAAGAAACCAGAAAGAGGGTGGGAGAATCTTACCTGTAGGGGAACAGGGATAAGGATTACATCAGACTTCTCTTCAGAAGCCATCCAGGCAAGAAGAGAATGGAGTGAACCACTTAAAAAGTGTTCAAAGAAAGAACCATCAACCTAGAATTCTGTATCCCATGAAATTACCCTTCACAAGTAAAGGAGAAATAAAGACCTTCTCAGGCAAACAAAAATGAAGGAATCTGTTGCCAGTAGACTTGCCTTGCAAGAATTGTTAAAAGTTCTTAAGAGAGAAGCAAAATGATATAGTTTAGAAATTCTCATCTGCATTAAGACAGGAAGAATGTTTGGCCAGGCACAGTGGCTCACACTTGTAATCCCAGAACTTTGGGAAACCAAGGCAGGAGGATTGCTTGAGCCCAGGAGTTCAAGACCACCCTAGGCAACATGGTGAAACTCTGTCTCTACAAAAAAAAAAAAAATTAGTCAGGCAAATTAGTCGGTTGCAGCAGCACCCGCCTGTAGTCCCAGCTACTTAGGAGGCTGAACGAGGAGGATCACCAGAGCCTGGGAGGTTGAGGCTGCAGTGAGTCATGATTGTGCCAATGTACTCTAGCCTGGGTGACAGAGTGAGACCCTGTCTTACCAAAAAAAAAAAAAAATAGTGTTAGAGCAAGAATAAATGAAGGTACATAAAATATTTTGTTATTCTTAACTAATCTAACATATAACAGCTTGTTCAAAATAATAATAGTAATAAATTACTGTCTATGGATAAGTGAAATGAATAATAGCAGTGTTATAAGAAACCGGAGGGAGGAATGTGGAATACTCTGTGCTATGATTTGAATGTGTTCCCTCCAAATTTTAGGTGTTCCAATGTGACAGTAATAAGTGGTGTGGTCATTAAGAGATGAATAGGCCATGAGGGCTCCTCCCTCATGAATGGGATTAGATGTCCTTATAACAGGGATTGACAGAGAAAGTCTGTCCCTTTTTCCATTCTATCTTCTACCAGGTGAGGAAACAACACTCTTCCCTTCAAGAGGATACAGTATCAGTGCATCATATTGGAAGCAGAGCAGCCTACACCACACACTAAACATGCCAGCACCTTGATCTTGGGCTTTCCAGCCTCCAGAACTGTGAGAAAATAAATTTCTTTTCTTTATAAATTAAGAAGAATTTATAAAGTCTCAGGTATTCTGTTGTAGCAGCACAAATGGCCAAGACACTCAGTTATAAGATACCTGCACTACAGATGAAGTAGTGTAAGGTTATTTGAAGTGGACTTAAATTAGTTGTAAATGCATACAGCAAACTTTAAGGCAACTACTAAAATAACTGTAAAAGGAAGCATAATTTATATGCTAAGAGAGGAGAGAAAATTAAGTCACATAACATGTTCAATTAAAACTAGAGAAGGCAGAAAAAGAGTAGAAGAAAAAAAGAAAGAAATAAGGAAAGAAAAAGAGAAAGAAAGAAAGGAATGAAAAGAAAAGAAAGAGAGAGAAAGGAAGGAAGGAAGGAAGGAAGGAAGGAAGGAAGGAAGGAAGGAAGGAAGATAGGAAGGAAGGAAGATAGGAAGGAAGGAAGATGGACGGACCTGGGGTAGTGAATAGAAAACTGTTACAAATATGGTACATATAAATCCAACTATATCAATAATCACCTTGAATGAGCATGGAATAAATACATCAATCAAAAGACAGAGGCTGGCAGAGTAGATTAAAATACAAGACCTAACTATATTTTGTCCATAAGAAGCCCACTTTAAACATAAAGACACAGATATATTAAAAGTAAAGGGATGAAGAAGATATACCATGCTAACATTAATCAAAAGAAAGTGAGGGTAGTTGGTTTAATTTCAGGCAAAACAGACTTCAGAGCAGGGAAAATTATCAAGGAATAAGATAGGCAGGCATTACTTAATGATAAAGAGGTTAATTCTCTAAGAAGACAAAGCAATCCTTAATGTAGTATGCATCTAACAGCACAGCGTTAAAATACATGAAACAAAGACTGATAGAACTGCAAGGAGAAACAGATGAACTAGCTATTATAGTTAAAGACTTAAATGCCCCTGTATCAGTAACTGACAGACTCAGGAGGCAAAGTACTGGTAAGAATACAGTTGAAATGAACAATACCATCAATTGGATCTAATTTACATTTATAGAATACTTCATCCATAAAGAGAAGAATACACATTCTTCTTAAGCATGTAAAGATGCTTGCTTGGAACATTCAAGATAGACCACATCAGGGGCCCTAAAACACATCTTCACAAACTTAAAAGAATGGAAATCATACGGTGTCTGCTCTCAGACCACAATGAAATTAAACTGGAAATCAATAACAAAAAAGATAGCTGAAAAAAATCCCAAAATATTTGGAGATTAGACAACATACTTTTAAAAGAATTCTCAAGATAATTTTTTTAAAAATTAAAATGAAAACACAGCCTATCAAAAGGTGTGGGATGTAGCAAAAGCAAAGCTTACAAGGAAATTTATAGCACTGAACACATGTATCAGAAGAGAAAAGAAGATCTAGAAGCAATCATCTAAGCTTCTACTTTAGAAAACTAGAAAAAGAAGAGCATATTAAATCTAAAGTAAGCAGAAAAAATGTATATTTTTTATTCTGCAAAGCAGAAATCAATGAAATTAAAAACAGAAAATCAGTAGTATCAATGAAACCAAAAATTTGTTCTTTTTAAAATTATAGTACAAAGATCCAAATAAAAATTAACAAAGGGAAGGGGTACATGAGGCAAAGTCCCAAGGAATCCAGGTGCAACCTTCCAAGAGTTCTGCCCCAGTGCAATCACAGAGATTATACTTAATTCTTCTATTAATGAGTTGTAATAATACATTGGAAGTGGTGTCTAACAGAGACTCAGCATTCAGGATTTTTATTGGGGGTTGGTCCTGTAGCAATACTACTTTCAAACTTAACCTAGTTAACATTTATAGAACTCCATACCTAACAACTGAAGAGCACACATTCTTTTCTAGATCATATACTGGGCCATCAAACAAGTCTCAATACATTTAAAATGACTGAAATCCACATACTATGTTCTCTGATAATAATGAGCTAAATTTAGAAATCAATGTATGATATTGATATGAAAAATATCATTGATATCTAGATTTTAATAAAAGATGATACCTGCAAATAGACTAAAGATTTGGATATTAAACAAAATACTTATTAATAATACATATGTCAAGGAAAAAAATGACATGGGAAATTGGAAAATATTTTGAAATTAATCATAATGAAAACAACATATCAATATTTGTGAGATGCAACGAAAGCAGAGCTTAGAGAAGAAGTTACACATTTAAAAGCTTATAATATAGAAGAAAAAAATTTCAAGATAAATAGTCTACCTTAAGATTCTACCTTAACAAGGTATTAAAAAGATGAATAAATGAAACTCAATGTTAAAAGAAGGAATAAAGTAATAGAGATAAGTACAGAAATTTAAAACAAAACAAGTAACAGGAAAAAATCAATAATACCAAAATTTGGTTAATATAATTAACAAAATTATGAAATTCTAGTTAGACTGATTAAGAAAAAAAGTAAGAAAGCAGAAAATACCAGTATCTGGGATGAAAGAGGAAACATTACTCCAGATCCTACAGATAATGAAAGGATAAGGGAATATTACAAACAACTTTATGCCAATAAGTTCAATAACTTAGGTTAAATGTCAAACTCCTTGGGAAACAGAAATTATCAAAATGGACACAAGAAGAAATACAAAATATAACTGGCCCTAGAAATACAAAAGATATTGATTTCACTGTTAATAGCCATGATAAAACAAACAAACAACTCTAGGTTCATATGCCTTAACTGATGGATTCTATCAAATATATGAGAAAAAAATACAAACAATCTTATATAGACTCTTTAGGAAAATTAGAGGAGAAAATACTTCCTATCTAATTTAATGAGGGTAGCCTAACCTTGACACCAAACAAGAACTTTAAAAAAAAAAAAAACTATATGCCAATATCCCTCATAAGCCTAGATACAAAAATCTTAACAAAATTTTAAATCAAATCCACCTATAAATAAAGGGATAATACATCACGACCAAACTGTATTAATCCCAGGAATTCAAGGTTGGTTTAATATTTGATTAATCAACATAATTCACCACATCAACAGAACAAAGAAGGAAAATCATAACATCAAATAGATAAAGAAAAAGCATGTGATAGAATTCAATTTTTGTTCATCATAAAAACCCTCAGGAAATTTGAAATAAGGAAAAATATCTTCAACCTAATGAAAAGGATTTACAAAAAAACATGTATCTGACATTATATTGATGAAGAAGCACTGAATGTTTTCCCCCTAAGATCAGGAATAAGGCAAGGTTGTCTTACCACTTCTGTTCAATACTGTAAAGGTGGTCCTGGCAAATACTGTAAGACAAATAAATAAACAAAAGCCATAGGTATTGAAAAGGGAAAAAATCTACCTTTACTTTTCTACATAGATTTTGTCTATATAGAAAATCCTAAGGAATTCACATAATATAACTTAAAGAGAGTTAACAAGATCACAGAATACAAAATAAATACACAAAATCCATTTTATTTCAATATACTAACACAAAACAGTTGGAAATTGAACTGGAAAATAATAGCATTTATGATAGCATAGAATAAAACAGGTATCAATTAAACTATAATAGGTGTATATTAAACTATGTGCAATGCCTGTATACTACAAAGTACTAAAAACCACAAATATTTGTTTGAACTTAAAGAAGACTTATATAAATGGAGAGAGATAGCTTGCTCAAAAATTGGAGAATTCTATTTTATGACGCAAGTTCTTCCCAAAGTGATCTACAAATTCAATGAACTCCCAATCAAAATATATAAGCATTTTTAATATAAATTGAAAAGCTGATTTAAAATTTTACATATAAGTAAAAGAGACCTCAATTTTCAAAACAATTTTTAAAAAGAAGAAAAAAGCCCAAGGACTCACATTTTCTGATTTTGGGCCTTCCTCTAAATCAAATTAATCAAAGCAGTATGGTATAAGCATTAGAATAGACAAACAGATCATGAAACGGAGAGTGCAGAAATAAAGCTGCACATATATGGTCAATTGACATCAAATAAAGGTGCTTAGGTAATTCAGTGAGGACAGTATTTTCAACAAACTGTGCTGAAGCAAATGACTAAAAACTACATTCTCAACCCCTAACTCACATCATACACATATGAATTTGAGATGGATGACAGACTTAAATGTAAAAACTAAATCTGTAATATTTCTAGGAAAAAAGTAAAGGATACTTTATGGCCTCCAGGTAGGCGTTGATTTCTTAGGCTACAGAAGGCACTTACATTTTAAAAATGGATAATTTGGAATTTATGAAAATTCAAAACTTCTGGTCATCAAATTCACCAGTAATAAAACAAAAATGAAAGCCACGGTTCAGGAAAAAGTATTCGTAATACACACATCTGAAAAATGACCTGTGCCCTAAATATGTAAACAACTCCTGTAGCTCAACTGAAAATATTAATCAAAATATGGGCAAAAGATTTGAACAGACACTTTACAAAAGAAGGTATGTGAATGGTCAATCCGCAGACCAACATGTGTTCAATGTCATTAGTCATCAGGAAAGTACAAAAATAAAACTCCAATCAGATGCCATTTTATACCCACTAGAAGTGCTGACATTAAAAATTCCGGTAATATTAAACATTGCCAAGGATATGGAGCAATCAAATATCTCATATATTGCTTGTGGAAATATAAAATGGTACAAACACTTTGGAAAAACATTTTGCAGCTTCTTATAATGTTAAACATATATCTACCATATGACCCAGCAATTCCACTTCTAGCTATTTACCTAAGGGAAATGAGAATATATGCCCACAAAAATATTTGTGTGAATATTCACGGAAACCCCATTCATAATAGCCCCAAACTAGAAATAACCTAAATATCCATTAACAGTTAAAGGATTAACAAATCTGTGATATATTCATGTAATGGATTACTACTTAACAACAACTTACTGATACATTCAAAGTATCAATGAATCTCACAAACATTCTGAGTAAAAGAAACCAGAGACAAAAGAGTACATATGCATGATTTCATACATACGAAGTTCTAATACAGGCAAAATTATTATTCAATAGTGATGGCACTCAGGAGTTGCTTCTCAGAGGGAGAGTGAGAGTCAACTAGAGAGGTACACAACAGAGCTTCCTGGAGTCCTGGAAATTTCCCTCTCTGGTTGGTTGTTTGTTTTGAGACAGAGTCTCACTCTGTCCACCCAGGCTGGAATGCAGTGGCCTGATCTTGGCTCACTGCAGCCTCTGCCTCCTGGGTTCAAGTGATCCTCCTGCTTCAGCCTCCCAAGTGGCTGGGATAACAAGTGTGCACCACCACACCCTGCTAATTTTTGTATTTTTAGTAGAGATGGGGTTTCACCATATTGGCTAGGCTGGTTTTGAACTCTTGGCCTCAAGTGATCTGCCCTCTTCAGCCTCCCAAAGTGCTGGGATTACAGGTATGAGCCACTGCACCTGGCCAAATTGCCCTATCTTGATGATACATGGGTTACTCAGGTGGATTCATTTGTCAGTACTCATTGAATTGTATGCTAAAGAACTGCGCATTTTTCCATATAGAAATTCATGCCTCAATAAAAAAAATTAAAGTCACTAAAGACCTTTCAATTCTTTTTGAATTATTAATTCAAGAAGTTTATAGAAACAGAACTCAAGTTAAAAAATTCCATCCCTAACCATTTTTTAAAGCAAAATTCACTGTAAGATGTCACCCAGAAATAAAAACATCATACTTTTCTGCTGAAAGACCAATCAATGGCACTCCTCACTGTGCGGAAATACCTTGACCAGCCCATGAACCGCTCAATGCCAATTGGAAGGACCCCTTCTCTTAAGCAGTCTGCTTTCTAGGACACATGTCAGCAGCACTTCTTCCCACAGCACCTGATATGGTTTGGCTCTATGTCCCCACCCAATCTCATCTTGAATTGTAATCCAAATTATAATTCCCAGGTGTCGAGGGAGGGACCTGATGGGAGGTGACTGGGATCATGGGAGCAGTTTCCCCTGCTGTCCTCATGACAGTCAGTGAATTCTCATGAGATGTGGATGTTTGATAAGTATGCCCCTTCATGCTTGCTCTCTCTCTCTCCCTCTCTCTCACCTGCCGCCATGTAAGACAGGCCTGCTTCCCCTTCTGCCATGATTGTAAGTTTCCTGAGGCCTCCCCAGCCATGTGGAACTGTGAGTCAATTAAACCTCTTTCCTTTATAAATTACCCAGCCTCAGGTATTCTTTATAGCAGTGTGAAAACAGACTAATACAGCACCCTGTTGAAGGAAGTCTTAATCTTCCATAGACCAAAGCGCTTCACATATTATCTACCTTTTCCAAACTCAAGCCTTCACTCCATCGTTTCATAGAACTGGAAGTTAAAATAGCAAAATGAAGCCTCAGCCTGCTTGACAAAGGACAATGAATAATGGTTCATGCACAGGCTCTCTGAAAGCAGCTTCAAAACTGCCATTTAATTGAATAATCTGCGCTGCCCAGAATGCAGATGAAATAGGGATGAAAGCCTAAGCATGATTTTGCTCAATGGCGCTCATCATTTACCAGGGACGATTGTGTGTTCTGCTTCTCCTCCCCAAACCCATTTGTCTCTTCTGTATTGATTTTGAAAAGGCTGATTCAGTACAAACAAGAAGAATCATTTCTCAGTCTTTGGAATGCATTGCTCTAATTATGAGGCTCAGTGGTTTTGTCCATATGATCAATGCAGGAAAAGACATGTTTAGTCCAAGTCACCTCAGTATTTCTGAATCCTTGTTCCCCATGTCATCCGAGTAAATTTAATTCTTTTGTGGGTGTGTCTGATGACCTACTAAGTGTGATGGGAGCACAACAGAACTAATCTAGGGGACAAAATGTGGCATATAAAATACCAGAGACAAAGTACTGGGTGTGTTGTTCACCAGATACTGGCCCAGGCCCAGGCTCAGGAAGTGGTTCAATGAGTAAGTATTTAAAAGTTATTCAATAGGGCAGGGGCCAGCAAACTTTTTCTGTCAAGGGTCAGACAGTAAATATTTTGGGCTTCAGAGTCTTTGTTGCAGCTCTTCACCTGTACTGTTGTGGCATGACAGCTGCCATAGATAATACAAACGGGCCTGGCTGTGCTCCAGCCATTTACCAGAAAATTACAAAGTTGCAAAAAAGATTTGGCCTTCAGGCTGTAGTTGGTCAACCCAGGCAGCAGGATGCTGTCGGATATTCAAGGGACAGAAATTATTAAAAACTTCTCTGACTGGAAGAGATTTTCAGCAAAGATGCACGAGGCTGGGCCTTGAAAATTGGAGGATTAGGACGTGCCAAGATAAGGAGGGAGACAGGAGAAGTAAAGGCATAGGAGCTGGTAACTAGGGAAGGGAATAGGACATATCTCAGATTGGCTGAATGAGAGGGTAGTAATGGGGAGTTCAGAGACAAAAACAGGTGGGGGCCAGGGCAGAGAAGGTCCTGAATACTGGAATAAGCACTGGACATTATTTTCTGGACCAAGGATTCCAAACATTTTTGATCAAGCATTCCTTTCACTAAAAAGTTCTTGAGGCCATGCGCGGTTGCTCACGCCTGAAATCCTAACATTTTGGGAGGTCAAGACGGGTGGACTGCCTGAGCTCAAGAGTTCGAGACCAGCCTGGACAACACAGTGAAACCCTGTCTCTATTAAAATACAAAAATTAGCCGGGTGTGGTAGTGTGCGCCTGTAGTCCCAGCTATGCGGGAGGCTGAGGCAGGAGAATTGCTTGAACCCAGGAGGCGGAGGTTGCAGCGAGCCGAGATTGTGCCACTGTACTCCAGCCTGGGTGACAGAGCCTGACTCCGTCTCCAAAAAAAAAAAAAAAAAAAAAAAAAAAAAAAAAAGTTTTGAGCAATACCTCCCACATACATATTTATTTATTTATAACTCATATGTACTACCTGCCATTGTCTTAACATTTGTACATTATAAAACAAACTACAAAAATGACATTAAATGTAAATGGAAATTAAAGTAGCATATTCTCTCTGGGCATTCCATTCTCTCTGGGCTCACTCCGTGCAGCCCCAGATGCAGCATGTCCAGAGAACGAGCTGTAGAACAGAAAGTCATTCTACAGCATACTCACAGGGAAACAGGTTTTTTCTTTTTCAATGAACAAAGTTTGGGAAATACAGGGAGAGCTGAGTTTAAGGAAAGGCAAAGAGGTTTATTCATTGAAGGACTTATCAGAGCCTTTAACCCTTTCTAAGTTAAAGTGTTTGAATACTGGGGTTTGGGGTCACATGGAGCACGTCCTCGTGCGGTGACAACTGGTAATCAGTTGTTGGTTGACCAAATGAAAGTGTCAAAATCCATTTGATCCACAGGCCTCTCACAAGACCTGCACTCCACAAAATTGCCTTCACAATCAACTCTTCAGGCCGGGTGAGGCCAGGGAAAGCTGCTCAGAGGGTGAGGAAGATCACGCTATAAGTAATGGCTCCTATGGCCTGGGATAAGGGAAAGCTGTAGGAGGCCATGGTCCTATCGTTGCACAGCTTCTGTCACAGATTTGGACAGAGGAGCTGGTCCAGAGTAGTATGGTAAAGATGACTCCAGAAGTGTCCAGAATTGCTGGTCTGTGCCATCACCATAAGAAGAAAAGAACAAGGGTCCTGGCTTTGTTATACCTTGACAGTTCTGCAGCTTCCCTAAGGACCACCTGGGCATCCCTCTTGCCTTCAGAGTTCCTCTCCTTTAATGCCACTGTCACAGAAAGTGGCAATTTTCAATTCTGATAGAGGTGCCACCAGGGAAAGGAATCCATTGCTCCAGCCCAGCCCTCTGCCCCTGTAGAATCCAGCAGCTCTGGCCTAATCACCAGTTTATCTAGGCTCCTGTAACCATGTAGAGCAAAGCTTCAGATTCTATAGGAAGAACTCCTAGACAGCAAAAAGGCTATGTTTGCGTGCCCTCCCTGGTGGGCTGGCAGTGACTGCCTGTGCGTGTTGAGAAAGTTTCCAGGTCTATATCTCAACCAGAGGAAAGGGTGCTACCTTCTCACTGGTGGCCCAGCCTCTCCTCCACCACCTACGTCCTTCAAAACTCATTACTCCCCAGTTTAGAGGTTGGCAAACTTTTTCTGCAAAGAACTATCCAGATAGTAAATATTTTAGGTTTTGCAGGCCAGACAGTCTCTGTGGCAACATTCAATTTTGCTGTTTTAGTAAAAACAGCCAAATGCAATACATTTTAAAAATGGGTGTGGCTGTGTTCCAATACAACTTTATTTATAAAAACAGGCAGCTGGCAGGACATGGCCCGCAAGCCCTCATTTCCTGAACTCTGCTCTGGTTCCCTCTTTTCAGGTGAGAGCACATAATCTCAGAAATCAAGGTGTCCTAAGACAGTGCTTCTCAACTCTGGCCAAACCTCAGAACAATGAACTCTGAATCCCTGGACAGAGGTCCAAGCAGCAGGATTCTTTCAGTCTCTCCAGGTGAGTCCAATGTGCAGCCCAGGCTGAGACACCATGTTTTCAAGGGTGGCTTCTGCTTCCCTGTCCTGCAGGGTAAGTTGTGTAACAAAAATACAAGGTGCCACCGCAAAGGGCTTGTTTCCTAGGCTCCACACATTGTGGCGTGGAAATTAAATTCCTCCTGTAGCTTCTCGCATTGTTTCCTGTGTGCATGCTGTAGAGCCAACTGGCTGCAAACTCCCTAAGAGGCGCACCTGAGCTTCTCTCACATCAATGCACCACTGACCCTAAGAACAAGTCCTACTCCAAAAATCCAGCCTGGCGGAAAGATCTAGAACACATGGTCAGCAGCAAAGCCAGTGCCCACTCAGTAAGTGACTATTAGTCAAGGTTCTCCAAAGAAACAGAACCAACAGGAGAGAGAGAGAGAATATAGAATATGGATAGGATAATGAGATACGTATATATTCCTTATATGTGCCTCAGTCTCCTCATCTGTAACGTGGAGTAACTGTGAACTCCTTCACAGTTGTATGCCCAGCTCCTATCACGGCATCCAGCACAGGGAAGAGAAGTAAGAACTCAGTACCAGGAATCCATGGTGATGGGCTCCATCACACCTGCAGGGCTCAAGGGTCTCCCACTCTCCCTGAAGCCTTTCCCCTTCCCAGCAACCCCGCTTCCTCTGAACTCTTCTCCCCATGGGGGAAACTGGCGGGTTCTTTGAACCTTTCCCTCATGGTATTCACTCCACTGGTGAGCCCTCAAAGGACAGGTAGCCACCTATGCATCCCTGGATTCCTGGAGCATCTGTCCTTCCCAGCATCTGTGGAGGTGCCTTTCTCACCTCCACAGTCCTGGCACCAGGCACAGTGCCCAGAGGTCCTCAGTCAAAGGTGTGAAGATGACTGAACAGACATGGCTGTCCTTGTCTGTACCACTTAGGGAAACATTTTTGTGTTTTACCTCCAGCTAGGAAGAGCCTTCCCACTCTCTCCCTGGCAATTTAGATCAAGCCAGAGGAAGAATTAGATGGACCTCCTGATTCTGTTGACACCTTCCTCTGCCTGGATTCAACCCTGCATTCCATTCATGAAGCGGGAACCGGCCTGGTATGGCCCGGAGAGCCAGGGCGTGGGAGCCTGCTGCTGCGCAGGGATGGAACGGTGCTTACTGCTGAGTCTCGGACTGTTTCTCTTCCTGTGAAGTGGGATTGGTGCCGCCCACCTCCTCAGGTCTTTCTGTGATCGAATGGGATACAATGTACACAAGTCACCACACAGTGCCTGCAGCAGGTTCCTAATGTGTTTTCATTTTCTCCTTTTTTCCTTATTGTTTTCTTCTTCCCAGCTCTGGGATGATGGCCAGCTTTTTACAACTTAGATTAAAAAATAAAAATTAGTAGGAATACTAGTTCTACATGAGCCAAACAAACACCCAGCTCCCGGTGCATGTGTGTCCTATGGGGAAGTAACATCATTGCTACTCAGCCATGCCCCTCTCCAAAGGTTTAGTGCCGTCTGGTTACTACTCAATCATCTCATTTTCTCCTCATATGTGAAAAATGATTTTTTTAATGATCTGTTCCAGAATATTTCTAAGTATTAACTCATTTATAATCCCCCAAGTGTCACAGTTCCTTTAAAAAAAATAGGTAATGAATAGCCCTCTTCCAGCCATCTGGAATCTCCAGCCTGAGAAAATTCAAATACAAGTATTAATGGCCTACTTAACAAGCCACTTATGAAGGCTTTCCACTGCAGCTTTCTGCAGGCCTCGCTGGCCACTGGGCATTTCACTCTAAAAGCCATGGAGTGAAGTGTTTAACTCCAGCACACTGAGTTCCAACCCCAGCTCTGCTCCTTATCTACAGCCTCTCAGCTCCGCATCTATAAAATGAGTTTATAACCACCCAGATTATAGTCAAGTTTCCTAGAGAAATAAATGGAGAAAGTCAAAAGCACTCAGTTCAGTGCCTGGCACACAATATTAGATTGAACTGTATAAAACTACCCTTTTGTGGGCTAAAAAGTGCCGAACACCAGCAAGTTCATGTGGTTCTACCTACCAGGGTTCCAACAAATGGCAGCAGTCACTATTGCAGTGGAGCTGACTGACAGGCAGAGGACAGAGGGAAACGCTGAAAGCCAGGGTGAAGACACAGTCGTCTCCCACATCTGATCCCTCAGCACCCACTTTGGGCCCCTCAATATCATCTCCTTATGGCATAGCGAGCTTCCAGAAATACCAACCTGAGTGGGCCATCTCCCAGCATGCAATCCTTCAGGGACTTTTTCCTGCTCTTAGGACACAAGACAAGATCCTTAGCACGGCTGATGAGGCCCTGCTCACTCTGGCCTCTGCCCTCCTGGCCAGCCACACCAGCACCACCTCCCCACTGCTCCCTCCATTCAGCCTCCCTGGTCTCTGCTGGTAGCTCCATTGCTCCATGATTCTCTATGCATGTGGTCTCTGTCCATGCTGGTCCCCTTGCCCAGGATACCTGCTCCACCTTCTGCTCACACAATCCTGGTTCCTCCTTGGATTCAGCTCAGTTATCATGTGCCTAGGACAGCTGCCTCTGAACTCCTTGACTGGGGATCTTGGAGCCTCACGAGCCTGTCCCATATAGTACTTATCCCAGGGGTCATCGCACACTTATCTGAGTGATTACTCAGTTGATAGGGCCTCTGCTCTACAGTGTGAGATACATGTTTGGAGGAAGCATAGCTGTTTCTTCCTGTGCCACTGTAATCTCGGTATCTAATACAATACAGAGTACAGAACAGGTACTCAGTAGAGACTGTTGAAGGAATGCGAAGAAAGAGAGAAGGGAGTGTCCCACCTCAGCAATGTCCTACCGTGGCCTGAGGACACGGCAGGAGCTCAGAGGGGCTAAGGGCAGCCAATAGTGGGCCAAGCTATGACCTAGAGAGTCAGGATGGACTGTTAGGGGAACTGTGTAGAGTCCAAGGGCCTGGGCTATTGTGAGGCTAGTCGGGCCACTGTTCAGTCTAATGCCATGATGGAGGGTTTCATAAGGTAGCTAGGAACTCCCCTGAGGGCTCCATCATGACCCAAAAAGCCCTCATAAGAAGATATCAGACTAATGGACACCCCAGCCTGGCAGGGCCTTTCATCAGTTCTTTCATTCATCAGTTGGTTTCGGAAGTCCTCCTATGTGCTCCTTCTACCCTTGCTTCCCTCTGCCCCGTAGCAGCCAGAATGATCCTTTTAAAATGAAATAAAACTACCTTGCTTAAGCAACCCATCCCATTGGTATGGAATAACCCAAGGTCATGCTTGATCTAGCTCTTTCCTCCCTCTCTAACTCAACCAGATGCACAGGCCGTCTTTGGATCTTCAAATAGACAAAGCTCATTACCATTTCAGAATGTTTGCATTTACTGTTCATCCTGCCTCGAAGCCTATTCCCCTAAGACCTTTGTATGGGTGGCTTCAGGTCTTAGCACAAATGCTGGCTCCACAGGAAGACCTTTCCTGAAAACACCCTCCTGTACCTTTCCAGTCACTGCCAAGCCCAGCCCCATCCAACAGCACTTTGTATGATGATGGGCATGTTCTGTACCTGTACTGTCTGATACAACAGCCACTAGCCACATGTGGTCATTGAGCATGTGAAGGTCACCAGTGTGACTGAAGAACTGATTTTTTACTCTTATTTCATTTTAATTAATTTTACTTTAACTTTAAATAGCCACCCATGGCTTGTGGCTACCATACTGAACAACAGGCCCATGCCCCTATTTTTTTTCTTTATTGCATTCAATATCTAAAGCGTTTAAAATTGTTCCTAAGCTTTCTGTCTATCTCCTCCATTAGAAACTTGAGCTCCCTAAGAAGAGAAATATTTTTAATCTTGTTCATGGTTGGAACTCCAGGGCCTGGTTGTTGGGAGACCCTCGAATATGATTTGAATAAGTAGGCTTGTGTCAAAAACTGTGTTGACACACTTATCCTCATAATATGGATCCAAGAGCAGAAGTCTCCACTCCAGGACTTGTCCCCAAGCGACAGTAAGATGTGCCATGCTTGTTGCTACTAATGACAGAAGTACTACATTTGCAAAGGACTGTCTGGTTTTTTTCCCCCTTTGATACAGGGTCTTGCTCTGTCACCCAAGCAGGAGTGCAGTGGCACAATCTCAGTCCACCACAGCCTCAACCTCCTGGGCTCAAGCGATGCTCCCAACTCAGCCTCCAAAGTAGCTGGGACTACAGGTGCATGCCACCATTCCCAGCTAATTTTATTCATTTTTTGTAAAGATGGGGTCTCACTATGTTGCCCAGGCTGGTCTCAAACTCCTGGGCTCAAGGGATCCTCCCACCTTGGCCTCTCAAAGTGCAGGACTGCCTTTTTGAATCATAGTGGGTATAAGGTTATGTGAATAATAAGTTCATCCCCAATCATCTGCATCAAGACTTATTTTCTAGAGTAGGAGGAAAAGGAGGTGACTAATACCTAAGGAGAAAATCAGCATATGGAAGTGCGTCACTCATCTAAGCAGCATTTCTCTCTCTACCATGTTGTCAGGTAGAGAAACAGGCAAATGCTGTGAATAAGGTTGCTTTGGCCTGCTCAGCATCTCTCCTCCCTTGTTTCAGAACTAGAAACCCCATTCTCCACTACAAGAGGGGCTATCAATCAAGAGGGCCCTGTCAGCCACACTCCACTCAAGAGCACATGACCCAGGCTGGCCCATTACAGTCCTTTTCCAGGGAATGCTGGGTATGCTGGGAGACTGAGGTCCCTGCACCCTGGGTCAAGGGTCACAAGATGTGGTGCTGCTGCTTTGGGCTGCCAGTGGTCATCTTGCCCCACACAGAGATCATTCTTCTGAGAACAAAGCCTAACAGAAACAGAGTCATGAGCTGGCAAGGAAGAGTAAAGTTTGATCAAATGATTCTGGTGAAATCCTTGACAAATCATACTGAAAGGCAGTCACATCTTGGAACGCCTAGATTAGTGAGTCAATACATTCCCTTTTTGTTTTTTATTCTAATTTGACTTGGGTTGCTGGAGTCCTGAGAAAGTGTTCAGCAACACTGCAGTGAACACTTGCAGTTAGGTTGGCTTCCCTGAATCTCAGTTTTTCTCCCAGGAGAAAAAGCATCAACAACATCTACTCATTTTAGTTAAGACATTTCTTTGGAAGTGATGGAATTTATCTTAAGATATGGAAGTGCTTGATGGAATTCAAAGGACTAAATGCAACCAGCTGTCAGGAAGGGCCTGGAACCAGAATCAAAAAAGCCTTCCAACTCCTGGGCAAAGTTCTCTCACCTCTCCTTTCTACTTCTCTCCAGGTGTTTGCACTAGTCTCCTCTTTACAGTCTGGCTTTCTTAGCCCATTCATTTATAGAACAAAAGAGAACTACTCACTCACAGCTTCTCCCTGTCTATGTCTTTCTGTTCAGAGACTAGCCCGGAATAGGCTGAAATTTTTCGTGCAATTCCCAAATCTTAGGAAAGGAATGCAGGGGGCAGGGACAGGACAGGAAGCAAAGGAGTCAAGTTGTGCATAGTTATTGGGCCCACCCTCATGAATGAAGGGGCTGTTGGGGGGTCACTGTTAGTCTGTCAGAGACTTTAAAAGCTGCATATTGGCCGGGCACTCAGACCTATAATCCCAGAACTTTGGGAGGCCAAGGCAGGTGGATCAATTGAGGTCAGGAGTTCAAGACCAGCCTGGCCAACCTGGTGAAACCCCATCTCTACTAAAAATATAAAAATTGGCTAAGCGTGCTGTTGCACGTCTGTAGTCCCAGCTACTCAGGAGGCTGAGGCAGAAGAATTGCTTGAACCCAGGAGATGGAGGTTGCAATGAGCCAAGATCACACAACTGCACTCCAGCCTGGATGACAGGGCAACTCTGTCTCAAAAAAAAAAAAAAAGTGTCTATTATACTATGCTATGGAGGGTTTTCATAAGGACTTTCTGAGCTAACATATCATATATAAAATCATCAGTGTAAATGACACTGATTGCTAGACGGCTCACACTCAAGAACCATAAGTTGAATCTGAACATGTGGCTTGCAGGTACAAACCAGAAAGCCAGCTTACAAGACCAACCATCCTATAGTTCCTTTAGTGTCCAATAACTAGACTTCCTTGGTTCAAGTTAAAAAATTCTCCTATGAATTTGAATCCAAAACTGAGTGGCAAAATGTGAAAGAACAGGGCTCAACCAGGGTACTTGGGTTCTAGAGCATAATACTTCAAGCATGATGATAACCCCTGATTCTACGGCAAATCCATATTTTTGGTGTTGCCTATTAGTAGTAGTAAACTGTATTTAAAATTATCTACCTAGGTGAGCTGGGCACGGTGGCTCATGCCTGTAATCCCAGCACTTTGGGAGGCCGAGGCGGGCAAATCACGAGGTCAGGAGATCGAGACCAGCCTGGCCAACACGATGAAACCCCGTCTCTACTAAAATTACAAAAATTAGCTAGGCGTAGTGGCAGGTGCCTGCAATCCCAGCTACTCGGGAGGCTGAGGCAGGAGAATTGCTTGAACCTGGAAGGCAGAGATTGCAGTGAGCTGATATTGTACCACTGCACTCCAGCCCAGGCAACAGAGTAAGACTCCATCCCCCAAAAAAAAAAAAAAAATTATCTACCTAGGTGGTTCTTCTTCAAAGGAACTCTCATACTCTCATAATTCACAACAGACTAAAAAGGGTTTCTGCACAAAGTCCAATTTAAGTAAGAAATAAATCACTTCCTAGTTTCCACATCATAATAACTTCACCATTTCCAGTTACAAGAGTTAAGAAGCAATTAAAAGATAGACACAGAATATGTGGCCTCATTATCATGATTATTATTGCCATTTAGAATGTTCTCACACTTAATATCGCAGTGGTCCAGTTGCCCCGGTGATTTACTCTCACGTTTCTCACAGGATGTTAATTAGGGGAAGAGACTACCAAGGCCACAGCATGCATATCACAAAAGGTCATGATGTCCATCCCCGGTTACCACGGTAACAAATTTTCCTAATGTCTTTTCCATCACTACCTAGCATCTTCAACACAGAGCTGCCTCTCTGATTAAAAGGAAAAAAAAGGTGATAACTCAACAAGTAAACTTACCACTGGTGTGCCTAATGTGCGGTGCTGGATTTCCAACAGGCTGTACCTGATACAGTCCGCGGGGAGGGGGTCATGGAGAATAGGAAGGAGAATGGAACAGAAAGAAAAGTTTTTCTAGACATATTTAGAATTTTCCAAAATCTGAAAAAAAATGTTATGTAGTTCCTGTGTCCTTTTTAAAAAATGGCCATGTTATTTAAAGTTACATTAAGGGTGATATGCTGGGAGTACCGTAGTGTTTCATTGCTTAGGGTTTCTTGAGGTCTTACTCAAACCCTCCTACCCATCTCACCCCATAAGGAAACTGCAGCACAACATGATTACATAACCATCTGAAGGTCCTACAGCTAGGAGGTGACAGAATCTATGCTTGAAACCTGATGTGAACAATTTCAGTGCTTACTCCAGGTGAGTTGCTCCGGGCAACTTTCCAGAACTTCAATTTAACAATATCTTATAGAAAAGCAGTCATTTATTTACAATATACCTATATCATACATTGTCTTGTATTTAGTAGGTGTTCTGAATATGTTTGAATGAGTTGACCTATTATCTGAATTACAATAAGTTACAGAAATGAGAAGTCATAAGTCAAGGAAACAAAAATTAGAAATTACAACACAATGACATTCCTTATGGGTTTTGCAACAACTACTAAGAAACAAGGTGAAAGATGGTGAGACTGTGATATTTTTCTCTCTCAGACTTCCCTATTTATTTTTGTGGTTGTTGTTTTAACTTCATATGACAATAAATAAATAGGATAAAAAATTAAACATCAAAATAAAAAATAATACAAGAAGGTAAATCCATTTAGTGCCTTGACACTTCATTTGAGATAATGCTCTGGAGAAAACGGATAAACTCTTCTGTGCTGACAATACAGATCGGGGAACTGCTCTGTGGCAAGAGAAAACAACTTCAATTTTGTCTTGTCAATGGAGGTTAACCTTCTATGTAACCTTAACAAGGTCTGTTCCCACCATGCACCCCGTAAAGGCTAAGAAACACTTCCACCTAATCAACTGCAAGATGCTGTTTGCTTTAGAAGCCTTTAGGGTCAAAAACAAAATTTTTTTAGGCTCTGTGCATCAAGACCTCAAAAAAAAATCATTGTGTGGCATTTAGACTTACGCAACAAGCTCTTACAGCAAATGCATACAAAAAGTGCAAATTTATGCAAAAAGCCCTCAAGGTTAATATTCCTCCAGCAATTTTCTATCCTTTTTCAATTAATTTAAAATAGCAATCGCATGCTCTCAATGCCAAGCCATTTAAAAGGATTCATCACTCATTCATTCATTCATTCATTCTCTCAATTAGCATTTGCTAGGCCCCTGCGACATGTTAAGGTGGTGGGAACAGTAATGCTCACAGAGTGTTCCATGCACTCTGCTACATTTCCCAGCATCCCTTGTAATTGGTGTTGGGCATGTGACTGGTTTGGCCAATGGGTTGTGAGCAGAAGTGATGTGTGTCACTTCCTATCTAAAGTACAGGAGAGGGGGCTATGAGTCTCCCACATTCTCTCTTCCCCTTGTAGTAATTCCAGAAGCTACATTTTCCAAATGACATGGCTACAGGATGAAAGGTGCCTAGGTCCCTGAGTCACTCGTTGGAAAGGAACTGCCTGGAGAGCTCCGAGACCCAGTGGCATTTACATGAGCAAGAAATAAACTTCAATGTGTGAATCCCCTGAGGTTTCTGGTTTGTTTGTTATCAGAGCTATCATGGACTAATGCAGGTGGGCACTGGGTGAGGCATGTGAAAAGAAGACAAATAATATAAATCCCTGCCCTAATTTATTCAAATCACAGAAAACAGAAAATAAACATAAATTATGGGCATTAGTCTTTTATAAAAATGTTTCCTTAAATTGGTTTAAACCACCTCAATTCACATTCAGATCTCCCTGCTTGCTAGTAATGAAGGCATTCTACTTGGTTGAAAGCCTTCCATTAGTTTAAAAGCTCCAATTGTTGAACTATCAACGTCTGTAAGAGTGTAATAAGGGATAGAATAACTAAGTGTTACGGAAGCAGAAGCTATAGCCATATTAACATTCATGAGTTTACGCACCACAGTTCCATTCCTAATCATTTACAGATAAAAATACAACAACAAAAATTTCAACTTACAGAAAAGCCAAATGCTTCTCACTGCCCCTCCTCTGCTCCCAAGTAACAACTGCGTCTGCAGTATCAGTTTCGGTTATGACATCTCAATTCTGCTTCAATTATTATGGAAAGAAACACTGTTAGAGAGTTACCAAATATAGCAAATGTAATTTGTTGGGAATTTGAGTTGTTATAGACATATTTCTTGATGCATATTTCTTCCAAGTGTTACCTTTAAGAGGGAAAATACATTTGTGTGCCAATGAAACCCAAAGGAACGTAAATATCTGGCTGTTCAAAAGGAAGAAGTCATTGTAGAAATCCCCATATGTATATTTTCACATCACTTAATGAAATTTCTGTATAAACTAATAGAGCCAATATGGTAACGTGGTGTGAGCACATTTGCACCCATAAAGATTCATTTATATAAACTAACACAGACATTGCTTAACCTCTCAAAGCATATCTTCCCCCTCCTCAGAAAGCTCCACATTAATTCAAATTTATTCACTTCATAAAGCCTAAGCAAATGGAATTCAGACAAACTCATCTAGTGATAGAGTTGCCTGTAGTCAGGGGTGGAATAAAATGAGAATGTCTATTAGCTTTTCAACCGCTCTGGAGAATGAAGGCCGTGTACACTTTTTGGAAAAAGATGTAAAGCCTGGGCTTGCAAGAACAAATAGCTGTGGAAGAACCGAGCACAGTTACCAATCATTTCACACGCTCCAACTGTTTTGAAGTCTTTGATCTTTGCCAGAGAAGCCACGGAAGCCAGGTCACTGAGAAGCCACCCCAAATTCCAGGGCCATTGTGGAATATTAGCCACAGGTTTTCCAGAGGCTGGAAATGGAGATCACACAACTTAACCATCTGCTTAAGGTTTCCAAGAAATCCTGAAGGCATCCCAGGAACACACTGGAAACACAACTCCACTTTGGCTGTGCAAATGAAACATCAGAGGGGAGTGAAGGTTTGAGGAAAGCTGATGAATGTCCCAAAGCTTTGGAAGACAAAATACATGTGTGGCTTCTCAACAAATGTCCTTACTGTTTCATTATCTAGAGGCAGCCTAGCCAGAGGCCACTCTTTCATGTTTGACCTCTACATTCCCCTTCCTAGAAGCACTAGCAGAAGGGCAGTCAGTCCATCTCCATGGATTTCAGGGCCCTCAGGAAGCAGGCATCTCCAAACCTTGCTGGTTCTCCCCAACAGAGACAAAGACATACAGAATCAGAGAGTGTCCCAGGACCCAGGGACTCCTGTGGTCATTATAGAGAGGAATAACCTCAGGCCTATGAGTGAGAAGGCTTGGACATTCTTCTATGGATTGTTTTCTTTTTCTGGATGAATCTTCAACTTTCTAGACCTCTGTTTCCCCATCTGTCACAAAGGAATTTCCACCAGATGACCCTAAGAGTTCCCTCCCAGCTTTCATACATTTCAGATTCTGGAGTCTTCCCAGGCTTTCCAGGCATTTAACACCATCCAGCAGAGTGGTAAATGGAAATACAAGCCCATGTTTTCCACCAAAAGAACCCCCAAATGGAGATAAAATAGAAATATCTCTAGAAGGAGGAAGGCAGCCCAAGTTGGCCAGCCACTATCATTATATTACAGAAAGGCCCATTTTTCAATTAAAAATTTCATACATATTTTATATTCTTTAACTTGTTTGTGACCCCTGCTTTTATGATTTTTCTTATCATAAAACCCTCATTTCAGTAACTGAAACATGTATTTACTACTACAGGGGAACTAAAAATCACGTTGGTGATGACCCAAGACAGTAAAATATGGGGAGAAAACACAACGAAGTGATCTAAGAAGTAAAGAACTTGCGACTGTGGGGTGTAGGGTGAGGGGCTGCAGATCCACATGGCTCTGTACCAAGCAACCATCTCAACAATGGTATGTTCCCTGCAGACCCCCAGGAAAAGGCATGATGAAAAATCAAAGAAATACATCCTGAGGGTCAGTGATTTCAGTGCAATTATTTGAGGAGGAACACCTGTAGCACACCTTTAGCATTCAGGAGGAAGTTTTCTTTCCTTCTTTTTTTTTGTAGAGACAGGGTCTCACTATGTTGCCCAGGCTGGTCTCAAACTCCTGGGCTCAATTGAGCCTCCTGCCTCAGACTCCCAAAGTGCTGGGACAGGAGAGTTTTAAGTCCTATTACAGATTCGACTTGTGTGAGCATGTGCAGGCACATGGAGTTTGGGGATGAGCAATTTCCTACAATTCTCATATTTTGGCTAAAGATTGAGAGGAGAAGAAATTCTCCTGGATTTTTACAGAATCAACTCCAAAAGGGTAAAACAGGCTACTAAGTAGAGCTGGATTTCCCAGATTCAAAAGATGGTATGATTTTGCTTAAATGAATACCTGTAAAAATTTGACTAATAGCTGCCCACTGAGCATGCTTTACTATAAAATATTTAAATACATCATTTAATCATTTGCTTTCAAGTGTTTGGCCACATATTTGATAAGTGCTTAAATAACTTCTTTCCATGAAACTGTATAGTAAAATTGTGTCTGTCATGACATTTCTATGGCTGCAGGACACACAGACTAATGTGTAGCCTTCTCTCCTATCGGTTTCTGATGTCTCCAAGAAGGGAGGGAGAAAAAGGTGGGAGCCACTGCCAAGCTCAGGACTTCATCATTTTCAGTAGCAATTTAAAATAAGGAAAATATGGAAGAGTTAAGGCTGGCAACACAAGCAGGAAGCAGGTTCCAGAAAGGCCTATAATTACGGTTTCCAAAACTTCCATATTTCTTCTGCTATGATCAATTTTCGCTGTGAAGTAGTCTTCCATCATTCTCAGGGGATATGTCCCAAGACTCCCAGTCAATGTCTGAAATCATGAACAGTACTGAACCCTATTGTATTAGTTCATTCTCACGCTGCTAATAAAGACATACCTGAGACTGGGTAATTTATAAAGGAAAGAGGTTTAATTGACTCACAGTTCAGCTTGGCTGGAGAGGCCTCAGGAAACTTACAATCACAGTGGAAGGGGAAGCAAACATGTCCTTCTTCACATGGCTGCAGGAAGGAGAAGTGCCGAGCAAAGGGGGAAAAGCTTCTTATAAAACCATCAGATCTCATGAAAACTCACTATCAAGAGAACAGCATGGAGGTAACCGCTCCATGATTCAGTTGCCTCCCACTGGGTCCCTCCCACAACACATGTGTTATGGTAACACATGTAGTTACAGTAACTACAATTCAAGGTGAGATCTGGGTGGGGATATAGCCAAATCATATCACCTATATATGAGATGGGTTTTTTATATATATACATATCAATGATAAAGTTTAATTTATAAATTAGGCAATGTAAGAGATTAACAATAAGTAATAAGTAATTATTAGAAAAGCATTATTAAGTAAAATAAGGGTTATCTGAACATAAGCACTGCCATACCACAACAGCAGATCTGATAATTGAGCCGCCTGACTAATGGGTGAGTAGTGTAGACAGCGTGGATACACCTGACAAAGGGAAGATGCACATTGAAGATGCGAGATTCATCACACTGCTCAGAATGACAAGCAATATATATATATATATATACACACACATATTTATATATATATTTTTTTGAGACAGAGTCTCGCTCTGTTGCCCAGGCTGGAGTGCAGTGGTGCAATCTTGGCTCACTGCAAGCTCCGCCTCCCAGGTTCACACCATTCTCCTGCCTCAGCCTCCCTAATAGCTGGGACTACAGGCGCCTGCCACCACACCTGGCTAATTTTTTGTATTTTTAGTAGAGACAGGGTTTCACCGTGTTAGCGAGGATGGTCTCAATCTCCTGACCTCATGATCTTCCCGCCTTGGCCTCTCAAACTGCTGGAATTACAGGTGTGAGCCACTGCGCCTGGCTGCAGTTTTAAACTTATGAATTATTTCTGGAATTTGCCATGTAATATTTTCAGACCATGGTTCACCTCAGATAACTGAAACTGCAGATACAAAGAGGGCTACTGTATTATATCACTTGCTCTAGTCATTAATTAAATTTTTTATTATGCTGTTATTTTTAAATTTAAATATACTCCTTCTAAAAGATAACTTTGTAGCATTCCCAGAAAATGGAAAACTTGTATCATGAGCCATAAAGTAAAAAGAAATCATAAAAATAGAATAAAAATAAGTAGTGGCATTCTAGCTAACTATAGTTGCCTGCTCTGTCTTGGTTAAAAATGGAGATAAGCAAAAATGAGGAAAATGTTGAAGACATATTAATAGTGAATTAAGACTTTCCTCCTGAGGTTGTCAGAGGGGTTAATTGAAAGAAAGCAACTGTTAGTTCAATATCCCAAGTGAATATCCTGCCCTAACTCCTCTCTACCACCCATAAATGATCAAGTACAAGAGGGTACACCACGGGAAAAACTGCTCCAGCCATGGACTGAGGATCCACCAAGGAGTTTTAACCTCAGAGAGGGTCAAATGTGAAGTCCAAAAATTTCTCTAGGAGAAATCTGATCTCCGTGTGAAGATGTGGTTGGAAGACAGACACCTGGAGCCAGAGGACAAGCCAGGAGAGGGAGGCAGAGATTCAGGGAGGAGATCATGATGACTTAAATCAAGATAGCAGACTTGGAGGTGGAGAGAAATGGACAGGTGAGGAGAGAATGGGGATTTGACAATGGAGAAAACTCTGGGAATGATTAATGTGGGGGCCCAGGGAGATGGCAAGTCAAAGATGCTCCCCAAATTTCTGGTTTGTGTCAATGAGTGGGTGCTGGGGCTGTTCTTGGGGAAACACAAGAAGAGAAGCAGGCTGGGGTGGAGGAAGTGATGACTGTTAAGTTTTAAATACACTGTAACGGGAGGCAGTCTGCTCCGGAGGATAAATATCCATGTCCTAGATTCGCAATGCATGGCTTCCAATCACTGCTTGGCGACTTACTAAGTTTTCCCGCAACGACCTTGGCCAAGCTGCTAATTCATTATGGGCCTCATTTACCCCATCTGAAAAAAAAAAAGGATAGTTCTTTCCTCTTAGGTTATAGGTACTCTATGCCAGATACCCATCTCATCACTTTACATATGAGCTAATACCCCATGAGAATTATCTGTTGGTATCATTCCCACAAGCCCAAGTTATCTTGATAGTATTTACTGGTCAACAAATATCTCCACAGTGACTAGTATGAGTCATGCCTTAGGCTGGTCTCTGCTGACCTTCCCTACAAAGCCCAAGCCTCCTCTCTCCACCCACTGATGAGGGTATCCAGCCATGAAACTACCATGGTATCTACTGTTTCTTTACAACCAGATATGGAACAGGTGTCCATGGTCTATCACACTAACCACTTGGATCTTTAACATAAAATAAAGTTATTGATGTCTTAGAAATTTGTGAAACTGCCTTCAAATCCATACAAAATTATTTGTAAACCATATATTCAATAAGGGGTTAATACCCAAGATAGATAAGAAACTCATATCAACTCAATAGCAAGAAAACAAACAACCTAGTTTAAAAATGGGCAAATGACCTGAACAGACGTTTGAACAAAGAACACATACAAATGGTCATCAGGTATATGGAAAGGTGATCAACATCACTAATCACCAGGGAAATGCAAATCAAAACCACAAAGAAGTAACATCTCATACCCGTTAGAATGGCTATTATCAAAAAGTCAAAAGGTAACAAGTGTTGGCATGGAGGGGGAGAAAAGGGACCCTTGTATACTGTTGGTGGGAATGTAAGTTAGTACAGCCACTATGGAAAACAGTGTGGTGGTTCCTCAAAAAAACAGAACTAGAACTACCATATGATCCAGCAATCTCATTTCTGGGTGTATATCAAAAGGGAGTAAATCACTATCTCAAAGAGACAGCTGCACACCCACAATCATTGCAGCATTATTCACAGTGGCCAAGATATGAAAACAACCTAAATGTGCATTGGCAGGTGAATGGATAAAAAAAATGTGATATATGTGATATATATATATACACACACACACGCAGGAATATTATATATTAATATAATTAATATAATATTCATATATATGAATATTATTCAGCCTTTAAAAAGAAGGAAATGCTACCATTTGAGATAACACGGACGAACCAGGAGGACATTATGCTAAGTTTCACAAGCCAGGCACAGAAAGACAAATACTGCATGATCTCACTTATATGTGAAATCTAAAAAAAAAAAAAAAAATCAAACTTACAGTAACACAGAATGATGGTTGCCAGGGGCTGAGAGTGGAGAAAAGGGGGAGATGTTGGTCAAAGGATACACACTTACAGTTATATGATGAGTGAGTTCTGCAGACCTAATTTACAGCATGGCAATAATAGTTAATACTAATGCACTGAATACCTGAAATTTGTTGAGAGTAGATCTTCAGTGTTTTCCTCTCTCTCTGTCACACACACACACACACACACACACACAAATGGTAACCATGTGAGAAGATGGATATGTTATTTGTAATGTATATGTATATCAAAACATCACTTTGTATACCTTAAATATATACAATGTTTATTTGTTTATTTGTCAATTATGTCTCAATAAAGCTGGGAGAGGGACGCATAACTTGGCAAGCAGTTTGACTCTTAGGGCAAGGCTGATTGTAGACAGCATTATAGGCAGAGACTAATAGTTGATCTTGGGGGAAGGGAACTTCAGCAGCTCTCCCATCATCCCAAGAAGAACCCAAAGAAACTGATGAGACCTCCCAAGTATGTTGACTAACTTTCTTAAAAGAAGATTTCTTCATTTGTTCTAAATAAATGGAATTCAGTACCAAAAGCTCAAAATAAAACAAAGCAAAACAGTCCCTTATTCTTATTTTTCCTCTTGCTGCAATTGAGACTTTCCATGCCATTTGCTTTTGCCCAGGGAGATAATTCAATTATTTTATTCTCCAACAAGCAGATCACTGGCAAAGCTAGGGGATTTTCTGCCCCAGATTAAATCAGGACTATTTGTTGCACACAGAGAACATTCTTTCCTTTGCAACTCACAAAAGGGACAGCTATGGTGGTAGAGAATTCACCAGCAAAGCTTGGTGGTGAGACCAAAGCACACCCTCAGCCTTTAGTCTCAGGTCTCAGGCTCCACCAGGATAATTTCTGTCGCCTAAGTTGCTTCATTCATCCCTGACTTGACGCAATGTGCAAGGTAATCTCTTACTTAGATTTCAGTTCTCCCAAGAGTCTGTGCTCAGTCAGGGTGAAAAGTTTGATGCTAACACCTTCAGTGTAGAATAAATTTACAAATAAAAAGACTAGTGGCTATAAAATGATTTCCTAGGCCTCACTAATATCACCACTGGATTACAGAGGCATTCTGGAAGCTATTTCGGCCCAGTATCTCAAAGCTTCAACCAAATGATATTAAAACTCAGCATTGTGGAGGGAAGTATGCAGCAGAGTGTATATCCGAGAACTCAACTTCACTTGAAAAATGAAAAAGTTCAATTCAAACTTGCCTTATTTTTCTAAGTGCATGGAATCCTGGGACCTAGACCAGCCTCCTTCTTCTGTTTGTTCCTGATGGTCTCATTTTCCCTCTTCCCCTTCTTTCTCTTATTTCTCTCTCTCTTAATCTTTCCTTCTTCCTTTTTTAATGAAGCTCCTTCTTCAATTATAGCCAAAATTTGCTAAGTACTTGCATGCCAGGTGGTCTACTATATGCTTTTTAAAGTTATTATTATACTTTAAGTTCTGGGATACATGTGCAGAACATGAAGGTTTGTTACACAGGTACACACGTGCCATAGTGGTTTGCTGCACCCATCAACCCATCATCTACATTAGGTATTTCTCCTAATGAAATCCCTCCCCTAGGCCCCCACCCCCTGACAGGCCCCGGTATGTGATGTTCCCCTCCCTGTGTCCATGTGTTCTCATTGTTCAGCTCCCACTGATGAGTGAGAACATGCAGTGTTTGGTTTTCAGTTCCCGTGTTAGTTTGCTGAGAATGATGGTTTCCAGCTTCAACCATGTCCCCGCAAAGGACATGAACTCATCCTTTTTAATGGCTGCATAGTATTCCATGGTGTATATGTGCTACATTTTCTTTATCCTGTCCATCACTGATGGGCATTTGGGTTGGTTCCAAGTCTTTGCTATTGTGAATAGTGCTGCAATAAACATATGCGTGCATATGTCTGTATAGTAGAATGATTCATAATCCTTTGGGTATATACCCAGTAATGGGATGGCTGGGTCAAATGGTATTTCTGGTTCTAGATCCCTGAGGAATAACCACACTGTCTTCCACAATGGTTGAACTAATTTACACTCCTACCAATAGTGTAAAAGCATTCCTATTTCTCCATATCCTCTCCAGCATCTGTTGTTTCCCGACTTTTTAATAATCGCCATTCTAAATGGCACCATCGTCATGGGGTGAGATGGTATCTCATTGTGGTTCTGATTTGCATTTCTCTAATGATCAGTGATGATGAGCTTTTTTTCATATGTTTGTTGGCCGCATAAATGTCTTCTTTTGAGAAGTGTCTGTTGATTTCCTTCATCCACTTTTTAATGGGGTTGTTTGTTTCTTCCTTGTAAATTTGTTTATGTTCCTTGTAGATTCTGGATATTAGTCCTTTGTCAGATGGATACATTACAAAACTTTTCTCCCATTCTGTAGGTTGCCTGTTCACTCTGATGGTAGTTTCTTTTGCTGTGCAGAAGCTGTTTAGTTTAATTAGATCTCATTTCTCAATTTTGGCTTTTGTTGCCATTGCTTCTGGTGTTTTAGTCATGACGTCTTTGCCCATGCCTATGTCCTGAATGGTATTGCCTAGGTTTTCTTCTAGGGTTTTTATGGTTTTAGGTTTTCTGTTTAAGTCTTTAATCCATCCTGAGTTAATTTTTTTATAAGGTGTAAGGAAGGGATCCAGTTTCAGTTTTCTGCATATGGCTGGCAAGTTTTCCCAACACCATTTATTAAATAGGGAATCCTTTCCCCATTGCTTATTTTTGTCAGGTTTGTCAAAGATCAGATGGTTCTAGATGTGCGGCATTATTTCGGAGGCCTCTGTTCTGTTTCATTGGTCTATATATCTGTTTTGGTACCAGTACCATGCTGTTTTGGTTACTGTAGTCTTGTAGTATAGTTTGAAGTAAGGTAGCATGATGCCTCCAGCTTTATTCTTTTTGCTTAGGATTGACTTGGCTATACGGGCTCTTTTTTGGTTCCACACAAAATTTAAAGTAGTTTTTTCTAATTCTAGGAAAAAAGTCAACGGTAGCTTGATGGGGACAGCGCTGAATCTATAAATTACTTTGGGCATTATGGCCGTTTTCACGATACTGATTCTTCCTATCCATGAGCAAGGAATGTTTTTCTATTTGTGTCCTCTTTTATTTCCTTGAGCAGTGGTTTGTAGTTCTCCTTGAAGAGGTCTTTCATATCCCTTATAAGTCGTATACCTAGGTGTTTTATTCTCTTTGTAGCAATTGTGAATGGGAGTTCACTCATGATTTGGCTCTCTGTTTATCTATTATTGGTGTACAGAAATGTTTATGATTTTTGCACATTGATTTTGTATCCTGAGACTTTGCTGAAGTTGCTTATCAGCTTAAGGAGATTTTGGGCTGAGATGATGGGGTTTTCTAAATATACAATCATGTCATCTGCAAACAGACACAATTTGACTTCTTCTCTTCCTATTTGAATACCCTTTATTTCTTTCTCTTGCCTGACTGCCCTAGCCAGAACTTCCAATACTATGTTGAATAGGAGTGGTGAGAGAGGGTTGTGTTGGTTTTCAAAGGGAATGCTTCCAGTTTTTGCCCATTCAGTATGATATTGGCTGTGGTTTGTCATAAATAGCTCTTATTACTTTGAGATACATTCCATCAACACCTAGTTTATTGAAAGTTTTTAGCATGAAGGGGTGTTGAATTTTATCGAAGGCCTTTTCTGCATCTATGAGATAATCATGTGGTTTTTGTCATTGGTTCTGTTTATGTGATGGATTACATTTATTGATTTGTGTATGTTGAACCAGCCTTGCATCCCAGGGATGAAGCCAACTTGATCGTGTTGGACAAGCTTTTTGATGTACTGCTGGATTTGGTTTGCCAGTATTTTATTGAGGATTTTTGCATCGATGTTCATCAGGGATACTGGCCTGAAATTTTCTTTTTTTCTTGTGTCTCTGCCAGGTTTTGGTATCAGGATGATGCTGGCCTCACAAAATATGTTAGGGAGGAGTCCCTTTTTTTCTATCATTTGGAGTTATTTCAGAAGGAATGGTACCAACTCCTCTTTGTACCTCTGGTAGAATTCAGCTGTGAATTCATCTGGTCCAGGACTTTTTTTCGTTGGTAGTCTATTACTGCCTCAATTTCAGAACTTGTTACTACTCTGTTTAGGGATTCGACTTCTTCCTGGTTTAGTCTTGTGAGGGTGTATGTGTCCAGGAGTTTATGCATTTCTTCTAGATTTTCTAGTTTATTTGTGTAGAGGTGTTTATAATATTCTCTGATGGTAGTTTATATTTCTGTGGGATCAGCGGTGATATCCCCTTTATTATTTTTTATTATGTCTACTCGATTCTTCTCTCTTTTCTTATTTATTAGTCTGGCTAGTGGTCTAGCTATTTTGTTAATCTTTTAAAAAAACAGCTCCTGGATTCACTGATTATTTTGAAGAGTTTTCGTATCTCTATCTCCTTCAGTTCTGCTCTGATCTTAGTTATTTCTTGTCTTCTGCTAGCTTTTGAATTTGTTTGCTCTTGTTTCTCTAGTTCTTTTTATTGTGATGTTAGGGTGTTGATTTTAGGTCTTTCCTGCTTTCTCCTGTGGGCATTTAGTGCTATAAATTTCCCTCTACACACTGCTTTAAATGTGTCCCAGAGATTCTGGTACGATGTGTCTTTGTTCTTATTGGTTTCAAAGAACTTATATATTTCTGCCTTGATTTCGTTATTTACCCAGTAGTCATTCAGGAGCAGGTTATTCAGTTTCCATGTAGTTGTGTGGTTTTGAGTGAGTTTCTTAATCCTGAATTCTAATTTGATTGCACTGTGGTCTGAGAAACTGATTTCTGTTCTTTTGCATTTGCTGAGGAGTGTTTTACTTCCAATTACATAGTCAATTTTAGAATAAGTGTGATGTGGTGCTGAGAAGGATGTACATTCTGTTTATTTGGGGTGGAGAGTTCTGTAGATGTCTATTAGGTCTGCTTGTTCCAGAACTGAGTTCAAGTCCTGAATATCCTTGTTAATTTTCTGTCTCATTGATCTAATATTGACAGTGGTATGTTAAAGTCTCTCATTATTATTGTGTGGGAGTCTAAGTCTCTTTGTAGGTCTCTAAGAACTCGCTTTATGAATCTAAATGCTCCTGTATTGGGTGCATATATATTTAGGATACTTAGCTCTTCTTGTTGCATTGATCCCTTTACCATTATGTAATGCCCTTATTTGTCTTTTTTGATCTTTGTTGGTTTAAAGTCTGTTTTATCAGAGACTAGGATTGCAACCTCTGCTTTTTTCATGCTTTCCATTTGCTTGGTAAATATTCCTCCATCCCTTTATTTTGAGCCTATGGGTGCCTTTGAATACAGCACACTGAAGGGTCTTGACTCTACCCAATTTGCCAGTCTGTGTCTTTTAATTGGGGCATTTAGCCCATTTACATTTAAGGTTATTATTGTTATGTAGGAATTTGATCCTTTCATTATGATTCTAGCTGGTTATTTTACCCATTAATTGATGCAGTTTCTTCATAGACTTGATAGTCTTTACAACTGGGTATGTTTTTCCAGTGGCTGGTACCAGTTTTTCCTCCTTTCCATATTTAGTGCTTCCTTCAGGAGCTCGTGGAAGGGAAGCCTGGTGATGACAAAATCTCTCACCATTTGCTTCTCTGTAAAGGATTTTATTTCTCCTTCACTTATGAAGCTTAGTTTGGCTGGATATGAAATTCTGGGTTGAAAATTCTTTTCTTTAAGAATGTTGAATATTGGCCCCCACTCTCTTCTGGCTTATAGGGTTTCTGCAGAGAGATCTGCTGTTATTCTGATGGGCTTCCTTTTGTGGGTAACCCAACCTTTCTCTCTGGCTGCCCTTAACATTTTTTCCTTCATTTCAACCTTGGTGAATTTGACATTTGTGTGTCTTGGGGTTGCTCTTCTTGAGGAGTATCTTTGTGATGTTCTCTGTATTTCCTAAATTTGAATGTTAGCCTGTCTTGCTAGATTGGGGAAATTCTCCGGCATAATATCCTGAAGAGTGTTTTCCAACTTGGTTCCATTCTCCCCATCACTTTCAGGTACATCAGTCAAAAGTAAGTTTGGTCTTTTCACATAGTCCCATATTTCTTGGAGGCTTTTTGCCTTCTTTTTCATTCTTTTTTCTCTAATCTTGTCTTCACACTTTATCTCATTAAGTTGATCTTCAATCTCTGATATCCTTTCTTCCGCTTGATCGGCTTGGCTATTGATACTTGTGTATGCTTCATGAAGTTCTCGTGCTGTGTTTTTCAGCTCCATCAGGTCATTTATGTTATTCTCTAAACTGGTTAGTCTAGTTAGCAATTCCTCTAACCTTTTTTCAAGGGTCTTAGCTTCCTTGTATCGGGTTAGAACATGCTCCTTTAGCTCAGAGGAGTTTGTCATTACCCACCTTCTGAAGCCTACTTCTGTCAGTTCATCAAACTCATTCTCCATCCAGTTTTGTTCCCTTGCTGTCAAGGCGTTGTGATCCTTTGGAGGAGAAGAGGCATTCTGGTTTTTGGAATTTTCAGCCTTTTTGCACTGGTTTTTCCTCATCTTCATGGATTTATCAACCTTTGGTCTTTGATGCTGGTGACAGACATTCGGATGAGGTTTTTGTGTGAACATCCTTTTTGTTGATATTGATGCTATTCCTTTCTGTTGGTTTTCCTTCTAACAGTCAGGTCCCTCTGCAAAAGGTCTGCTGGAGTTTGCTGGAGGTGCACTCCAGACCCTGTTTGCCTGGGTATCACCAGCAGAGGCTGCACAACAGCAAAGACTGCTGCCTGTTCCTTCCTCTGCAAGCTTCGTCCCAGAGGGGCACCCACCAGATGCCAGTCAGAGCTCTCCTGTATGAGGTGTCTATTGACCCTTGCTGGGAGGTGTCTCCCAATCAGGGGGAATAGGGTTCAGGGACCCACTTCAGGAGGCAGTCTGTCCCTTAGCAGAGCTCAAGCACTGTGCTGGGAGATGGGCTGTTCTCTTAAGAGCCGGCAGGCGGGAACATTTAAGTCTGCTGAAGCTGTACCCACAGCCACCCCATCCCCCAGGTGCTCTTTACCAGGGAGATGGGAGTTTGATCTATAAGCCCCTAACCGGGGCTGCTGCCTTTCTTTCAGAGATGTCGTACCCAGAAAGGAGGCAAGAGAGGCAGTCCGGCTACAGTGGCTTTGCTGAGCTGCAGTGGGCTCCACCCAGTTCGAACTTCCCAGCAGCTTTGTTTACACTGTGAGGGGTAAACCACCTACTCAAGCCTCAGTAATGGCAGACGCACCTCCCCCCACCAAGCTTGAGCATCCCAGGTAGACTTCAGACTGCTGTGCTAGCAGCAAGAATTTCAATCCAGTGGACCTTAGCTTGCTGGACTCCGTGGGGGTGGGATCTGCTGAGCTAGACCACTTGGCTCCCTGACTTCAGCCCACTTTCCAGAGGGGGGAAACGGTTCTGTCTTGCTGGCATTCCAGGCGCCACGGGGACATGAAAAAAACTGCAGCTAGCTCAGTGTCTGACCAAACGGCTGCCCCATTTTGTGCTTGAAACCCAGGGCCCTGGTGGCCTAGGCACCCGAGGGAATCTCCTGGTCTGCAGGTCGCAAAGACTGTGGGAAAAGCATAGTATCTGGCTGGAATGCACCATTCCTCACGGCACAGTCCCTCATGGCTTCCCTTGGCTAGGGGAGGGAGCTCCCCAACCCCTTGCACTTCCCAGGTGAGGCAAAGCCCTACTCTGCTTCAGCTCACCCTCCACGGGCTGCACCCACTGTCCAACCAGTCCCAATGAGATGACTTGGTACCTCAGTTGGAAATGCAGAAATCACCCGCCTTCTACGTTGATCTCGCTGGGGGCTGCAGACTGGAGTTGTTTGTATTTGGCCATCTTGCCAGCCACCTCCAAGAGAACCTGCTACATGCTTTTTATGTATCACTTCATAGAAACATCCAAAGACCTAGGCAGTACTTCTATTATTATCATCTCCATTTTTTGTTTCAATTTTTTAAATGTACAATTGACACATCATAATTGTACATATTTACACAATATGATGTGATGTTTTGACACATGCATACACTGTGTAATGACAAAATCAGCATAATTACCATATCCATCACCTCAAACATTCATCATTTCTTTGTGATAAGAACTTTCAAAACCTCTCTTCCAGCTACTTTGAAATATAGAATATGTCATTCTTAATTCTAATCATCCTACTATGCAATGGAACACAAGCATTTATTCTTCCTAACTGTAGTTCGTACCTATCAACCAATCTCTCCCCACTCCTCCTTCCCCTGTACCCTCCCATCCTCTGGTAACCACTATTCTCCCTCTACTTCTATGAGAACAACTTTTTACATTCCATATATGACTGAAATCATGCAGTATTTTTCCTTATGTGCCTGGCTTATTTCACTCAATATAATGTCTCCAGATTCACCCATGTTGCTCTAAATGACAGATATTATCTCCATTTTGCAGATGAGGACACCAGACTCACAGAGATGAGGCGAGGCAACTTGCCCTAAGTCTCACAATGGCTTGCCCAAGTCTCAATCAAGCTAAGACTTGAGACCCATCATTGCTGACTCAATATCTGTTACTTGGCAATCCCTGAGCTTCTCTTTCTCTTTTACTGTGTCCTTTCCACTTCCATGAGCCTAAGTGGGTTCAGGCAGCATTGATGTATTTCCAAGACTCTTCCCAGTTCCCTGGTCACACTTTACAGTTCACAGCACAGAAGGGAGCCCATGTGGGCTGTCAAGGGCAGCACACAGAGTTGGTGCCTCTTACCAGTCCCAGTTGGTTAGACTCACATTCAGACAGCATTTGATGCTTTGCTTTGAACTTATTTTCCTGGAGACAAATCATCTGACGCAATGATGTGTATCCTTTTGCCAGCCAGGACCCCTATTGTTGTTTGTCTGATATGGAAAAAATCCCACCCTGGTCTTCTCACTCAAAGACGACATACCAAAAAATATTTAACTTTTAAGTTTAAAAGTTACTTAAAGTTGATTCTTAGTATTGAGAACTGAATGGTACTTCCAGCAAGTAGGCTATAAGCCACAGCACAGCAGAACCCAGCAGGACCATCTGAACTTTTCTTTTTAAATGATCTTTGTTTCTCAACCCAAAGATAACACCACAAAATGATGAAGCAAACCTTTCAACACTGGATTGCCTACAAAATCCCAACCAACTGTCCCAAAGTTTTGAAGGACACCCACTTTTCTAGCTATACTTATAATTATACAGTGTTAGGCAACTAACAAAACTCAACGCAGCCTAGAAATCACAACATTATAATGAGATTGGTCACTTTTTACAACTATTTTATATCAGTCATACTAAGCTTCTTCTTTTGAACTTTTCCACATGTTTAAGTCCATTTTTCTTTTTTAAAAAAGTAAGTAACTTTGTTGCCCAGGCCCCTGAAAAAAATAAACACAATATATGAATAACACTTGCAATGTTACTGAGCAGCGCCAGCCATTGAGGGGAAAAACTTGGCTCGGATCAGCAAATTTTCCTTCCTTCCAAAAATAAAAAAGGCAACAACATCAGCATAATTACTGTTTTGTTTTCCTTTTCTCTGTTAGCTTGTGGGTTTCTTTACAACAATGGGTGGTATAACCAGCATTAACAGTGATATCATATAGAAAGAATCCTGAATTTAACAGTGTAAAAATTAATTTGAGACTTCTTTTAGTACTTTTTTCCAATTCTCTCCTTGATTAAACATCAAAAAAAAATTTATACAACACTCACTGTGGTAGTCAGAATTCTGAAAATGGTCCCATCCAAGATTCCTATCCCTTGATTATTCAAACACTAATCTAGGGGTATTTTGCAGATGAAATTAAAGTCTTGAGTCAGTTGACCTTAAAATACGGAGATGTGAACCCGATTCAAAAGCAGAGTTTTCCCTGGCTGGTGGCAGAAGAGAAAGTCAGAGAGATTCAAAACACAAGAAGGACTCAACACACGGTTGGTGGTTTTGAAGGTGGAGGGGACCACATGCAAGGGACAAGGACAACCAGCAAGGCAGGGGGGACCTCAGTCTCATAACCATATGAAACTGAATTCTTCCAACAGCCTCAATGAACTAGGAAGTCAATCTTTCCAGATCTCCAGATTAAGAGCCCAGCCAGCACCTTACCTTCAGCCTTGTGAGATCCAGGGCAGAAAAATCAGCCAAGCCCACCCAGACTTCTGACTTATAGAATTGGGAAATAATGAATCAGTTATTAATGTTAACGAGTTATGCAACAATAGAAAAGTAGTACATCTCTAGGTTGATGCAAAAGTAATTGCGGTTTTGGCCATTTCTTTCAATGCCAATTACTTTTGCACCAACCTGTACGCATGGCTGTGTGCTAGAGGGTTCCAAAATGGAGTGTATGCACTTGGATGTGGTCATAAGTGAGCAGTTTACCTCCCAGAACATAAACCAAGAGTACAGTAGACCACTCTTATCCACAGAGATACGTTCCAAGACTCCCAGTGGATGCCTGAAACCGCAATGGTACTGAACCCTGTATACACTATGTTTTTTCCTACACCTACGTACATATAATAAAGTTTAATTTATAAATTAGGCACAGTAAGAGATTAACAATAACTAATAAAAATAACAATTATAGCAATTACTGTAATAAAGTAATGTGAATGTGCTTGTTTGCTAGCTCTCTGTCCCTCAAATTCAAAAATAATGATCTTAAGGAAACTCAGTGAGATATAAAGTAATCAAACAGGAAATTCAATAAAATCAGGAAAACAATACATGATCTGAAGGAAACATTCAACAATGATTTAGATTTCATTAAAAAAATCTTGGAAATGAAGAATTCAATGAATGAAATAAAAATGCAACTGAATTTGTTAACGACAGACTAGATGAAGCAGAAAAACAATGTCTGAATGTGAAGACAGATCTTTTGAAATAACCCAGGCAGACCAAAAAAAAAGGAGAAGAAAAGAAAAGAAATTAAAGAAAGAAGAAAGCCTACAGGACTTATGGGATACCATAAAGTGAACAAATGTTCACATTATGGAAGTTCAAAAAGGAGAAGAGATGGGAAAAGGCATAGAAAATGTATTTAAGGAGAAGATGGCCAAATAGGAACAGCTCCGGTCTACAGCTCCCAGCGTAAGCGACGCAGAAGAGGGGTGATTTCTGCATTTCCATCTGAGGTACCGGGTTCATCTCACTAGGGAGTGCCAGACAGTGGGCGCAGGACAGTGCGTGCAGCGCACCGTGCGCTAGCCGAAGCACGGCGAGGCATTGCCTCACTCAGGAAGCGCGAGGGGTCAGGGAGTTCCCCTTCCTAGTCAAAGAAAGGGGTGACAGACGGCACTTGGAAAATTGGGTCACTCCCACCCTAATACTGCCCTTTTCCGACGGGCTTAAAAAACGGCACACCAGGAGATTATATCCCGCACTTGGCTCGGAGGGTCCTACGCCCACGGAGTCTTGCTGATTGCTAGCACAGCACTCTGAGATCAAACTGCAAGGTGGCAGCGAGGCTGGGGGAGGGGCGCTCGCCATTGCCCAGGCTTGCTTAGGGAAACAAAGCAGCCGGGAAGCTCGAACTGGGTGGAGCCCACCACAGCTCAAGGAGGCCTGCCTGCCTCTGTAGGCTCCACCTCTGGGGGCAGGGCACAGACAAACAAAAAGACAGCAGTAACCTCTGCAGACTTAAATGTCCCTGTCTGACAGCTTTGAAGAGAGCAGTGGTTCTCCCAGCACGCAGCTGGAGATATGAGAAGGGGCAGACTGCCTCCTCAAGTGGGTCCCTGACCCCTGACCCCCAAGCAGCCTAACTAGGAGGCACCCCCCAGTAGGGGCAGACTGACACCTCACACGGCTGGGTACTCCTCTGAGACAAAACTTCCAGAGGAACGATCAGACAGCAGCATTCGTGGTTCATGAAAAACTGCTGTTCTGCAGCCACCGCTGCTGGTACCAAGGCAAACAGGGTCTGGAGTGCACCTCTAGCAAACTCCAACAGACCTGCAGCTGAGGGTCCTGTATGGTAGAAGGAAAACTAACAAACAGAAAGGACATCCACACCAAAATCCCATCTGTACATCGCCATCATCAAAGACCAAAAGTAGATAAAACCACAAAGATGGGGAAAAAACAGAGCAGAAAAACTGGAAACTCTAAAAAGCAGAGCGCCTCTCCTCCTCCAAAAGAACGCAGTTCCTCACCAGCAACGGAACAAAGCTGGATGGAGAATGACTTTGAAGAGTTCAGAGAAGAAGGCTTCAGACGATCAAACTACTCCGAGCTACAGGAGGAAATTCAAACCAAAGGCAAAAAAGTTAAAAACTTTGATTAAAAACTTAGACGAATGTATAACTAGAATAACCAATAGAGAAGTGCTTAAAGGAGCTGATGGAGCTGAAAGCCAAGGCTCGAGAACTGTGAAGAATGCAGAAGCCTCAGGAGCCGATGCGATCAACTGGAAGAAAGGGTATCAGTGATGGAAGATGAAATGAATGAAATGAAGCAAGATGAGAAGTTTACAGAAAAAAGAATAAAAAGAAATGAACAAAGCCTCCAAGAAATATGGCACTATGTGAAAAGACCAAATCTACGTGATTGCTGTACCTGAAAGTGACGGGAAGAATGGAACCAAGTTGGAAAACACTCTGCAGGATATTATCCAGGAGAACTTCCCCAATCTAGCAAGGCAAGCCAACATTCAGATTCAGGAAATACAGAGAATGCCACAAAGATACTCCTCGAGAAGAGCAACTCCAAGACACGTAATTGTCAGACTCACCAAAGTTGAAATGAAGGAAAAAATGTTAAGGGCAGCCAGAGAGAAAGGTCGGGTTACCCACAAAGGGAAGCCCATCAGACTAACAGCGGATCTCTCGGCGGAAACTCTACAAGCCAGAAGAGAGTGGGGGCCAATATTCAACATTCTTAAAGAAAAGAATTTTCAACCCAGAATTTCATATCCAGCCAAACTAAGCTTCAGAAGTGAAGGAGAAATAAAATACTTTAAAGACAAGCAAATGCTGAGAGATTTTGTCACCACCAGGCCTGCCCTAAAAGAGCTCCTGAAGGAAGCACTAAACATGGAAAGGAACAACCGGTACCAGCCGCTGCAAAATCATGCCAAAATGTAAAGAACATCGAGACTAGGAAGAAACTGCATCAACTAATGAGCAAAATCACCAGCTAACGTCATAATGACAGGATCAAATTCAAACACAACAATATTAACTTTAAATGCAAATGGACTAAATGCTCCAATTAAAAGACACAGACTGGCAAATTGGATAAAGAGTCAAGACCCATCAGTGTGCTGTATTCAGGAAACCCATCTCACATGCAGAGACACACATGGGTTCAAAATAAAAGGATGGAGGAAGATCTACCAAGCAAATGGAAAACAAAAAAAGGCAGGGGTTGCAATCCTAGTCTCTGATAAAACAGACTTTAAACCAACAAAGATCAAAAGAGACAAAGAAGGCCATTGCATAATGGTAAAGGGATCAATTCAACAAGAAGAGCTAACTATCCTAAATATATATGCCCCCAATACAGGAGCACCCAGATTCATAAAGCAAGTCCTGAGTGACATACAAAGAGACTTAGACTCCCACACAATAGTAATGGGAGATGTTAACACCCCACTGTCAACATTAGACAGATCAGCGAGACAAAGTTAACAAGGATACACAGGAATTGAACTCAGCTCTGCACCAAGTGGACCTAATAGACATCTACAGAACACTCCACCACAAATCAACAGAATATACATTTTTTTCAGCACCACACCACACCTATTCCAAAATGGACCACATACTGGGAAGTAAAGCTCTCCTCAGCAAATGTAAAAGAACAGAAATTATAACAAGCTGTCTCTCAGACCACAGTGCAATCAAACTAGAACTCAAGATTAAGAAACTCACTCAAAACCACTCAACTACATGGAAACTGAACAACCTGCTCCTGAATGACTACAGGGTACATAACGAAATGAAGGCAGAAATAAAGATGTTCTTTGAAACCAACCAGAACAAAGACACAACATACCAGAATCTCTGGGACGCATTCAAAGCAGTGTGTAGAGGGAAATTTATAGCACTAAATGCCCACAACAGAAAGCAGGAAGGATCCAAAATTGACACCCTAACATCACAATTAAAAGAACTAGAAAAGCAAAAGCAAACACATTCAAAAGCTAGCAGAAGGCAAGAAATAACTAAAATCAGAGCAGAACTGAAGGAAACAGAGACACAAAAAACCCTTCAAAAAATTAATCAATCCAGGAGCTGGTTTTTTGAAAGGATCAACAAAACTGATAGATCACTACCAAGACTAATAAAGAAAAAAAGAGAGAAGAATCAAATAGATGCAATAAAAAACGATAAAGGGGATATCACCACCGATTCCACAGAAATACAAACTATCATGAGAGAATACTACAAACACCTCTATGCAAATAAACTAGAAAATCTAGAAGAAATGGATAAATTCCTCGACACGTACACCCTCCCAAGACTAAACCAGGAAGAAGTTGAATCTCTGAATAGACCAATAACAGGAGCTGAAATTGTGGCAATAATCAATAGCTTACCAATCAAAAAGAGTCCAGGACCAGATGGATTCACAGCCGAATTCTACCAGAGGTACAAGGAGGAACTGGTACCATTCCTTCTGAAACTATTCCAATCAATAGAAAAAGAGGGAATCCTCCCTAACTCATTTTATGAGGCCAGCATCATCCTGATACCAAAGCTGGGCAGAGACACAACCAAAAAAGAGAATTTTAGACCAATATCCTTGATGAACATTGATGCAAAAATCCTCAATCAAATACTGCCAAACCAAATCCAGCAGCACATCAAAAAGCTTATCCACCATGATCAAGTGGGCTTCATCCCTGGGATGCAAGGCTGGTTCAATATACGCAAATCAATAAATGTAATCCAGCATATAAACAGAACCAAAGACAAAAACAACATGATTATCTCAATAGATGCAGAAAAGGCCTTTGACAAAATTCAACAACTCTTCATGCTAAAAACTCTCAAGAAATTAGGTACTGATGGGACGTATCTCAAAATAATAAGAGCTATCTATGACAAACCCACAGCCGATATCACACTGAATGGGCAAAAACTGGAAGCATTCCCTTTGAAAACTGGCACAAGACAGGGATGCCCTCTCTCACCACTCCTATTCAACATAGTGTTGGAAGTTCTGGCCAGGGCAATTAGGCAGAACAAGGAAATAAAGGGTATTCAATTAGGAAAACAGGAAGTCAAATTGTCCCTGTTTGCAGATGACATGATTGTATATCTAGAAAACCCCATTGCCTCAGCCCAAAATCTCCTTAAGCTGATAAGCAACTTCAGCAAAGTCTCAGGATACAAAATCAATGTACAAAAATCACAAGCATTCTTATACACCAATAATGGACAAACAGAGAGCCAAATCATGAGTGAACTCCCATTCACAATTGCTTCAAAGAGAATAAAATACCTAGGATTCCAACTTAGAAGGGATGTGAAGGACCTCTTCAAGGAGAACTACAAACCACTGCTCAATGAAATAAATGAGGATACAAACAAATGGAAGAACATTCCATGCTCATGGGTAGGAAGAATCAATATCGTGAAAATGGCCATACTGCCCAAGGTAACTTATAGATTCAATGCCATCCCCTTCAAGCTACCAATAACTTTCTTCACAGAATTGGAAAAAAACTACTTTAAAGTTCATATGGAACCAAAAAAGAGCCTGCATCGCCAAGTCAATCCTAAGCCAAAAGAACAAAGCTGGAGGCATCACGCTACCTGACTTCAAACTATACTACAAGGCTACAGTAACCAAAACAGCATGGTACTGGTACCAAAACAGAGATATAGATCAATGGAACAGAACAGAGCCCTCAGAAATAATGCCGCATATCTACAACTATCTGATCTTTGACAAACCTGAGAAAAACAAGCAATGGGGAAAGGATTCCCTATTTAATAAATGGTGCTGGGAAAACTGGCTAGCCATATGGAGAAAGCTGAAACTGGATCCCTTCCTTACACCTTATACAAAAAATTAATTCAAGATGGATTAAAGACTTAAATGTTAGACCTAAAACCATAAAAACCCTACAAGAAAACCTAGGCATTACCATTCAGGACATAGGCATGGGCAAGGACTTCATGTCTAAAACACCAAAAGCAATAGCAACAAAAGCCAAAATTGACAAATGGGATACAATTAAACTAAACAGCTTCTGCACAGCAAAAGAAACTACCATCAGAGTGAACAGGCAACCTACAAAATGGGAGAAAATTTTCGCAACCTACTCATCTGACAAAGGGCTAATATCCAGAATCTACAATGAACTCAAACAAATTTACAAGAAAAAAACAAACAACCCCATCAGAAAGTGGGCGAAGGATATGAACAGACACTTCTCAAAAGAAGACATTTATGTAGCCAAAAGACACATGAAAAAATGCTCATCATCACTGGCCATCAGAGAAATGCAAATCAAAACCACAATGAGATACCATCTCACACCAGTTAGAATGGCGATCATTAAAAAGTCAGGAAACAACAGGTGCTGGAGAGGATGTGGAGAAATAGGAACACTTTTACACTGTTGGTGGGACTGTAAACTAGTTCAACCATTGTGGAAGTCAGTGTGGCAATTCCTCAGGGATCTAGAACTAGAAATACCATTTGACCCAGCCATCCCATTACTGGGTATATACCCAAAGGACTATAAATCATGCTGCTATAAAGACACATGCACACATATGTTTATTGCAGCACTATCCACAATAGCAAAGACTTGGAACCAACCCAAATGTCCAACAATGATAGACTGGATTAAGAAAATGTGGCACATATACACCATGGAATACTATGCAGCCATAAAAATGATGTGTTCATGTCCTTTGTAGGGACATGGATGAAATTGGAAATCATCATTCTCAGTAAACTATCGCAAGGACGAAAAACCAAACACCGCATGTTCTCACTCATAGGTGGGAATTGAACAATGAGAACATATGGACACAGGAAGGGGAACATCACACTCTGGGGCCTGTTGTGGGGTGGGGGAAGTTGGGAGGGATAGCATTAGGAGATATACCTAATGCTAAATGACGAGTTAATGGGTGCAGCACACCAGCATGGCACATGTATACATATGTAACTAACCTGCACATTGTGCACATGTACCCTAAAACTTAAGAGTATAATAATAATAAAATAAAATAAAAAAAGAAAATGTATTTAAGGAAATAACAGTTTAAAACGTCCTAAATCTTGGGAGAGAGATAAACATCCAGATCCAGGAAGCTCAGAAACCTCCAACAGATTCAACCAAAAAGGTCCTCTCTGAGGCACACTGTAGTCAAATTGTCAAAAGTCTGAGACAAAGAGAGAATGCTAAACACAGCAAGAGAAAAACATCAAATCACATACAAAGGAACCCTTACTAGACTATCAGTAGATTTCTCAGCAGAAACCTTACAGGCCAGGAAATAATTCGATGATATATTCAAAGTAGTAAAAGGGAAAAAAAAAAAACTGCCAGCAAAGAAAATATACCCAAAAGCTGTATTTCAGAAATGAAAGAGAAATAAAGTTTTCTCAGACAACCAAAAACTGAGGAAATTCATCATCACTAGATCAATCTTACAAAGCAATGCTTACAGGAGTGCTACACATTGAAGTGAAATGTCAATAACTATCATAATGAAAACACATGAAACTACAAAATTCACTGGTGGAGCAAATACACATAGAAGTAAGAGAAAAGAATCAAACATTATCACTACAGAAAACTACCAAACTGCAATGATAAGCAATGAGAGAAAGAAAGGAACAAAGGATATCAAAAACTTATCAAAAACCAATTAACAAAATGACAGGAGTAAGTTCTCACCTACAAATAATAACCTTAAATGTAAATGAATTAAATTTCCCAGTTAAAAGATATAGGCTGGCAGAATGGATACAAAAATACAACCCAACTATATGCTGCCTACAGGAAATTTACTTTGCATGTAAAGACCCAAAGACTTAAAATAAAGGAATAGAAAAATGATATCCATACAAATAGAAACTAAACGTGAGCAGGAGTACCTATACTTACATATTTTAAAAAGACCTTTAAGTCAAAGGCTGTAAGAAGAGACAAAGAAAGTCATTATGTAATGACAAAGGGATCATTCAGTGAGAGGATATAAAAATTGTAAATATATATGTACCCAACACCAGAGCACATGTATATATGGTTGTGTGCACATATATTTACATGTAAAGCAAATATTATTAGATCTCAAAAGATATATAGATTCCAATACAATAAAATCTGGGGACTTCCAAACCCCACTCTCAGTACTGGACAGATCATCTATACAGAAAATCAATAAAAAAAATCCAATATAAGCTGTGTTATAGACCAAACACACCTATGGACATTTACAGAAAATTTCATCCAACAGCTGCAGAAGACACATTCTTTTCATCAGCACACGTGACATTCTCCAGGACTGACCATATGTTAGATCGCAAAACAAGTCTCAACAAGTTTTTAAAAATCAAAATAATATCAACTATATTTTCTAATGACAATGTAATAAAACTAGAAATCAGTAACAAGAACTTTCAGAACTATACAAATGCATGTAAATTAAACAACATGCTCTTGAACAACAAATGGGTCAATGAAGGAATTAAGAAAGAGATTGAAAAATTTATTGAAACAAATTAAAACAGAAACACAACATACCAAAACCTATAGGATACAGCAAAGGCAGTATTAAGAGGGAAGTTTATAACAATAAATGCATACATCAAAAAAACTAGAAAGATTTCAAATAACCTAATTATACACCTCAATGAACTAGAAAAACAAACCAAACCCCAAATTAGTACATGGAAAGAAAGAAATAAAATTGAGACCAACAGAACAAAAAAAGATCAACAAAATGAAAAGTTGGCTTTTTGAAAAGATAAACAAAATTAATAAACCATTAGGTAGACTAATTAAAAAAAAAGACCCAAGTAAGCAAAATGAGAAACAAAAAAAGAATTACAGCTGATACTACAGAAATACAAACAATCATTACAGACCACTATAAGCAACTATAGGCCAAAAAACTGGAAAACCCAGAGGAAATGGATAAATTCCTGGACACATACAACTTATAAAGATTTTGCCAAGAAGAAATAGAAAACTCAAACAGACCAATAATGAACCAAGAGGTTAAAGTTGTAGTTAAAAACCTCCCAATAAAGAAAAGCCCGGGACCGAGTGGTTTCACTGCTCAACTTTTAAAGAAAAACTAATGCCAATTCTTCTCAAATTATTTCCAAGAAATGAAGAGGAGGTAGCACTTCCAAACTCACTCTATGAGGCCAACATTACCCTGTTACAATACCAGACAAGGACACAACACCAACCAAAAAAAGAAAACTATAGGCCAATATCCCTAATGAATACAGAGGCAAAAATTCTCAAAAGAATCTGTTTGCAGATGATCTTATATATAGAAAAACAACCTAAAGACTCCACCAAAACTCTTAGAACGGACAAACAATTTCGGTAAAGTTGCAGGATACAAAATCAATATATTAATATAAAAATCAGTAGTATTCCTACACACCAACAACAAACTAGCTAAAAAAGAAATCAAGAAAGCAATCCTATTTACAATTGGTACCAAAAATAAATAAAATACTTAAGAATAAATTTAACCAACAAGACAAAAGATCTCTACAAGGAAGTCTATGAACACTGATGAAAGAAATCAGGAAGACACACACACACAAAAATGGAAAGACATCCCAGCCTCATGAATATACCGAAGAATTACTTTGTTAAAATGACCATACTACCCAAAGCAATCTACAGATTCAATGCAATCTCTATCAAAATACTAATGACATTCTTCACAGAAACAGAAAATAAATCCTAAAATTTGGATAGAACCATATAAGAGTCTGAATATCCAAAGCAATCCTGAGCAAAAAGAACAAAGCTGGAGGCTTCATACTATCTGACTTCAAAATATAACATAGTACTGGCATAAAAACAGACACATAGACCAATGGAACAGAATAGAGAGCCCAGAAATAAATCCAGTTATATGGAGCCAGCTGATTTCCCACAAAGGTGCCAACAACATTCACTAGCGAAAGGACAGCCTCTTTAATAAATGGTGCTGGAAATACTGGATATACATTTGTAGAAGAATGAAACTAAACCCATATCTCTCACCACATAGAAAAAAATCAACTCAAAATGAATTAAAGACTTAAATCTTAAAATGAAATTATGAAATGAGTAGAAGAAACCATAGGAGAAATGCTTCAGGACATTGATCTGGCAAAGATTTTATGGCAAAGACCTTAAAAGCACAGACAACAGAAGCAAAAATAGACAAATGGAATTATATCAAACTAAAATACTTCTGCACAGCAAAGGAAAACAATCAATAGAGTGAAAAGACAACCTCCAAAATGGGAAAAAAAATATCTGCAAACTACTCGTCTAAAATGGATTATTATACAAAAAACTCATACAACATTAGAAAAACAAATAATCTGATTAAAAATGGGCAAATGATCTGAGTGGACATCTCTCAAAATAATCTGGCATACAAATGTCCAAATATGTTAAAAAATGCTCAACATCGCTAATCAACAGGAAAATACAAATCAAAACCACAATATCATCTCACCTCAGGATGGTTATCATCAAAAAGACAAAAAAAGCAAATGTTGGTGAGGAGGCAGAGAAAGGGGAATTCTTATACAGTGTTGGTGGGAATGTAAATTAGTACAGACATTATGGAAAACAGTATGGAGGTTCTTCAAAAAAAACTCAAAATAGAGCTATCATATGATCCAGCAATCCCCCTACTGGGTATATATCCAAAGGAAAGGAAGTCAGTATGTTGAAGAGATATCTGCGCCCCCATGTTTATCACAGCACTATTCGCAATAGCCAAGATAGGGAAGCAACTCATGTTCATCAACAGATGAATGAACAGAGCAAATGTGGAATGTATACACATTTATATACAAGTCAGCCTTAAATAAGAAAGAAATTCCGTCACTTGCTGCAACATGGATGAGCCTGAAGGACATTATGTTAAATGAAATAAGCCAGGCACAGAAAGACAAATGCTGTGTATTCTCACCCATATGTAGAAGCTAAAAAAGTTGATCCCATATAAGCAGAGAGTAGAATAATGGTTATTAGAGGTGGGGAAAGAGGGAGGTGGATAGCCAAAGGTTGGTTAATGGATACAAACATACAACCATATAGTAGGAATAAGTTCTAATGTTTCATAGCACTGTAGGGTGTCTATAACTAACAATTTATTGTATATTTTTAAATAGCTGGAAGAGAGGATTTTGAACATTTCCAATATGAAGAAATGATACATGTTTGAGGTGATGGATGTACTGATTACCGAGATTTAATCACTGTACATTGTGCACATGTATTGAAACATCACATGGTACCCCCTAAATATGTACAATTATTATGTGTCAATTATAAATGATAATTTTTGAAATACCATATGCAAAGTTATAATAATAAAAGCCAATCAGTGGTTGCCAGGAGTGAGGCAATGGGGTGAGGAGACTGACTACACCGGGGTACAAGAGAACTTTTGGGGGTGAGGGAGGGAAATGTCGTTTGTAATGATTTTGATGTTGGCTACATAAAGGAATGCATCTGTCAAAATTCATCAAATTGTACACTTAAAGTGTATGAATTTTATTGATGCAAATTATACTTTACTAAAGTTGAGTCCTCAAAAAATAAATTTAAAAAGAAACATCTTATGAAATAGTGTTTTACTGATCAGTTAGGGCTACCACATATAATTACTTGGCCAAGAATCAGTGGAGGGTGTGTGCAGATTCATAGGACTGTTAGTACTGATATTAGAGACATGCTAGTTCAACCTTTCCACCTAACAAATTAGAAGGACATCAGTGCTAGCCTGCCCAGAAGGCTCTCCCCTTCTTTTACTAACTATACACTAATTTCCATGATTTCAGCTCATGTGGTTTGGGTGTCACTGATTGCACCTCTGGATCCAGTAGAGAATATGTGACTTATGCATAAACCACACAATAAAATCGATCTCCCCAACATGTGGGGACAGGTACTTTGCACAGCTCGAACTAATAATGGGAGGGCCCAGGACTTTTGTGCAAATATTATTACAACACAGGTCCTTTTCTCTGGCATATAAGCAGTTGAGGAACTGGTGGGGACAACCACATGGACACAACTTACCTAACAGTAACACCAAGACAGAGGAAGAAGGAATTGAGAGAGCAAGAGAGAGAGCAAGAGCAAGACATTGTTTGAATCCTTGGACTGGGCCCTGCCTGAAATCTGAACTACCCATGAATATTTCACTTATGAGAGCCAAAACAGGCTCGTTTTGCCTAAGCTAGTTTGAGCTGTGTTTCTGTTAATGGCAACCAAAAAGATCTCGTTTGTATAAATGTGGAAGCAGAAAGTCCTGAGAGGGATGGTGTTTCAGGTCGAATTAAGTCCCCCCAAAAGATATGTTGAAGTCCTACCCACAGGTACCTGTGATTGTGACCTTACTTGGAAACTGGGTCTCTGCAGATGTAAAAAGTCAATTAAAGGTCATAGTAGATTATGGTGAGCCCTAAATCCAATATAACCGCTGTCCTTATAAGAAAAGGAGGCTGGGCACAGTGGCTCATGCCTGTAATCCCAGCACTTCAGGAGGTTAAGGAGGGCAGATAACTTGAGCCTAGAAATTCAAGGCTAGCATGGACAACACAGAAAGACCTCATCTGTACAAAAAATACAAAAAATTAGCTGGGTGTGGTGGTGCATACTTATGGTCCCAGCAGCTTGGGAAGCTGAGGTAGGGAGACTGCTTAAGCCCAGGAGGCTGAGGCTACAGACAGCTGTGATCATGCCACTGCACTCCAGCTTGGGTGACAGAGAGGGACCCTGTCAGAAAGAAAGAGGAGAAAGAGAGAGAGAAAGAAAAAGAGAGGGAAAGAAAGAAAGAAAAAAAGAAGACATAGAAACACAGACGAACACCGAGGGAAGATGACCACATGGAGAGGGAGGCAGAAATTAGAGTGATGCAGCAGGAAGCCAAGGCATGCCAAGGACAGCCAGCAACCACCAGAAGCCAGAAGAGGCAAGGGATAATTCTTCCCAAGAACTTCAGAGGGAGCATCGCCCTGCTGACATCTCAATTTCAGACATCAAGCCTCCAGAACCATGAAATAAATTCCTGTTGTTTTAAGCCACAACTTTGTGGTATTTTGTTACAGAAGCCCTGGGAAATTAATACAGATTTTGGTACTAGGAAGTGAAGTGCTGCTGTGACAAGTACCTAAACATGTGGCAGTGGCTTTGGATTGGGTAATGGAATAATTTTGAGATTCAAGACAGAAAAAGCCTAGGTTGCTTTAAAGAGACTGCTGGGAGAAATACAGACATTAAAGACAATTCCAGTGCGAGTTCAGAAAGAAAACTGTAGAAAGAGCTACTATCATCTTACAGAAGACACATGTGATATGGTTTGGCTGTGTCCCCACCTAAATCTCACCTTAAATTGTAATAATCTCCATGTGTCAAGGGCAGAGCCAGGTGGAGATAACTGAATCATGGGGGGCAATTTCCCCCATACTGTTCCCATGGCAGTGAGTAAGTCTCATGAGATCTGATGGTTTTATAAATGGGAGTTCCCCTGCACAAGCTCTCTTGCCTGCCACCATGTAAGATGTTCCTTTGTTTCTCCTTTGCCTTCTGCCATGATTGTGAGGCCTCTCCAGCCATGCTGAACTGGAGGTCCATTAAACCTCTTTCCTTGATAAGTTACCCAGTCTCAGGTATGTCTTTATTAGCAGCCTGAGAACAGACTAATACAATATATTTTCATGAACAGAATGTCGCTAGTAAAAGGAAGTTTAAAGGTACTTCTAGTGAGGCATTAAAAGGAAATTATGAACATGTTATTGGACACTGGAGGAAAGTTGTTAGACACTGGAGGATGCAGGAGGAAAGGGCACTGGAGGTAATCCTAGAGCTTGTGTGTATGTATTTATTGAGATACAGAGTGGTATAAAATTTGCCTTGGTATCAAATGGTAGAAAACTTGGCTGAGTTATCTTCTACCACTGGGTAGAAAGCAGAACTTATAAGTGATGACCTTGAAGATGATTTGAAAGCAAAGTGCAGAAGGTGTGGCCTAGTTTTTCCTTGCTGCTTATAGTGATATGTGAGAGGAAAGTGATAAACTGAGGATGGAATTGTTAATCAAAAAGAAATCCACACTTCGTGATTTTGAAATTTTTCAGTCTATCCAGTTAGCAAAAAATGCGATAGCACACTCTGGAGAGAACACCAAGAGCGTAACTGTACACACTTCCTATGGAGAGATTAGGCATGTGACTCGTGAACCCAATCAATCACCTAAAGAGAAGCCCGGAATAGAGATGGGATTATCCAGGAAAAATCTGTGAAGAATCTTTCTGTCTAATGGCATGAATCCACTTGACATTTGTAGAAGACTAACAAGGTTTTAAAAATACAAAAATTAGCTGAGCGTGGTGGTGTGTGCCTGTAGTCCCAGCTACTTGGGAGGCTGAGGCAGGAAAATCTCTTGAACCCGGTAGGCAGAGCTTGCAGTGAGCCAAGATTGCGCCACTGCACTCCAGCCTCCAGCCTGGTGACAGAGCAAGAGGCTGTCTCAAAAAAAAAAAAAAAAAAAAAAAAAAAAAAAAGATTATTATATCAGCAGAAAGGGACAGACATAGGATAAAATGAAGGAAGAATGAATCTGACGTCAGGGGCACAGATTCATAAGCCAGAGAAGGCAGGGCCAAGAGGTTGAGGTTGCCACCTGGTACCCAGAAGGTGGAGCCTTGAACCACAGAGAATGATTCTCAGGCCTTAAAGCCTAGTAGAGTTTGTTCTGCTGGGTTGCGAACCTACTTGGTATCCATGACTCTTTTATTCCTTCCAATTCCTCCCATTTGGAGTAGGAATGTCTATCCTATGCCAGTTCCACCATTGTATTTCAAAAGCAGATAACTTGTTTCTCAGATCCACAAATGGAGAGGAATTTTGTCCCAGGATGCACCACACCCTGAGTCTCCCTGACACCTGAATAAATGAGTTAGAAGATGAGATGTGGGACCTTTTGAGTTGATTATAATTACATGAGATTGTCTTAGTTCCTTTAGTGTTGCTATAAAGGAATACCCAAGGCTGGGTAATTTATAAAGAAGAGGTTCCTCAGGCTCCTTCCACTATGGTGGAAGGTGAAGGGGAGCCAGCGTGTGCAGTGACCACATGCTGAGAGAGGAAGCAAGAGAGAGAGGGCCGGGGAGGTGCCAGGCGCTTTTTAACAACCAGCACTCACCAGAACTAATAATGAGAACTCATCCCCTCCCCTGAACCAGGGAGGGCATTAATCTATTCATGAGGGATCCTCTCCTATGGCCCCAACACTTCCCATTAGGCCTCACCTCCAACAATGGGGATCAAATTTCAATATGAGATTCATAGGGGACAAACATTCAAACTAGAGCAGAGATTTTGGACTTAAGAGTCGATGCTGGAATGGATTAAGATGTGAAGAGATGTTGGGATTGAATGTGTTTTGCACATAGGAAGGATATGAATTTTTGGAGGCCAAAAGGCAATATGTTGTAGGCTAAATTGTGTCCCCTCAAAAAGATATGTGGAAGTCCTAACCCTAGGTACCTGTGAATGTGAATTCTATCGTTTAGAACCATGAAATAATAAATTCCTGTTGTTTTTAAGCCACTGAGTCTGTGGCACTGTGTTATGAAGGTCCTAGGAAATTAATACAGGCAGAGACTCACCTAGTTCCCCAGAGCCAATCAGTGGCAAACTGTGAACCATGAACCTGATTTGTAGATTGACTTAGCTTACAACGGGTGAGAAAAGTATTACATTGCTTAAATATTATAATTATTTCTTCCAAAAACAACTGGTGTTTCCAATTATTACATTTATATAAAAAATATCCAAAAGACGGGACAAATAGTAGAGATTGTGGACATATATTTATTTAGATACAAAGGGTATCAGTCTATTCTCACATTGCTATAAATACCTGACACTGGGTAAGTTATAAGAAAAGAGGTTTAAATGGTCCTTGCTTCTCTACAGGCTGTACAGGAAGCACAGTGGCTTCTGCTTCTGGAGAGGCCTTGGGAAACTTACAATCATGGTGGAAGGCAAAAGGGGAGTGAGGCATCTTACATGGCAGAGCAGGGACAAAAAGGTAGGTGGAGGTGCCACACACTTGTAAACAACCAGATCCCATGAGAACTATCTCAACAACAGCACCAAGGGGGATGGTGTTAAACCATGAGAAACCTCCCCCATGATCCAATCACCTCCCACCAGGCCCCACCTCCAACAATGGGGATTACAATTCAACATGAGATTTGGGTGGGAACACAGATCCAAACCATATCACAGAATGACTTAAAATTGGCAAATGAGGTTATATTTTAATTAATATAAAGAAAACCACACTTGAAACAAAACTTAAAACACCAAATTAGCAAATATTTTTCATTGTAAACATGAAGTGAACACACTATGTTCTTAAATGGAGTAAACTTGTCTTGCCCTAAGTATTCAGCTACACATAGAGATAAATTCCTGTATTTAGCCAATTCTTCAATATTAGTCAACAAGAGCAATTCTCTTCCTTTTATGTTGTTTGTATCAAATGAAGCCAGAGCGCTCTCTCTCTTGTGGTTTGTCCATTCACTCTATAAGAGGTATTAATGGAGTGTGATTAGTAGCAGAACACGTATTGATTCTTGGATCCAGCTTCTTTACTCCATATTATTGCAACCTAACCTACAGAACTGGAGATTCAAAACTACAGTTCAATGATGACATTAAAAAGTAGTTTGCTACTTCTTGTCTTTCACTGAGGGTTGATTGAATGACATTAACCATTCTAAAATAAATAAATTCAAGACAAAGTCTTATATTGTTCCAGAGTACTCATTTTTTGATTCATCTTGAGTCAATCCAAGACATGAAGAGACACAAAATAACAGAAGATGAACCTATCTCTGCACAAACGATTTATGGCTCTCCTGCCAAATGTTCTTCTGCAATTTGCCTTGCAGTTGTGAAAATAAGACATTGTAATGATATAATAATGCATAAGTGAAGCACCTGTCACAAAGACCAGAGTTCTGGACAATAGAGACAGCTGGGTCCACTGGGTTCACAAACACAATAGAGGTCTAGAGTGGTTTAATCATGGGGTATTGGTGCCCACAGAGGTGGAGACAATAGGACACTAATGAGAACATGAAGGCTGCTGACTCGTTTTTCCACTTGTTAGCACATTGACACTTTTTTGTAAGGGACACTTACAGATTTGGGCCTTCTGGCATCCCTCACCCCACCTCTGTTTCATCCTCCAGTGTTTTGGGTGAAACCAGGTCTCTCCTACTTTCGTTTGGGGGAACTGATGGGAATATAACCCAGGGGAGGAAGAAACAGAGACAGAGTGAGAGTGCTTGGGTCCTGACGACATTGTTTGGATTCCTGGATCAAACAGGGTCTAAAACACAGAACTAGAGGAGATGGCTCCTCCTGCTGCTCTTGATCCAGGCCTCAGCAGCCAGTACTCACCTACTTACTCCCATTAGCTCTGAGCTGGGCATAGGTCTTAGCTAATTTTTCAGGCCATTCAGAGGCAATGAGCCTCAGTTTGGAGACCTTTATGTTGAGCTGCCAGGGAGGCAGATTCTTCTTTCCCACTGGGCTTGGATCTGGAAGGATGTGAGGCTGGCACTGCAGCACCTCAGCTTGCTTGAGAATGGACCAGCCCAGGAAGACGAGACTGAACTATGGATGCAGAAAAGTAGGATTCTGGTGTCGTCTGAGCCCCTGGATTCATCCTTACCTGAAGCCAGATGTCTCCTTGAAACTTTTCGTAAATTCCCTCGTGGTTGTGCTACTTTGTGTGGAGTTTTCTGTCACTTCCCACTGATATCATCACTAAATACGGGTTTTTCTATTGTTAGTTCTTTCTGGAACTCTCTCCCAAAGTATTATTGAAGAACATAAATCCATTACCAAGACAAAGGACAAGATTAAAATTACCATCCTGGAATGGCCAGAAATGTCATCTAAAAGAGCCCAAAGGTTGGCTCACAGCAATACACGTCAAGACAAGACTAATCCTTGCAGCTTTCTTCCCCCACTGCCAAAGCATCACTTTCAAAAGAACAGGAAAGTCAGGATCTCTGGCCTGTATTTGCTTTGACGTGTAACTGTGGCCTAACAGAACCAAGCAGTCCCTGCCTGAATGTCAGCAGGAGCAACAGATGACTGTCCTCCTGCCATCATTCAAGGCCAACAAGAATCTAAATAAACAAAAGCTCTGCCTGGCTCTGAGGCCACAAAGGCCCTGCCACATCACATGAGACCACTTCTGTGGTCTGGCCTCCAAGCCCTGTGTATACAACATTTGACTGACACAAAAACAAAACACTGGAAAGAGTTTAGTTTCTGGAAACTTCCTCTCACAGACATTTGAGGTTCTTAGGCTTGAACCAGTCCTGAAATAGCCTTGAAACTCCTGATGTTTGCCTCAGACAACTTGCTCTTCCAGGATTTTTCTTCTTTTTTCTTTTCATACATTCTCAATTTTAATCTTCTTGGCAACAAATTCATCGTTAATACTTTCACCCATCACAATATAATTTCTCAGATTTTCTTTCCTTAAAATAGATAATTTTTAAGAAAAGCAAAAACCTGCAGCTGCCATGCATGTGGTGGTTTTCATCTATTTTGAATTGAAACAGATTAGCACTCAGAAAAGTTGTGTAACACTGATCAAAGGAAGCTGAGCTCATAACGCCTGGTCCACAACATTTGAAAACATGGACAGTTTTGTTGGCTGAAAAAAGTGCCTATTATGTAGTTAACAAGATGTCAATGCCTCACTTAAAAAACGCTCCTTCTAGGATACCCGCCTCCGGGATCCCACCTTGAAGGATGCACAATTTGGAAGAGGCCTTGTCGGAGAGCTGGAGAGTTCAGAGACACTCACTTGGTGCCCCATATACCAACTGCCTCAGAAATTCCAGGAGAGTCAGAGGTGCAGAGAATTCAGTGGGGAGGGAGGGGAGGCCAGGGAAGGGCATGCTGGGGCAGATATGTCAGATATCGTGCACTGCCAGCGCTGTCAGGAGATGAAAACGACATCCTCAGGCTAGATTCTGAGAGGGATTAGACACCATCATCATGAGGCTTGCTTAAATGTCATTTAGGAATCCCATCATTAGCACTATACCCCAAATATGATTTGATCAAAAAGAGGCAGTACTCCTTAAGGGAAAAAAAGGACACAAAAAAAGCAAAAATGATAAAAGGTGAATACCCATCAATTCTGGGTGGTAATCTTGATGTTTGTTATATTATCCATTGTTCTTTTCTGAAAGTTTTTAAAGAAAAGGCAGCAGCATAGTGTGGGAAGGAGCTTTATCTGTGGGCCCAGACACCTTACTTCTTTTCTTCCCTCTGCCCTTCACCACCTGTGGGTCCTTATCTAAGCAAATCCCTTGGGAGGTTTCAGTAGACCCATCTGTGCAGAGGGAGGTCCTCCCTCTCTATGCTCTATGGATTTTCCCCCATGAAAGTTCTTGACCAAATTGGCCAACATTTGAAAACTGAGAACCTGAACACATAAAGGCACTGATTCTATCACATATGGATGTTAAAGAAAGACAGCATATTCGTTAGGAGACATGAAGGTTGTTGAAATTGAAGCCTCTTGTAAAAGTACAGGTTAGGAAAGACATCTTCCAGCAAAACACGAAAAGACATCTCCCCGAAAACATGTTCTCTTCTTCTATGAACATGTGTGGATGGAACCCACAGGCAGTCCAACCTACTCCTGGATTCCTCATTGCCAAAGCTATGTACACCTGCTTCATCCATTCTTTCAGGCCACTCAGTCCACACTCCAACAGTCACCTATATGCTAGGGCATCTTTTAGGACAGGCACTGGAGAGACCACAGGAACAAAGCAGTTCCTCTTTCAGGGAGCTCTGAGACAAGTTCATGAGAGGTCTTATAAACATCTACCCTCCTAGAACAAGGGAGTGGCTGGAAGTAACCGCATAAGCACAGAACTGCTGGCCCATCCCCTCCTTTCTGTTTTTGTTGGATGGATCCTTTCTGTTTTTCCTGACTACCAAAATAAGGTATGTCTATAACTAAAAACTCACACATTACAGAAATGTGATGCAAAAATTGGAAGTCTCCAACACTCCCTACCTCCTCCCCTCCTAGATATAATCACTGGCAATAAAGATATGAATGCTCCATTTTCTCCTTCTTCACATGAGTGTGTGTGTGTGTGTGTGTGTGTGTGTGTGTGTATACATAGAAATAAAAAGTATACATAGAATAAGTGTATGAACATATATATGTACAAAAACAAATTTATTTATTCTTTCTATGAATGCTCTCTTACAAGTTGCTTTTATCTATGAATTAATACAGCTCAGAAATGGTTTCCTAAGAGTATTCAAGGTTAAGAATTCTCAAGACTCCAGGCTGAACTCATGTTGCAGGCATGTTTTGCTCGGCCTGAGTAGTGAAGTATCAGCGTTTTAACTTTCAATTCATTGCCAACATTTTTTAAAGAAATGAGATGGTTCGTTTCCAAATCTGGGTTTCCAGCTGTGGCAACAGTGGACCTAGCTTTCCACAGGGTGCCAATGGCTGAAGCAGAGCCATGGTGGCCCACCTTAGAGGGGGGTTGTCCCAGCCCCATCCCCTGCCTATATCCCTGAGCCGAGGCTCATAATCACTACCATTTGTCATTGGACACCTGGTTGACTTGACATGCATCTGCTACCTGCCTGTTACAGGTGGGCTCTGGAGTCTGCATTCTCCAGTACATTTAAATCAGACTGAGACTCCCTCATGGCAGGAAGAGGCTCACTCTGTTTAAGGGGGTTGGGAGAGGGTAGAAATGAGAAGACGGCTTCATGGAGGGTGTAGAATTTTAGCTGCACTTGCAAAGGCAGAGTCTTCTCCAAGAAAGCGGATGTTTATCTCTAAAGCAATAGTAAAAGGAATTTGGTTTTCTAATAAGGAAATCCTAAAAGTAGTACTGAGTGATGAGCCAAGTTCTGAGTAAGGACTCATAAGCTCCTATAGTCATGTTATTCAGAAGTAGACAGCTCTGAGGGCCTCAAAATTCAGACTAACCATTAACTTAAAACTGAGAAAAGTGAGAGCTACATGCTGCTGGCAGCTCTGAGTGTGCCTCTAGAGAGGAGATGTTTGACATGATATGGCCCTAATGCATGTTATGTGGCCTCCTTGATTTCTTTATCAGATCAGGAGGTAGCCATCCATGGGCAAAATGAGAGAAAAGTACAAGAAACCAAAAATAGAGCAGTTTATGAAAAGGCCCACCACATCACAAGACCACTTTATGAAAAGGCCCACTGCATCACCAGGGTTCTTTGGTTGCAAGCAAAAGACACTGATTATGGCAACTTAAACTAACAGGGAATGTTTTGAAAACACACAGGGGACCTCACAGAATCAACAAGGCTGGAGAACCAAGACTTGAGAAATAAGGGACTAGGGCCACCCTGAATTTCCAAGTAAGCAGGAATTGCTCATTAATGTGGTAAGGAAGATGCTAGAAAAAAAGGTGTCTGGGACATTTTCCTCAAATTAAATTCCTGGGAGACTCTAACAGGCCAGGTTTGGATCACAGGTCCCCTCTGGCTAGGAGACAGCTGGGCACCTTGGTTAATATTTTCAACCAAGGAAATTCACTGGGAAGTGCTGAAAAGAAGAAGGAAATAGATAAGGGGGAAATGCGGTGTCATACCCATTGCCTTTGATAAACAAAATGTGGCCCGGGTCTCCACTCCTTCCTTGCCTTGCTGGGATATAGTGGCCATCCCCTGGTGCTTTCAAGTTCGCTGCAAATGTTGAGCAACACAATGAGGAAGTCCAGAAGCAAAGAGAATCAGAGTAAATAAAAGCCAAATCCTCCCCATGCCCTTCCCAACAAAACAAAACAGCAGCATGTTTTGCAATAGAACTCTACAAAGCAAAGATGACTTTGCGGTCACTTTGATCTATGACCGATGACTCAAATCAAAGGAAGAAACCGTGAAACTTGTTTTCCTTCCCAAGTTTTTCTATCTGCATTCAAGACAAGACATGGCAAGAGACGAATGTGAAGGCTGAACACAATGTAGCCGACCCAGTGAGGAAGGAATGCCAAATCCCCACCGGCATGTCTGCAGATGGGAAGCAGAGCAAATGCCAGGGTCGTCGGCCAAGGATCTGTCTGCTCCACCAGGAAAACACTTGGTGGACATGTCAGGTGAGAGGAAGAAAGCATACCCAATCCAGGAGGCCCTGTCCCCCTGCCAACTCTCTAATTCTTCCTAGTGAAGAAGCCCAAAAGAATTAACAGCTATGGACAAGGAGCAATTTTACATGGGGATCCAAATATACAGAAACTGCAACCTGCCAATCATAAGTTTTGCAACAAATGTACCACAATCTAAGACGCTGCCTAAAGTGAATTTTGCCTCATTACTGTGCCCGCCCACCCACCACACACAGACATGCATACACTTCATATGACAAAACTAAACAACCACAGGAAAAGGCAAATGGCTGGCTGTATGGAAGAATTCCTGGTCTAGCCTGAATTCCCCAGAGGCTGCTTCTGGCATATAAAGCTGCCCCATATCCCCCGACTATATGTTGTCTCTTTCACCAATAAAATAAGAGAAGTTTATTCAAGGTGTTGTTCTGCAAGAGTTTCCCTTTGCTACTTTCTCCATTAACTTTATTCAGCACCTACTGTGAGCCAGGAGTTTCCAGTACATTACACCTTTAAAAGTTCCATTTAGCCCCCTCTTCTAGGTAGGTATTAACAGCCATTTCTACAGACAAGGCAGACCCAGGGAGATGTGGGGCATAAATTCCCAAGAGGCTACTATATGGTGGAATGGGTTTCATAAGCAACCAAAATCTTGAGTTCTGTCCCCATTTAGTCTCTGACCCTCATCTCAAATAGCGACTCATGAAGAGGCTGGCGACGGGTACGACAGGACCCTCTGTTTCTCAGAAGACCTGGCTGAGTGCTGTACATAGGCAGGGCCCTTCGCCTGTTCACACATATTGAATGGACACCTAGATGGTTGATTGGATTAATGGATGAGTAAAGGCTGACTTAGGGAACTACTGAATTAAGCTACATGAACCACACAGCATGAATTCTTATCACTCTTCAGCTAAAGATTTGATGCTGCTACATGAATATCAGCCCATTGACGGCGCGTTCAGCTGCAAGGAGCAGAAAAGCCACCCCACCATGGCTTAAACAAGTAAGATCTTTGTTTTTCTCAAGGATAATGATGTTCACAAGTGGACAGTTAAGGGAAAGTGGAGCTGTTGAAGCACATCATTGATGTACCAGATTCCATCTTCCAAGCCCACCATCTTTAGTCTGTGGCTTTCATCTTCATAGTAGCAGAATGGCTGCTACACCTCCAAGCACAGCATCTGTGCTCCAGGCCAAAGGAAGGGAGAAGGAGTAAAGGGCCCTCTTTATAAAATGTATGCTTTTATGTGATGGAAGAAGCATTCTCTAGAAGCTTCTGCCAATGTCTCATTGGCCAAAACTAGGCCACATGAGCATTCAGAGATGCAAGGGAGGCTGAGAGATCAAGGGGAATGAGGCAAGGGAGAAGGCAGATGGAATGGGTACTGTGAATTATCCTATAGAGACCACTAGATATAGCCACTACTTAAGTCCATATCAACAATTTAAGCGTATGAGCTGGACACGGTGGTACACATCTATAGTCCTTGCTACTTAGGAGGCAGAGGCAGGAGGATTGCTTGAACCCAGGAGTTCAAGACCAGCCTGGGCAACACAGTCGTAAGACCTCCATCTCTAAAAAAAGTTTTAAATTATTTAAGCATATTTGAGCAAAGGGAACAGGTCTTTGTGGTTTTCTTTGTTCAACAGCCAGTATAAAACAATGCATAAGTAGAGACTTGAATATGACAGTTTCTGTGTCATTTCCATGCCAATCAAATATATCATTCGTCATTATTCATTCAGCCCATGGGCCCCTGTTGGGTAACGGATAATCTTTTCAATGAATGATACCTGGCACATAAAAGGCACTTAGAAATGTTTTTTGAATTGAACTAGAACACATTTGTTTAATGATGAAGAAATGAGTGTTGAGTGCAATGAATTATACACCTTATACAAAAATTAATTCAAGATGGATTAAAGACATTTTTAAATGTTAGACCTAAAACCATAAAAACCCTACAAGAAAACCTAGGCAATACCATTCAGGACATAGGCATGGGCAAGGACTTCATGTCTAAAACACCAAAAGCAATGGCAACAAAAGCCAAAATTGACAAATGGGATATAATTAAACTAAACAGCTTCTGCACAGCAAAAGAAACTACCATCAGAGTGAACAGGCAACCTACGGAATGGGAGAAAATTTTTGCAATCTACTCATCTGACAAAGGGCTAATATCCAGAATCTACAATGAACTCCAAAAATTTACAAGAAAAAAACAAACAACCCCAACAAAAAGTGGGTGAAGGATATGAACACACACTTCTCAAAAGAAGACATTTATGTAGCCAAAAGACACATGAGAAAATGCTCATCATCACTGGCCACCAGAGAAATGCAAATCAAAACCACAATGAGATACCATCTCACACCAGTTAGAATGGCAATCATTAAAGAGCCAGGAAACAACAGGTGCTGGAGAAGATGTGGAGAAATAGGAACACTTTTACACTGTTGGTGGGACTGTAAACTAGTTCAACCATTGTGGAAGTCAGTGTGGCGATTCCTCAGGGATCTAGAACTAGAAATACCATTTGACCCAGCCATCCCATTACTGGGTATTTACCCAAAGGACTATAAATCATGCTGCTATAAAGACACATGCACACGTATGTTTACGGTGGCACTATTCACGATAGCAAAGACTTGGAACCAAGCCAAATGTCCAACAATGATAGACTGGATTAAGAAAATGTGGCACATATACACCATGGAATGCTATGCAGCCATAAAAAATGATGAGTTCATGTCCTTTGTAGGGACATGGATGAAGCTGGAAACCATCATTCTCAGCAAACTATCGCAAGGACAAAAAACCAAACACCGCATGTTCTCACTCATAGGTGGGAATTGAACAATGAGAACACATGGACACAGGAAGGGGAATATCGCACACCAGGGCCTGTTGTGGGCGGAGGGGAGCAGGGAGGGATAGCATTAGGAGATATACCTAATGTTAAATGACGAGTTAATGGGTGCGGCACACCAGCATGGCACATGTATACATATGTAACTAAGCTGCATGTTGTGTACATGTACCCTAAAACTTAAAGTATAATAAAAATAAAAATAATTTTTTTAAAAAGAAATAGAAGACACCATTCCTACCCTTGAAAAGTCTGCAATTCAGAAAGGGAGCTCAGGACAACCAGTACATCTTACAGAATAGTTGTTTGCTAATAAAAGCAGTTTGAAGATAGAAAAGAACATGGTTAGGGTGGGCTTCCTCCAGAGGGTGGGTTTCATCTGAGCCTTAAAGAAAAACAACTACTACTGCTTATATCCCTCCTAACACAGCTGTCAGCCCACAGGAGAAAGGTCAGAGCTGGGTGGCATTTATACTAATCCTTTAAGGTAGGTATAACCATTCATGCATTACAGGGCTAACCCCAGGTCCACTGGGCTGGGCTGGACCTCCTTTACTAGAGAGGAGAGAGATCAGGGCATCCCAGTCAAGGAGTGGGTAAAGGTGTGGGTAAGGAAAGGGTGAGGGCACAAGCCAGCCCTGCTGGGTGCTGGGATGGTCCATAGGTGACTGAATGCTAGGCTGGCCAGGCAACGTCAGAGTAACACCTGACCACAAGCAGGACACTTGGATTTGTGGGTATCAGAGTATCAAAACAACCTCAGCTTATTAAATGTGATGGTGACACAATATAAATGTCACATTGGAGAAGCACTGCAGACAGTTGTGGGGCAGGGAGGGGGAAAGAGGGCAGACGGGATGGAAGGAAAACAGTGAGAGCTGGTTCCCCCTTTCCTGATGTGTGAGGAGGACTCAGTCTCCCATCATGAGGAAAGTGTATTTCCTAGAGGTCAAGGGCAAGCCTCCTCTGTGACTGCCTCCCCCAAGCCATGCTTTATGACACAAGCCTGTCCCCTGGCCATGGCTTCTTGAACCAGGCGTGGTAGCACCACGAAAACACAGCCACCCACTGTTTCTCCCTCCTAAAAATCTGGGAGTGGGACTCAAACCCTCCAGCCCATGGACTGCCAGCACTGGCCTCAAAAAGACACAGAAATTCAGGGGGCAGGAGTCACTTTCTGGCACAGCAGAGAAACCAGGTCTGCAAAGAGGCTGACAGGAAAGCCATAAGTGCTTGTGGGTGACAGAGACTGCCTTGGTTGCTAAGAACTCTCTTCTTCCCTGCCCGAAGCCCTCAGGAGGCCTGATTATTCTGCTGCCCTTGAGATCCATGAGCTAATTCTCTATCTTCACACACAAACACACACACACACACACACACACCCTCCTTTATGTAGGCTAGCTTGAGTGGGTTTCCTTAATTTGCAAGCACAGTAACCTCAAAGGAGACAAAATATTTCAAAATAAGACATGAGATTAGCTGGACAAACGTGGCTCTAGGCTGCTAGCTGTGATAACCCGAAGATGGGAGGTGGGCACCCCCAACTGCCATAGGATCAATGGGATAGGGACACTGAGGAGAGCAGTGAGGCTGCTTTTACAGCTGCTGCTCTTGAGACAATGGCAAGGTTTCTCAAAATGGCAGGTGGAAATGAAATCCATCCAGCCAAGGTGATCAATCCACACCTGGTCGACTGATTGGGCACTTGTATTCCCACATACCTTCTGCAGAGTTATAGGAGGTACAAAATGTATGCTTGCTCATTCATTCCAATATTCAATTCTTACCAGAAGCTACCAGAAAACTAAAACAAAATGTATATTCTACCAAAGTAAAAATGGCAGATTAATCTTTTGGTGTTATATAAAGCTTAGATCAAGTACATCATTTGTAAAGATGATCACCAATCTATTAGTGCCTCCCTTAATGATTGTTAAATTACCCCTTTAATGGATAATTAATGCACTTAATGTCTCTCACTATTATGATTACTTTTATGCAAATTTAGAATGATAATAGCTGATAAATACAATACTCCCTTTGTCATAATTTAGTCATCTAAATGCCCTAGCTACAAAAGACAGGCCACCTTATATGCTTTTAATAATAATTCAATTCAGTCGTTCCTTTAAACAAAGAAATGTGCATTAATTACACTTTGATTTCTCAAAGAGCTTTTCCATCGCCCAGGGAGTTGCTCTAAAATCTGCCATGAAAGGTCATCTTGATTTCCCAAAGCAACACTTTTTCAGGAAGGTTTTTGGAACTGACAATTATTTGTAAAAGTCTTCGTGGTCCTTATTTTGGTTGGTAAAGGTAAATCACCCATCCTAAGGCATATCATGAAACACAAATTAGTAACTAAAACCCCTTACATATCAGCTTCTAAATTATTTCACTATGTAATTATATTACAATTATTTTACATACTTCACATATCATTTTAAAATGAATTATTTCATACTTAGGAAGTAGCCCACAAGGGAGCTATAAGAAAGATTCACTTAGAAACCAACCAGTTTTCCTCATGCAAAGAGCATTATAGTAATTATAAAGGAGTGACTCTTCTGCACTTCTATAACCCTTTTCATGGAGTTAACAAGCCTTCATCTTCAGAGAAACTTTAGTTTTTTTTATAACTCTAGTTGTTTCTAATATCTGCATTAAACAAGCCTCTACAGAACTCATATATACACTGTGTAAATATCTCTATCTATGCATCATCCTCCTACCTCATCAAAGAACTGCTAAGCATCCATACTGTCTGCCCACCCCCTGCCATGTGACAGTGCACCAACTGCAAACACTCTCAGCCAATGAGTGTCTGTCTTCCTTGTTACCTGACTGCAGTGTTGGCACCTCTGGTCACCATCCACTTGGTTTCCTAACCATCATGTTTGACCAGAAAAATGCAAGAGTTCATGTTCATCCATGCTGCAATGAATAAAGAGAGTGAAGAAAGGAAGATGGTAAAAAAGTGAATTTCCTTGTGGTCCCAGGCATCCTCAAAGATATGGATCAGTGTGTAATCAGGGCTCCTTGGACATTATGAAAAGATTTCTTGAACATCCTTGAGGTCTAGGAGGAGTGACTGGCAATATCGGCACCCCTTGGCTGAAGGCCTACCATAATGCAGGAATGCATCTGAGTCTCTTAGAGCTCACATTTCCAGAAAAGCTATTCCCACCTAAGTGGGAGCTGCAAGAACCTGACTTAACAGATGGGCCAGAATGAGCCAAGGAAACAACACACGGGAAAATACCCAAGGGGTTTTATTTTACTTAGAAAAATTCAAAACCAAAAACACACACATGGAATGAAGGAGCCTTCAACAAGCATGCCCATTGTGCATTGCCTGTAATGGCTTAAGTCTGGGAAAATGTCTTGAAAAAGGTCTCTCAATAAAGGGACAGAAAAATGAAGTGGTGCATTCATAGCAAACACAGTCGTTACGACGGCTCATTGAAAAAACTATTGAATAAAAAAGCAAATTGCAGAATGCCATGTAGAGTATGTAACCATTTAGGTAAAATCCTCACAAGCCAATACTACCCATTTTGGAAGGAATACAAGTGTATTACCATGATTTGAAAAATGCCAAAAAGGAGAATTACCAATTTGAAATAGTGGTTGCTCTAGGTGTGACAATATGTACGCATAATTTATTGGAGCCTACTGTAACAGATGTTCTACCACTTCTAATGAAGTGCAGAAGCCTTACTTGCATTTAGGTCCCTTTAACCTCTTCACTCTTTAAGTATAATTGTCTTGTTTCTTCTGATGTGTATACCTTTCATAGGTATACATGTGCCATGGTGGTTTGCTGCATGTATCAACCCGTCATCTAGGTTTTAAGCCCCGCATGCCTTACATATTTGTCCTAATGCTCTCCCTCCCCTTGCTCCCCACCCCCGACAGGCCCCAGGGTGTGATGTTGCCCTCCCTGTGTCTATGTATTCTCATTGTTCAACTCCCACTTATGAGTGAGAACACGCAGTGTTTGGTTTTCTGTTCTTGTGTTAGTTTGCTGAGAATGATGGCTTCCAGCTTCAACCATGTCCCTGCAAAGGACATGGACTCTATTCTTTTTTATGGCTGCATAGTATTCCATGGTGTATATGTGCCACATTTTCTTTAGCCAGTCTATCATTGATGGGCATTTGGGTTGGTTCCACGTCTTTGCTATTGTAAATAGTGCTGCAATAAACATATGTGTGCATGTGACTTTATAGTAGAATGATTTACAATCCTTTGGGTATATACCCAGTAATGGCATTGCTGGGTCAAATGGTATTTCTGGTTCTAGATCCCTGAGGAATAACCACACTGTCTTCCACAATGGTTGAATTAATTTACACTCCCACCAACAGTGTAAAAGTGTTCCTATTTCTCCACAGCCTCAACAGCATCTGTTGTTTTCTGACTTTTTAATAAATGCCATTCTAACTGGCGTGAGATGTTATCTCATTGTGGTTTTGATTTGCATTTTTCTAATGACCAGTGATGATGAGTTTTTTTTAATATGTTTGTTTAGCCATTATTTTTTGGTCTCATTCTCTTCTCTCCTTCTGGATCTCAGATGATGTGAATCTAGTTCTTTTGTTATTATTCCAAAGATCCTTTAGGTCTCTCTGTTTTTCAAACTAAGTAAATTCTAGGATAATTTCTGTTGATCTGTTCTCAATTTCACTGATTCTATCCTCTGTCGTTCCCACTCTACTAGTAAGTGTAACCCGTGAGGTTTTTTCTTAATTTTGGTGACTGTATTTTTCATTTCTATAATTTCCACTTGGTTCTCTTTTAAATTACTTCTGTTTTTGGCTAAGATTTTCTAATTTTCATTTGTTTGCAGAGAATTTGTAATTGCTTCTTGAAGTGTTTATATAATAGCTTCTCTAAAATTCTTGTTAGATAATTCCAACATCTGATTCATTACTGATTCATGTGGATTGTCTTTTCTTATTAAAGTTATGATTTCTCTGGATTCTTGGTATGGTGAGTGATTTTTATTATATCCTGGACATTTTGGATATTACATTATGGGACTCTGGATTCTATTTCATCTCTTCATTTTGCAGGCATTCCCCCTGCCAAGGTGTGGCAGAAGGGCTGGGTGGGAGTGTACGTTAGCTTCCCACTGGGCCCTGTCAACACTACCTTAGCAAAAGTGGAGCACTGAGTCACACTGCCTTATTGCATTTAAATGGGGTGGAAGTTCAGCTCTCCCCTCAGCCCTGCTGACATCTTCCCAGTGAACATGGGGCTACAATTCACATCACCTGAGTTGCAGGGGTGTAAGCTCAGCTCCCCATTAGAGCTGAGTTCAGGTAAAAGCTCAGCTCCCCATGGGACTCCACTAACACCAGAGGCACGCAGGATCGGAGAGATGACACAATCTTTGTTGGTGCAGAATGCATACGAAAGTTGCTTCTCTCCCTGCAGAACTAGGACCATTCTGAGTTACTGACCCCAAAGGGCAGGGGAGTGGAGTGCTGACTGGTTGTTTCCCACTACCTTGTTCCACTTCATTGATGCTAGGTAGAGTGGAAACCCACTGAGTCCCACTCACACTGGGGCTGGGGAGACTGAGTAGCCCTACCTCCCATCAACTTTGTAGTATACTATAAAAGGCATACTGTGGTTATAGGATTAATGTCAGCCATAGGCCTAATCAAACATCCTGCTGGGCTTACACTACATGTCCATTAGAAGTATGATGAAACCTGGCCTGGGGATTTCCAACCTAGCCCAGGGATTAGTGGGTCTCTATGACAACTGGACCTATAAATCCTGGTTACCCTAAAGATAAGGCCGCCTAGCACAGATGCAACTTTCATAAACCTTAAAACGAAGCTTACCCTTACTAGAATAGCTTAAACTTTCTTTATGAAAGAAACACTTGGAAACTGGCCTGGACTGAATACAAGCATAAGAAAGGGGGAAGAATCCCCTCAACTCTGAGAATGGTCTCCAGATGGAGACCCTCCTGGTTGGGTGGGCCTGACCCCTGACTGTGTCTGGCCCAGGCCACCAGCCTGCTACTGCTGAGCATGCTGTCAGAGGACTGCCAGAATAAGCTGCCTGCGCATCAGATGGCAGCACCTAAGACTCACCTCTGATGCAAATCAAACCAAAGAAGAAATATCGTCCTTGGGGAGGTTAGTTAACTGGGACCACCCAAAAGCCCTGAACAAGACAACCTTGATGAGTCTCACTGATGCCAGATGGGTCCCACTGACACTGGTGGGGGACTGGGAGTGGGCCAAAATCAAAATGATAGCTAGCTCTGCTTTACAACATCCCATTTAGTCTCACTGCTGCTGGGTGGGTGTGGAGGTCCAGCTCCTCATCGGCATAGGAGAAGGAATGTTGATAGCCCAAACTTTCATCGCCGTATTCAGTCTTGATGATGCTGGGTGGGAGTGTAAGCACAGCTCACCACTAGAATGGAAGAAAACAGAAAGCTGACTACCCCCAACTTGCATTGCCTTGTTCAGTCTTGCTGATGCTGGGCAGGAGTGGAGGCTCGTTTCACTAGTGGCCCCCACTGACAGTACTCTGACAGGGGAACAGGAGCACTGCCTACTTCCACCAAGGAGGAAATGGAAGATTGGGTTCCTGCTCAGCCATGCAAACACCACCCAGTGGGAGAACCGGAGCGCTGCTGCTTCCATCAGGCAAGGAACGATTAGCTCCTTGCTCATTTCCGCTGACACCACCAGGTGGGGGAATGGAAGCAATGCTGCTTGCTTCTGCTAGTTAGGAGCATGCGAAGATCATTTCAGGGGGTTGGATAATTAGTATTTCCATTGGTCCTTGGCTGCTACTGGGTGAATATCACCCAAAAGATTTTATGCTATTAGGCCACCCTTTTCCTCGTCCTTTGTCTAGGAGGAACAGGCTTTTCTTGCAGTCTGTACCCATTAGAGGTCCAGGTGGCAGGCTTCTGGAGCACTCTGTTCATAATGTGTGAGAAGTAACAAGGAAACTCAGAGGACCCACAGCCATGCTCTTCCTCAAGTGCAAAGGTCCGCAGGCCGTCTGTCTTCTCCCATCTTTCAAAGTCTTCCTACGCTCATTTGTTATGTGATATCTAAATGTTTTTAGTTACAAGAGGGAGAAGCAAGGGGTAATGGAGATACTCCTTTGCTGGAACCAGAAATATCAGTCATGTTCTAATGTTGTCCAAGGAGGATGGATTCAGGTGTTACTTTGTACAATTCAAATTTTAATTTTACAAAAGCCAAAAGAATATTTGATCAAAGGAAAGCTATTTCTTGACAGACATATCTGAAGATGAAAGCTCTATTTCCAGAATACATTCATGTATTCAATATTTATTTATCAAATGTCTATTTAGCTGCAGATACTGGCTTATCCCTGTAGTTACATCAACAAAGAAGGCAACAGATGCTGTCTCCATCCTGATAGAGTCTACACTGGAAAGAGACCTAGACATTGGACAAGTACATAAATCCCCCTCCAGTCATAGCTGCAATAAGCAACACTCATGGTCCCAAATGAGCTAGCTGCACTCCTCCCTCTTCCAACCTCCAGCGTTGGAATGTTGAGCTCAACAGAGTCATTTTATTATTCATTTGGCAAGTAGATGTGTGTTCATTTTTTGCTTGGAATCATAACATCATCTCCATAATATTCTGATTAAAATGTGTTAGCCTACCCAAATTTAAAACTTTTGAATTTTTTAAAAAAATAATTCCACCACTTAATTTTTTTTTGACCCACGCAAAAGGCATGGTGAAAAAGACCATGACATCAAACCAAGACCCAGTCATCCTGGGTCTTCATTTAAACACATGGAGATTGGAACTCAGAAGATACAATGCAGACAGCATATTAGGGAAACTGACCAAAGTGCCAACCTTTACTCCATATTCATTTTGTATTTTAATTAAAATACACTGAATCCAGTAGGCTTTCTTAAAATTAATGCCTGCAGGGATTTAGAAAAGAAAAAAATCTATATACAGAGCAGCAGCAATATGCATATGCTGAAAGCCTCACATTCTTAATGTGTTTGTAGTGTTTCAATAATACCTTAACAGAATCCTAACCAAGCCTGGGTGGGGAGAAACACATCAACTGGGTCCGCTGGCACTGAACACTTAGAATGCGATGTCAGTACTTTTGCTTTCAAGGGAAAAAAAATCACAGATAATTAGGGAAAGAGCATGTTTTTCGTTTCCTCTTTCTTTAAAATGAATTAAAATATTTTGGAGAAAAACATTGTATTCTAGAATTCACCTCATTACAGAAACACATCTGCATTTTTTTGCTCTAGTTATATATTGATAACACCATCTGAAAACACACAGTGAGTCGAGAGATCTGAAATAATAATAATAACAAGATCATTGTTTATCCCAGACAGAAAAGAGTTTATTTTCTGATAATAAAAATAATATAAAAATTAGAAGGTTCAGAAGGATCAGAATGTTGAGATAGCTATAATCCTATTATTCTGATGATTTACAGGCTTTTAGATGTATATCTATGAACACACACATTTATGAAAATGAGACCACAAAAATACAAAGCATTCTGCAGTTTTGATTTTTTTCGTGTTGCCTGAAAACACAGTCATGTATATTTTTTCCACCATTACAGCCACAGATAGACCCTTATGGTTTTGATGGCTGAAATTTATCTAAGGAGCCTCTGTGAATGGACATTAGGTTTAAACAACCAATTTTATCAATGCATTTTATAAGTTCATATTTTGATAAAGCTAGAAATGTATATTTTAATATAGCTATAAAGTCGGCCAGGTGTGGTGGCTCATGCCTGTAATCCCGGCACTTTGGGAGGCTGAGGCAGGTGGTTCACTTGAGGACAGGAGTTCGAGACCATCCTGGCCAACACAGCTGAAACCCCGTCTCTACTAAAAATACAAAAATTAGCCAGGCATGATGGCACCACTTATAATCCCAGCTACTCTGGAGGCTAAGGCACAAGAATCCGCCCAGGAGATGGAGGTTGCAGTGAGCCAAGATCACGCCATTGCACTCCAGCCTGGGCAACACAGCGAGACTGTCTAAAATAAATAAAAATAAAGCCATATTTTCATAACCATAAAATTTTAAAAATATACATATATACAGTTGACCCTTAAACAACGTGGGTTTGAACTGAGCAGGTCCACTTATATGTGGATTTTCTTCCACCTCTGCCACACCCAAGACAGCAAGAACAAGCCTTCCTCTTCCTCCTAATCAGCCTACTCAATGTGAAGACAATGAGGATGAAAACCTTTATGATTGATCCACTTTCATTTAATAGCAAATATATTCTATATTATATTTTATCTTCTTTATGATTTTTCTTTTTTCTTTTTTTTTTTTTGAGACGGAGTCTCACTCTGTCACCCAGGCTGTACACAATCTCAGCTCACTGCAACCTCGGCCACCTGGATTCAAGCGATTTTCCTGCCTCAGCCTCCTGAGTAGCTGGGATTACAGGCGCCTGCCATTGCACCTGGCTAATTTTTGTATTTTTAGTAGAGACGGGGTTTCACCATGTTAGCCAGGATGGTCTCAATCCCCTGACCTCATGATCCACCCACCTCAGCCTCCCAAAGTGCTGGGATTACAGCCGTGAGCCACCGCACCAGGCCCCTTATGATTTTTCTTAGTACATTTTCTTTTCTCTAGCTAATCTATTCTAAGAATATGGTATATACTACATATAACACACAAAATATGTGTTAATCGACTGTTTATGTTTATTGGTAAGGCTTCTGGTCAAAAGGAGACTAGTAGTAGTTAAGTTTTTGGGGAGTCAAAAATTATACTCAAATTATTTACTGTGCAGGAGTCAGCGCCCCTAAGCCCCTGTGTTGTTTAAGGGTCAACTGTTATCAGTTATTGCACTAAAGAATTAGTTGTCAAGCAAATTTCCTTAATAATCAAAAAATGTAGAGGAACCCTCCAATGACAGAATCTTCATATATTTAAGGCATTAACTGTAGTCTAAAAGTCAAAGTCATTGCAGGTCTGGAAGAGACTCATGGATACAAGTGGTTTGGAGCTTAGTGCAGGGGAGACCCTAGACATATCCAAAGGATCCAGAATACCCAAAACCCATCAAGCAACCAAATCACGTCCAGGATTAAGCCAATTTCTGCATGTGTTGAGTTGAAAACTTTAATCAAAGATATAAAACTGGTTACTTGATGGTATAAATTCCAACTGTCAGTTCTGGAGACAAAGAGTTATAAATCACAAAAGCCAAATAATCCATGGGCAATCTTCATAATATCCGCATAGAGAATTCTGAACAAGCTCAACAACTCAATGAAAGCTGTATTACTGACCCAACCTCAATATTTTTAACACTTTGATTGAAGGGGAGGGAACATATCAGTAATGTTTTTGAAAGTAAAAAATAGCAACACAACATTTTGATAAATCTGCACAGAATAATTTGGATTGAAAGAGACACCTAGCAAATAAATAACAAATCCGCATATATAAGCTCATTGTAAAACTTGCTTGGGGCTTGTAAATGTTTTCACATTTTCCCACAATTTACATAGAAAGTAGTTGCGCAGCAAGGACATAATTAGCATTAAATATGATTAATTCATACTATGGTGGAACTCAGAAAGTGTTTTGTGTTTTGATGCTGCATTTTTTCCAATTTCCATCTCCAATATAGTCAAGTACACATTTATAGGGCATTCATTCCCTATTGCTCTAAACAGATTGTCAGATTATCATCAGGGAATTAGAGCCTTTTCTTCCCAATGACTGGGAAATCTAACCCTCTTATGATTACGTTATTCTTATTTCACGGATGTTAAATTTTCTGCAGTATAATGAAATCCATAGAAGGCTATTTAAAAATTACCTCAAAAATAAAATGAAACAGAAATTACCTCAAGTGAATGCTATTCCAACATCCGAGAAAAATCTGTGGCAAAAGACAAGTACTTCACATTTTAGGGGGCTTCATATTGCTGGGTACCAAGGGTAGGCATGGGACTTGAGTAGAGTCTGGCAAAGTGCTATTCGCAGTCCAGTTGTCTACAGAGCACCATCATGATATAACCCCTAGGAAATCTACCAGTCTTTTCAACTCTCACTGAACGGCTCCTCAGCCACAGCTGAGAAGCTTATGACCACTCTTAAAGAGGGTACTACAAATACCAGCATTCTCCTGTGAAAACAGGATCTAGCCGAAATTCACAATCACAGACACACTCACCTACCCAGTCCCTCCTCCCCAAATCAGGTGGTTTGCCATTTGAAAATTACGAGAGAAGAAAGAAAGAAATAAAGGAAACAAGGAGAAAAGAAATGGAAAGGAAAGGAAAAAAACTGCTTGCCATTATAATATTTACAAGAGAACTTTCCATGGGTCTCAAGTTTTTCTGCAATTTAGTTTTATGATTTTTTTTTAGTTGATTAAAGCTAATCTTGCTCCCTTTTAACATTCCTTTTTTAAATTTGAGGATCCTATCCCATATTAGCCATGCTCTGGGGGAAAAAAATGTAGCTCATTAAGAGTGGAAATCTATAGCAGCTGCCAGTCTTTCTGCTTTTGTTGTTGCCCAACTGAGAATTTATTCCATATACCAGAGAGGGCTGGCTTTATAATCCCCATCCCAAACCATCGCATCTTCCTCCAGGTACATCCCACCAGCTTGGGTCTTTAAGCCATAAGGGCTGACCAAAGATTCACCCTCCTTGGGCTACAACAGGCATCTGATCTCTACTAGTGTCAAGGGCAAAGCCCCAATGGTAAGACAGATTTTTCCTTCCTCACAATAAATCAAGCATAAATCTGTAAAAAGGAAAATCAACTTCATCGGATGTAGGAACACTACAGTAACTAGATAAATTATGTTAATACAGACTAACCCAATGCATCAAGGAAATGACATCTGAGGAGTTTCACAAAAATATTGGAAGAAAGGCAACATACACAAAGAGTGAGATGGTTTAAATAAGGCAGATTTTTGTTACCCTCTTTAATTTGTTTTTTGCTAAATTTTGAAAGGTAGAAAGAGATCGTTGATAGCAGAAATAAGGCCCATTTGGGTGGACACAAAGAAGATATTTAAAAGTAAAAGGTGAAAAAAAAAAAAAGAAATATATCAAAGTTCCAGATTTTTTAACTCTGGCCCAACATTTTTAAAGACTTTTTTTAACATCCATAAATGGACTTGCAGCTGCACTGGTGCGAATCATCAGCGACATCTAGTGGATGGTCACATTATGGTGTCTGGCTGCAGCTTAAATTCAAATCAGATCTCGGCCCCCAGTGCCTCATCCTATCTTAACATTTATTGTTTGCAGAAAAAAATAGGTGACCTTCATTTACTTTAATTCAATAAGTCTGTCTGAGTTTAGTCTAAAGATATGAACATGGAAGAAACTGTTAAGTTGCTTAGTCAACCTGGCAAGTTTCACGCTTACGAAGAACCTGAGAAAGTCTAACTGTTGTGTGCAGCCGAGCCCTGGGTTTTATAAAGCCACATTGTTGCTCAGATTGATTTAATTCAAGTGGAAGAAGAAAGGGCTGCATGGTAAACAAACACTGAGGTAGTAATTACGTGACTATGGCCAATGCTATTTCACCCCTGTCAAGCACATTATGCTTCAGACATTTTTCAAAATGACTTGACATTTTTTCTGCCTGACATGTTTTGGGTTTGATACAGTGAAAACAGCTGGTTGCCTCCTGCTGCCTGGAAAATCTAGCAGTGGAGAAATCATGTTGAGGGCTCTTAACTTCCCTGCAGAATCTCTTAAAAGCCCGCAAAAGAAGCTCCTTGCTGCCACAATGCTGGTCAGGGAGGAGGGTATCACAGAGAAAACAAGGGCTTTGTAGGCAGCTGGATTTCTGGTCCAGGTCCTGATCCCTTGTTCCCCATACCATGTCCTACCTGTCTGACCTTGGGGATGTTATTAACCTGTGAATCCTGTTGTGACATGTTAGATCATCAGCATAGTGCCTGAGGACAGTAACCTGGAGTTATGCTTACTAGACTAGACGCTCCGCACTGGCAGGGAGCATGGCTCATGTGTTTATGACTACAAATAAGGTTGCCAGATTCAGCAAATAAAAATACAGGAGGCACAGTTAAATTTACATTTAAGATTTAACTGTGTGTCCTATATTGTATCTGGAGATCCTACCATTTGCCTAGGGTAGTTCTGGCTTCCAGCTCTTGTCCGAGTAATCATCAATACCTCCTCTTTCATTTTTAAAAGTATCTTAATTTGAAAATAAATAATCCTGGGTCCCTAACTGGGAGTGCACACCAAGCATGATGCTGAGGCCCTCCCGGCACATCTTAACCAAATGAACGGCCATTTTCTGGATGGGAGACCCAAGGAGAAGAAGCACATGTGTCCGAGATGTTTGCTAATTTAAATACTGCTCTCTGTTAACACATTTCAAAAATTGTGTTTTATGAAAAATTTTATTCATCAACAGATACGCACAGATAACCTACATGTGCAGGGCTTTCTGGCACTCTACAACACCAAATGACCAGGCAGAGGGCATCCCAGTTCACGCCCAAGTAAACATACTCAAGTAAACAGTCTCGTTCCTGCCTTCTGGTAATGCAGTCCAAAACACAGAAAGGGTACGCAGAACATAAAGAAAGGAAAGAATGGTGGGTAGAAGAGAGAGGAAGGGAGGGAGAAAGAAGGGAAGGAAGAGAGAAGGAGAGAGAAGAGAAAGAAAAACAAGGAAGGGTCAAGGAAGACACAAAGGTAGAAACAGTACAAGCAGACACATTAACAGCATATTATCTTTGAATCTAGAAAGGATTTTCTGATTTAACAGAATGCAAAGAAATCAAAGGATAAGACTTTACAAACAGACATCACCACCAACTGTGGTTACAAATTACTTTGTAAAATGAAAAAAAAAATCAAAGAATGCATTTTTACACAAGAACTATTAAGAATTCAGATTTGACAGCTGACAAGTTCAGTTGTTCCTCAAGGGACAGACACAGCATCTATCCTCTATTTGTGGCACACACATTTCACTGCTCAACTGATTTCACTTGTGCACACTAATTGGGGCTGGTATTTATGAAGGATTAATGACAGAGCCAGTCAGGAATGCTGAAACACTATCATTAATATTGCCAGGGAAGAATAGCTCAGTAGGGAGGTGCATCATAATTAATGTCACCTAAGAAATTATTTTCAGTATTCAAAATATTTAAGGGAATAACTGGTGGTAAATTTAATGTGAGAAACAAAAGCACTGTGTAATTGATTCCAAAATATCCCAACCCATTAAAAGGAGTGGAAAGGCAAATATTATGACACATCTCTAAAGTGCAGTTTATAACAAAGACGGAAGGCTAAAGAACAACAACATAACTTAGAGCTATAAAAATTACTGCTATTTTATGGCATTCTTAAACATATATATATTTCAAATTAGTGTTTGGTGCCTGAAGTAAACTTTGCAAATATCCTGTGCCTTCAGAATAAAATAATAATGTGTCTACCAGCTGTCTCCAACCAGCTAATCTATGATACAGAGGGGCCCCTCCCCTCTTCTCTTGACCACTATGTAAGCCAGAGATGACGTCTATCTGAAAAATTCTCCAGGACACACACCTGAGTTATAGTCATGAAATTCAACTGTCTGACCAGAAGGAACAACTCAACTCTTATCTAAACTAACCAATTTCCAACGTGCCATGCAGGTGGCTACTGTCTCTGAGGCTAGGAGTATGCTGATTTTAACTGCCCTGATGAAATCTGGGCTACCAAAGGGCCCATCTGTGTACGTCCCCTCTACGTCTGTGGAAGGGCAGCAAGATCACTCATTGAGCCAGACCTCCAAAAGCTTTAGTCTGCTGTTAGAAGGCAGAGCAGTGGGATGCTCCGGGGCAGGGAACTCATCCCTTCTCTAGCCTTAGGGCCTGACCCAGGGCCTAGTGCTTCAGAGTCTGGAACTCAGTGCTGGTTCACTGACACAAGCAACATCTGAGCTCCCCCAAAAGTGATCATGAGAGAGAGGTGAGTTCACTGATTTACCTAAATTTCAGAGGAAAACCCGAACCCACTCTGCCTTGGCCATTTCTGGTATCCTCAGGTGTTCAGGTGGGGTAGAGCTGAGGGTTGGAGAGAGGACAACAGGGATACATGGGAAATTCCAGAAAAGGAGATGAACAGCAGAGTGGGAAGATGCTTAAACAATTTTAAGCCTGGTGCTTTAGATTCCTCTCTCATTTTATCCTTAACCTGTGTATCAGAGGAGTTAGTAACTTGCCTAAGAATTTGCGCAGCTATTAAATGGCTACCTGGCCTTTGAAATTAAATCTTTCTGACTTCTTTGTTTGTTTGTTTGTTTGTTTTGAGATGGAGTTTCACTCTTGTCACCCGGGCTGGAGTGCAATGGCACGATCTCGGCTCACTGCAACTGCCACCTCCCGGTTCAAGCTATTCTCCTGCCTAAGCTTCCTGAGTAGCTGGGATTACAGGTGCCTGCCACCACGCCTGGCTAATTTTTTTGTATTTTTAGTAAAGGCGGGGTTTCACCACACTGGCCAGGCTGGTCTCGAACTCCTGACCTCAGGCGATACACCTGCCTCAGCCTCCCAAAGTTCTGGGATTACAGGCGTGAGCCACCGCGCCCAGCTCTTTCTGACTTCTAAATCCATGTTCCTTCACTAGCTGAGGCTGCTTCAAGGAGGAGACAGAACAGGTCAGGGGTCCTTCTCTCTTTTTTCTGTACCCCCACGTCCAGCTCTGTGAGCAAAGCAGATGGGATGCAGAGACACAGGGATGCAGAAACGTGGTAATCGGAAAGATTTGGGGATGCAGGTATGCAGACGATGCAGGAATATGGAGAATGCAGGAAAGTGGGGATGCAGAGATGAAGAGGATGTGAGAGATGCAGATATGGGAAATACAGGATGTGGGGATGGGAGGATGCAGGGAGAGAATGGCAAGGATAGGAGAGGCAGTGCGGAGAAATCTAAGTGCAGTGGACCACAGTAGACCAGGTGTTGCCTCCTGGCCACTTGCTCCATCCCCAGAGTACAGAGCCCACCCCCAGGTCCTGGCTCCATCTGCAGCTCAGCATCTGACTGGAATGCAAAACAGAGTTATTCAGCAGAGGATAAAAGCCTCGTCATCTCCAGGAGTCATGTAGTAAAGCCTTCCTTCAGAGAGGCTCAGGCCCATCAGGAAATGTGATCAGCTAATGTACATCCAGGCACAAAAGGAGGGAGTGGTTATTGTCCTCAGGGCAAAAACACCAACAGATTCTGTGGCCTCCTTTGAAAAACACGAAAGTCCATTCTGTCATAAAGAGCTCCTTTTGTACCTCAATCAACATTAGCACTTTTTGCTTTTCATGGAACCAGGAGCTAGGAGCTTCTCCTCACAGCTGCACCTGCACCCCAGGGGCTCCTGCCTCTTTTTGCAGCCTGGCTGTGGGAAGGTCCCATAGCTCACTCTAACCAAGACTGGTTACATAATCTATAGGCCCAGTACAAAATGAAAATACAGGGCCCCTTGTTCAAAAATTATTAAACCTGCCTGGGCAACAAAGTGAGACCCTGTCTCTACAAACACACACACACACAGACACTACCCAACAAACAAACAAACAAAAACCCGGAAAACATTAGCATGTCATGGTGGTGTGCAGCTATAGTACCAGCTACTTGGAAGGCTGAGCTGTGCTCCCTTGACCACAGGGGTTTGAGGCTGCAGTGAGCCGTGATCACGCCACTGCACTCCAGCCTGAGTGACAGAGTCAGACCCTGTCTCAAAAAAAAAAAAAAAATAAGAATTTCAAGATGGCAACAGAAGAGCATTAAACCCAGCATGGCACCCTCCTGAATATGGAGCCTGTGCTCCCGGGCATGTCACAGACCCATGAGGTGGGCCTAGTTCCTAACGCTCCAGGTAGGTCAGAGAAAAGCATCAAGCTGGAAAGGATGGAATCCCCACTCTGACACAGGCTAAGGCACTTTTTACTCAGAAAAACCAGAGAGGCTTATTCAAAACCAGGGCCTATGTACAGAGTCCACTCTCCAGAATCAGAAGCCAGGGGCACACTTCTGACTACAAGGCAGATGATGATAACTGATCACTGATACATGCCTGCAGCCCACAGTCAACAAAGCCCTCCACATAAGCATTGCTCTCCAAGCTCAATATGAATTCAGAGCATAGCGAATCAGTACCAGCTCTGTGCCAGGCACGGTACTAGGGGCTGAGGGTGCAAAGGAGAGGGAGGCACACAGGTCTCAGTTGACTTTCCCCAAAACGCCAGGTAGGATCCTGAGGCTTAAATTAAAAAATGCCAGGTTGCAAGCTATTATAAACAAGTTGTAGACACCAATGAATATTTACCCTCTAATTCATTTCTTCTTTTTATCTTAAAAATGTTTTAAATTCAATTTTGATTACCCCCAAATAATTTTCTTACACAAATCTAAGCATCCCAGATAAGGCACATATCCCCTTTGATCCCACTGCTAACTCCAGGCCCTTCCCAGATGTCATCAACAGACTTTTTCCTCTCTCATGATAGACGTATTTAGCTATTCATGCAAAATATATATGATCAGTTTCCCTTTTAACTTGCATTATATCATATTGTACAAATAATTCTGAATCCTGCCTCTGCCTTTTAAAGTTAACAATATTCTCTGGGCATCATCCCAGCCATTACCTGTAGAATTGCTTCATTCTAGAAGGAATAACGTTTCTGCCTGCTGTCCCATTCCACGGATAGGCCACAGTTGCTTTAGCTTTTCCCACACAGGCAAACATTTAGGCAGTTAGTCAATTTTTGCTAAATCAAACAACACCGCATTCTGGTGCACATGTGTTAGTTAGTGTTTCTGTAGGCAGATTGCAAGGCGTGGAGTTGCTGGTTCGTAGGGTCTGTGCATTTTTAGTTTTAAAATCTTCTGCAAAATGGATCTGCAGTGTGGCTATACCAGCAAGAACCTCATTTCCCCAGGCCCTTACCAACATTTGATATCATCATCATCATCATCATCATTATTATTTTGCCAACTGATTGTTAAAATGGTGCTGCCTTAATTTACTTTTCCCTGATTACTAATGAGATTGAGCATCTTTTCTTTGTCCATGGAATTCCACTCCTGTCAACTCACTCTTCGTATCTGTTGCCTATATATCTACTGTTTCTTTGCAGCAGATTGATACTGATGAGTTTTTATTTTGATATTGTTGTTATTGATATGGAAGGGGTTCTTTCTATATCCTTCATACTGGTCCTTTGTCTGTTTCCTTAAACATTTTCTTAAACATTTCAAAATTGGAAACATGCTCTTCAAACGTCCCTAGCACCAGAGACGGATACAAACTCAGAAAAGGTTACTAACACTACTGCAATTAGGGCCTGTAGTACACAAACTCCAATTTGCTATTGCTGTTACCTTTTGAAAAATCTTTAGTGTCACAGCACATTAGCCGCTGGAAACCACCATGAGGGGTGAAGCCCAGGGACCAGAACCACCCCAGGGGACTGCAGGCAATCATCGTTACCAGGTTCAATTAACTGCTTTACAAAAGCAGGGCTCGTTTTCTCCAACCAGTGAACCCTGACATGCAGACACTACAATTAGAAGCGAAGGATATATTAAAACACGTCCTCTCTGCCACATGGAATAATGAGCACAAGGGCAGACCTAATCATATTTTTAAAGCTACAAATGAATTATAAGAACAAGGACAATGGACAAAACTGAGAGGTGATTCATAAGGCTCTCGGTGTGGTGGACTGCCCACCTGCTGTTGGAAACACAGGGAAGGACAAGGGCTCTTATCCCAGTGCTTCTTGCACATCTTTTCTTCCATGATGATCTGAAATATACTCCCTTAAATATCTCACCATCCTGAAACGTGAAGTCGCCTAGGGCAATACACTGCTCAGTGGCTTGAATCTCCTCTTCTCATATGCATTCATTAAATTCTTATCGTCAACATGCCCTGCTTCCCAACCCTCAACATGATAACCGTGCAGCAGGAAACAGTTACCTCTCCCAGAAAAAGCAAATATGACAACAACCGCTGCCCCACCCCTCTGTGGAGTCCAGGTGAACTTTTCAAATCCAGAGCTGGTTGCTGCCACACTGGAAGGGTATATAGAATCCCATCCGCAGACACTCCCAAGGGACCCCTGAGGCCCTCCTGGCTCAGGAGCAGGTGTCACCTGCTCTGCCTCTTTCCCCTCTTTAGTCTATTAAGCTGAAAGATAATAGAAAAAAGGGCAGAGGGAGCAAAAGCAAACACAAGAACAGTGTCTGATTCACTCTATCAGGCACCTCCGACTGTCACAAGTCTCAGGAAAAATATTCTAGAATCTTTCCTCCTCAGGGAAAATATTCTAGAACATTTCTTTTGCAAGCACATCCAAGAAAACAATAAACAAACAAAGATATTCACCCAAGGAAAGATTTGTCTTCTACAGTAAGAAGCACACAAGGCCCTTGGTATAGAAATGCTGCCAATTATAGATATGTTCCCACACACCACAAACACATTCACTGCCCCAGCATCTATCTGACCACGGGTGCCTCTTGCTTCATCTCAGAGCAAAACTTCCAGGAAAGAGCATCATGGATATTGTAGAGGGTGACTAGGAAATACAGATGCAATAGCATTGATACTACAGGACACCATGCTGTAACCCAATAGAGGAAGAAAACAGAAAAGCCGCCTACCTGACTCAATTCAACCTGTACCTTTGATAGTCTGTTTTCCAAATTTATTACAACTTCCCATCACTCCACACTACCAGATCAAAGAAAAATGTGGCAAATATTCATCAACAAAAGCTGCTTTCCAGAAATCCTAACGTTTACCCACTGGTCACAGAAAAAACAAACAACAACAAACTCAGCTAATTTTGCATCCCAGGTGCAGCACTTCCTCCCCTGTGACTTTTGGTAATTTATTTAACTTCTCTGGGTGTCAGTTTGGTCATTTATGAAGTAGGGGCAATAATAGTACATCTCCTCCCCTGAGATTGGTCTGAGGATTCAATTTGATGGTCATAACCCCCAAATGCTGCCTAACAGTCTAAAGTGTAAGGCACACCTTGTGAATCTGAGCCAAGGTTCTGTAACTCCTCTCAAATAATAACCTGAGACTGGAAGTGGACCTGGCAGGAGATGTCACTGAGATCTGAGGTCAAAACCTGCAGATGAAGTTGGGGCATATGAGACCTGTGAAAGTCCAATATAGACGACACTAAACCAAAGAGAATTTTGCTGATTTTAATCTGACAGTAATGTTGTCTTTAAAAGCTGAATAGGGACAAGGTGCGGTGGCTCATGCCTGTACTCCCAGCACTTTGGGAGGCCAAGGTGGGTGGATCACGAGGTAAAGAGATCGGGACCATCCTGGCCAACATAGTGAAACCCCATCTCTACTAAAAATACAAAAATTAGCTGGGCATAGTGGCGTGTGCCTGTAGACCCAGCTACTCAGGAGGCTGAGGCAGGAGAATCACTTGAACTCAGGAGGCGGAGGGTGCAATGAGCTGAGATTGCACTACTCAACTCCAGCCTGGGCGACAGAGCGAGACTCCATCTGAAAACAAACAAACAAACAAACAAACAAAAACTGAATAGGCCGGGTGCAGTAGCTCACGCCTGTAATCCCAGCACTTTGGGAAGCCTTGGCGGGTGGATCACCTGAGGTCAGGAGTTTGAGACCAGCTTGACCAACATGGTGAAACCCCGTCTCTACTAAAAATACAAAAATTAGCCAGGCATGGTGGCGCGCACCTGTAGTCCCAGCTACTCAGGAGGCTGAGACAGAAGAATTGCTTGAATCCAGGAGACGGAGGTTGCAGTGAACCAAGATCATGCCACTGCACTCCAGCCTGGGTGACAGAGCAAGACTCCATCTCATAAAACAAAAAATTAAAGCTGAATGAATAAAGGCCTAGATTCCAGACATCTGTAAGTGCTAAGATATGTCTAAGAGCATGGAGGTGCTCCTGGAAACTTCAGTGGGACAGCATTTTCTCAGACTACCTGCCCTAGAGTTAAATGTCACTTTTAACTCAGGAGGTCCCAGAAAAAGTTGGCACACAGAGCCAAAAAGAAGTATAGAATATAATAAATAACTGGTATTTAATAATGAAAGCAGGATACTTGTGGCAATCATAAGAGGGATATCCTTCAAGGCCATTAATGAAATTGGAACAATAGTATAAAATGTGTCCTCACAGCAGTCTCTTGTTCGTGTTTCTCTACTCATATATAAAGGTACTTGTGTAAAACAACAAGAAATGAAACTGAGCAGTCAGCTGGCCTAGCGCCCAAAACTGGCTGACTGCACAGGGAAACTGTTCCAGGTCTTTTGTTCTCTCTGACTAGTAAGATGGGGGCTTCTATCTGCCACCCACACCCAGGAGGGTATAAGTGTGACCAAGGGTTTAAGCACAGCCCCTCTGTGGACACAGGACACCCCATCCTGTGGGCCACCAGGGTCCAAAGAGGCTTGACATGGCTCAAGTTCCGAGACTGAACAGCCTTCCTACTGCGGAAGTGACTCCCAATTCTGCTGGCGGCATTGTCACTTTTCCTCTTTGGCAAATTGTATTTTAACTCTCATCCTACTGCATATCTAACTCTTGAGATGATCCTCCACTTTTTCCTTGAGTCATTCAGTCCTTCAAATAGTTACTGAGTGCCAGATGTGTGCTTAAGCTCTGCTGACAGGGCTGAAAGCAGACGTGGTCCCTGGAGGCCACAGTCTACAAAGGAGGTAGAGGTTAAATATGCAATTATAAACATAATCAACATCTTTGTATTTCAAGGGTATGGGGCAAAATAATAACGACAATAATAATAAAGGTTACCCCAAACTGGGATCATCATCTCTACCAAACAGTATACCAAATATTAATACTTCATGTAGATCAACTGGCCTGTGGGAGCCTGACACCCTGTAGGGAGGGTATCCTCTTCCTAACTATACAAACTAGGCATGTAAGAAATATACCCAGTCTCACCACCAGTGAGAAAAAAAGCCAAGATTCAAATCTGTGTCTTTCTGTTTTCAGAAGACATTTCCTCAAAGGTGAATATCTACCTCATCCAGAATATTAATCAGCAAACAGCAGAGGCAGACATAAGGAATCATCTTTTATTTCCTTGTAATCGAAGAGGCATTCTGACCAGACAAAAGCTGTGTTGTGGCTCATCATTCTTCTTGACCTGGATTTCAAAAAATATCGCCTTTAAGCTATAATTCCTCCTTTTCCTCTGGCCCAGCCTTCCTCCTCTTAATCAGAGTGACCTCTACATTTCAGCCAATCTCAAGTAGAACAAGACAAAAGGCTTTAAAATACACACACAAAAACATTTCATGGTGAAACTGAAACTTCTGAGGAAGAAGGATAGATTATGAATACATTCATATGCAGGACAGAATTACTTCCAAGTAAGTCAAAGCAAAGGCTTAATCTGGTTCTGAGTATTAATATCTTCAACTAGACAGCAAACTAACGTCTAGAGTAAAACAGGCATTACGGTTTGAAAGTTAAGTTCTTAAAATTACCCAAAAAAAGTCCTTTTATATTATTCAAAAGAACCCTTGGCTGGGTGCAGTGGCTCATGCCTGTAATTTCGGAACTTCGGGAGGCCAAGGCGGATGGATCACTTGAGCCCAGGAGCTCAAGACCAGCCTGGGCAAAATGACAAAACCCTGTCTCCTATTACAAATGTAAAAATTACCTGGGTGTGGTGGCATATGCCTATAGTCCCAGCTATTTAGGAGGCTGAGATGGGAGGATCACCTGAGCCTGGGAGGTCCGGGCTGTAGTGAGCCATGATCACACCACTGCACTCCAGCCTGGGTGACAGGAGTAACCCCCCCACCCCCCCCCCCACACACACAGATACACACACACACCACAACAAACATGAACCCCTGTCATCTAAAATAATAAAATTATTTGCAGGATCTGTGTGTGAATGATCCAATCAATCTTTCCTTGGAATTTACCTGCTTCAGTTTTAAAGTAGAAAGTTTATATTTATTTGAGGGGGTAGGGAGATAATAGGTAATTTTATTCTCAGACATTATTTCCCTTAGGATAATGCTATATCTGTAGAAGTTGCTAGATTTCCTAAAAGAATGAGCATACAACCTGCAGAAAAATAGTTGCTATCCTTTCCATGTAAAAGATCAGAATCTTAAAGACTCAGATAATTCTAGATCAGGAAAGAAAATAAACTAGTCCCAACTCGTAGTCTGAAAGAACATATGACTTGCCCAAGTTCACACAGTTGATTAGTAAAACATCAGAATCTCTGGCTACTAAAGAAAATACTCCAAACAAGAAAATTATTATTTTACCTTCCATTAATACCTACCAGCATGGGAAAGTCTGTTTTGTTTTGCTTTGTGTTCCCAATTGTTTGTGCTGTTGTTGTTTTATTTTGCTGTGAACAAGTGAAATGTCAGATCTAGGATTTTCCATGAAAGACTGACTCTCATGGCTTTTAAAGGTATTCCAAGATGATAACGTTAGAAGTATACTTTCTGATTGACACAAATATTCAGGCAGAACCTCAACACACACAATTTTTGCTATGAAGCACTCATCCTTAGAAGCCGATTATGCCTCCCTCTGAGTTCCTACCTGTATTTTTTAAGAGACTGCCTGCCAAAGACATACCATGTCTATAGCTCTGAGTATGGGACTGTGGAGACGGGTGGACACCTGCCTGACAGTGGCAACTTGAGTTGTATGAGTATGTTTCCCTTCCAATTTTTTGTATCCAATTTAAAAAATGTTTTCTTTATAAGCATAGATCTGTGTAATAACCTTATAAGTATTAATTTAACAGCCATTAAATATAATCAATTACCTTGTTCATAATTAATTGTATAGTTATATATTTATAATTGCATATTAAGTGGCAGAAAAATATCATCTAGATGAGGAAAACCAGCAAACTGATGAATTTATTATAAGTAACAACAAAAGCCAGCTGTTTCACTAATGGTCTCCTGTCAGTATATGAAAATGTGTTTGAATTTTACGGCAATAATTGAATCTCCTATGATTAAGCTATAAGTATTTTTTAAAGAAAGAATCAGCTTTTTTTCTAATTGAAATAAACAGATGACAACTTCATGAATTACTAACAATTCACAACTCTGATGATAACCAATCACCTGTGGCTTTTAACTGTGTCACCATTATGGATGTAACAGATTCTAACAAACATTTGTGGACATGCTACTAGATGTCAGGTGCCTACTCTCACAGAGCTTATATTTTGCTGGAGGAGACAGAAAAGGGACAAAAAGAATCCTATTGGGGGCTCCAAAAATGGAAGGGAATGAGACAGGAGCAGAGCAGACACCAAGGGAAAACATTGGAGGTAGCTGCCAATCCACTGCATAATCTTGGGCAGGTGTGCAGAGCTTTGCAAGTGACCTGGGAGTTAATATTTTATTCTAAGTGTAAGCAACACGCAAGTGTCAACAACTAAGTAGCTTAACCATATTTGTATTTTAAAAGATTACACGTGCTATGTGGAGAATAGATCCAATTGCCAAATGACAAACTGTTCGCCTTATGTATACATCTGTAATAATAATAAAGCAATGTTTAATCATTTTTACTAAGTTATTATATCTAATTTAGAGGGGTTTTTTTGGGTTTCACGCATTTCTGGGTCAGAATTTACCATTCTAGAAAATTTATTTTTGAATTACTTGACAGATCTTTCAAATAATCCCTAAGTTTCATCTTCAATTTATTTCTTCACAAGATTTTGTCCAGTGAAAAATGAGGTCAATGTTACAACCTATGGTCCTCTGAGGCAATATGGCTTACTGGTCTTTGAAGCCAGAAAGACTTAGGTGTGATTCATCCATCCACTGTTGTCTGTAACTTGGGTCCATCACTTGGCCTCTCAATCTTTAGTTTCTCCATATGTAAAACAGAGATAATAGTATCTACCCCACAGGATTATAGGGAGAAGAATAAATGAAATAATGTCTGTGAAGGACTTATGCCACTGCCTGTACTTAACACATTATCAATAATGGTGTCTATTACTCTTATCATTGTTACTATATCCTATTAGTATTATTACCAACAAGGAGAAATATCCTAAAGTTGTTAGTCATAAAATAATTTTTAATTGGAAGAAATTAGGATTACCATGCCACAGGCATATGCTTGGAGATATGTATATTATGAAAATCTACATCAAAAAATAACTTGAAAGTAGAAAAGAATTAATTCTAATTCCTATCAGGTAAATTAACAGACATAAATAAGAGTGGAAAATTTATGGTGAGTTGTCTACTTTCGGGATTGCCACCAGATTCAAGGTTTAATTTAAAAATTAAACAGTAGTTGGCAAATCCCTGGATCACAAGATTCTTAGTGAATAATCAACAACCTAAGGGCATTCCCCTTTACTGTCAGAGAATTTTCTGGAGAAAGATCCTGAGGTAATTTCTGGGGTCTGCCAATGATTTCTGCAGTCAGCCATCTTAATGAAAGAAACACTAAGTTTTATGGAAATGTACTGTGGGACTCTGAATATTATAATTAACAGAACCATGAAGGGTTTGTCTAGCATAATTTCGGATATGCCAAGAACGCTCTGGTGTCCCCAAATGCCCCCTTTACAAAGTTTTTGACGTCTGAAACACCGCAATCACACTGTGTATGTAAAAACAATAAAACGAAACTTCAGAAGTATTTGTTCATTGAAATATTTAATAAAATTGAAATTGGTGACATATTGTGTTTAAAATGAATTATTTAAAACAAATGTGTTTGAAACAACTATTTATTTAAAATAAATATCCCCAGGCTCTGAGAAAGCCCAGTTGGAAAAAAAAAAAAAAAAAGTTAAAAGAATAATAAAAGAGCCAAGGACTTTGGTAGGAAAGAATTCACTTTATAAATGAACAGTTCAGACTTCTGTAGCCACCATTACCCACAAATTAAGACTTATAGTCACAATAGAAAAAAAAATGTTGTAACAAGAAAAATTAGGGCAATGGGGAAAAGATATAGGAGTTTTTCCAAGTTGTTCATTATTCATGCAATTAGGAATAAAAAGACCAGAGTTTCTAAACACATAAGCGGCAAAGAAAAAAAGAGGGTCACTAACGTGGTAACTTTGCACAGGCAAATAAAAGACAACTTTGGAAGAAGCAAATAATGGTATTTTCTCCCTCTAAATTGCAAAATAAAATGACTGTTCAAACAAAACCTTATCAATTATCATTACTGTAAAGTTGCACTTTTTGTCTTTAAACTTGTCAATATCAATACATTAATATAGATTTAGAAAGGGATGGTACTAATACAATTAAGCTGTCAAAGTTATAAGGTTTTCAGAAACAATGTTTACATTTCAAGATTCTATAACAGAAATGCATTTTTCTCTTTCATTTATCTAGAAGATGGCCTTGTGTAGTTCTTTTGGAATGAATAAGTCAATGTTGTTCTCACTGCTGATATAATGTTAGAATGCACAAGATCAAACTGGAGGCTGCCCTGCTATGTAGTATATCATTCTCTCCTTTTCATCTCTTTAATAATTGTTTCCTAATATAAATTTAATTGATTTAAACTATACTATTTCTTAGTATAAATTTAATTGATTTAAACTTACATTACATGGATGAATCTTATAAGTAAATGTATACAAATCAGTAAAACATATAACACAATGTCTAGCATACTATAAGAAATTACTAGACAAGTGAAGAGGCAAAAAAAAAAAAAGTGACTTAAAAAGAAAAAGCAGTCAAAAGAAACAGAAAGGAACCAGATGGCGAAATTACCAGAGAAGGAATTTAAAACTGTTATTGTCAGTATATTCAAAGACTTAAAAAAAAACATAATCAGTGTATAGATGGAGAATTTCAGCAAAGAAATAGAAAATAAAAAAAAGATTTAATGAAAATCCAGGAACTAAAAATACAATATATGAAATAAAACAGTCACTAAATGATTTTAATGGAAGATTGGAGAGTACAGAAGAAAAAGTTAATAAACTTGTAGATAAATTACAGGTTGGAAACAAATGAAAAGAGCCACAGTGAGGATATTAAGCAATGTAACATAGATATCATTTAAGTTCCAGAAGGAAATATAAAGAGAAAGGGGCAGGTAACATTTTGAAGAAATAATTATTTAAAAATTTCCAAATATAGTTAGAATATTTTAAAATGTCAGCAAACTCCAAGCAGAGCAAGCAGATATATATATATATAGATATCTATATATATAGATATATATAGATATATATATGCATCTAGAAACATCCTTATCACACTGTGTAGTACACTGAAAATCAAACATAATGAGAAAACTCTTGAAAGCAGAAGAGAAAAATGACTCACTGAATACAGGAGAACAAAGATACAAAGATACAAATGTTGGCGGATATATCATCAGAAACACTAAAGATCAGAAGAGAATGGAATTACATCCTTAAAATGCTAAAAGAAAAAGAATTAGCTGTCAATTCACAATTCTATTTCCAGCAAAATTATCCTTCCAAAATGAGGTTAAAACGAAGATATTTTTAGATAAACAAAAGCTGAGTGGTATTGCTACCAGACTTGCAAAGCAAAAATTAAAAATTGCTAAAAGGGGTCTTTAAGCTGAAGAGAAATAACAAATGGAAACTCAACTCTATATGAAGGAATGAAGAGTGTCAGAAATGGTAAATATGTAGGTAAATATATTATTGTCTTTACATTAATTTCTTTAGAAGATAGCCATTTAAAGCAAAATCAAAAGCAAAACAAAAATGTTACATTATGAGATTTATAACATATATAAAAGATAAATGATAATACCAAAAATTAAGGTAGATTTAAAGACAATAGAGAAATTAAGTGATGTGCTAAAGCACATTCAATTAACTCAAAAGAAGACAGGAAAAGAAATGAACAACAACAACAACAAAAACAGAGAGAAAGTATATAAGAAGGCAAATCCAATTATATGAATAATTACATAAAGTGTAAATGACTAAACCATTCAACTAAAAGGCAGAGGTTGTCAGACTAAAAAAAAAAAGAACAAGACCAGAATTACAGACAGGTTATAAGTAAAGGTACAGAAAAAAGATACACCATATAAAAGCTACTGCTGCAAAACCAGGAATATTCACACTAATATGAATATTTCTTAATGATAAAAGATAAAATCTAAAAGATAAAATGATAACCTTAACCAGAAGACAAAGCAATCCTAAATGTGTAACACCTAATAAAAAGAGTTTCAAAATACATGAACAAAAATCCATCAGAACTAAACAGATAAACAAATCCACAATCATATTTGAAGACTTTAATACCACAGGTTAAAGGAGCATTAACAAGGAAAATTAGAAAACATTTTGAACTGAAAGATAATGAAAACAGGATATATTAAAATGAGAGAGAGGAGAATGCAGTGAAAGCACCATTTAGAAGAAATGTACAGTATCCAATGTTTACATCAGAAAAGAAGAAAGAATTCATCCAACACTGTGGACGAATATCAGACATTATGATCAATAAAAGAAACCAGACACAAAAGACTACGTACTATACTATTCTATTTTTTATAAAGTTCAAGAATATATAAAACTAATTTATGATGTTAGCAATCACAAGAATGGTTTACTGTGAAGGACAGAAGGAAGCTGAATTCAAAGAGGGCAGAAAGGAACTCTCCTTATGAAGTCAAACTTCAAGTTTTCCGACCTACACATTGTACTGTATGCAAATTTTACAAAGTGAAATAAAAAATAACACTCATCACAAGTGTAGTTAAGCAGCAGTTTGTGTAAATGAACATCAAACAGGTGATATCCTGGCTCTTTTTTGTTTTTTGTTTCACTTGGATCTTTCTATCCCCTTTGTTTAGCATGACGTCTGGATTACAACAGGTATTCAGTGAATATGGGCATACCTCAGAGATACTGTAGGTTTAGTTCCATAACACCATGATAAAGCAAATATTACAATAAAGCAAATCACATGAATTTTTTTGTTTCTCAGTACACATAAAAGTTACGTTTATACTATACCACAGTCTATTAAGTGTGCAATAGCATTATGTCTAAAAATCAATGTGTGTACCTTAATTTTAAAATACTTTACTGATACAAAATGCTAATGATCATCTGAGCCTTTAGTGAGTTGTAATCTTTCTGCTGGTGGAGGGTCTTGACTCCATGTTGATGGCTGCTGACTGATCAGGGTGATGGTTGCTAAAGGTTGGAGTGACTGTGGCAATTTCTTAAAATAAGACAATAATGAAGTTTGCTTCAACAATTCACTCCTCCTTTCACAAAAGATTTCTCAGTAGCATGCAATGTTGTTTGATAGCATTTTACCCACAGCAGAACTTCGAAAACTGGAGTCAATCCTTTTAAACCCTGCTGCTGCCTTATCAACTACCTTTATAAAACATTCTAAATCCCTCCTTGTTGGTTCAACAATGTTTACAGCATCTTTACTGGGAGTAGTTTCCACCTCAAGAAGCCACTTTGTTCATCCATAAGAATCAGCTTCTCATTCATTAAACTTTTATCATGAGATTGCAGCAAATCAGTCACATTTTCAGGTTCCGTTTCTAATTCTAGTCCTCTTGCTATTTCTACCACATCTACAGTAACTTCCTTCACTCAAGTCTTGAACCCCTCAAAGACATCCATGAGGCTTAGACTCTGACAAATTCTTGTTAATGCTGATAGTTTTACCTCCTTTCATGAATCAGAAGTATTCTTAGTGGCATCTAGAATGGTGAATCCTTTCCAAAAGCTTTTCAATTTACTTTGTCCAGACCAGACGGATCACTATTTATGGTGGCTACAGCCTTACTAACTGCATTTCTTAAATAATAAGACTTGAAAGTTGAAATTACTCCCTGATCCGTGGACTGTAGAACGGATGTTGCGTTAGCAGGCATGAAAACAACATTAATCTCTTTGTACATCCCCAGCAAAGCTCTTAGGTTGCCATGTGAGTTGTCAATGAGATGTAACATTTTGAAAGGAATCCTTTTTCTGAGCAGTATGTCTAAATAATAGGCTTAAAATATTCAGTAAACCATGCGGCAAACAGATGTGCGGTCATCCAGGCTTTGTTGTTCCATTTATAGAGCACACGTATGGTAGATTTAGCATAACTCTTAAGGGCCCTAGGGTTCTTGGAATGGTAAGTAAGCATTGGCTTCAACTTAAGGTCACCAGTTGCATTAGCCCCTAATAAGAGAGTCAGCCCGAGCTTTGAAGCTCTGAATCCAGGCACTGAATTCTCCTCTCTCTTTTTTTTTTCTTTTTCCTGGGACAGAGCCTTGCTCTGTTGCCCAGGCTGGAGAGCAGTGGCGCAATCTCGGCGCACTGCATCCTCCACCTCCCGGGTTCAAGCAATTCTCCTGCCTCAGCCTCCTGAGTAGCTGGTATTACACATGCAAGCCACCACGCCTGGCTATTTTTTTGTGTGTATTTTTAGTAGAGATGGGGTTTCACCATGTTGGCCAGGCTGGTCTCAAACTCCTGACCTTGTGATCTGTCCACCTTCGCCTCCCAAAGTGCTAGGATTACAGGTGTGAGCCACCACACCCAGCCGACTTCTCCTCTTCAACTAGGAGAATCCTAGATAGCATCTTCTTCCAATATAAGGTTGTTGCATCAGCCTTATATGTTTTCTATAGCCACCTTCATCAATTATCTTAGATCTTAAACATTCTGAATAACTTGCTGTACTTTCTACATCAGCACTTGCTGCTTCACCTTGCACTTTTATGTTATACAGATGGCTTCCTTCCTTAAGCCTCATGAACCAACTCTGCTAGCTTCAAGCTTTTCTTTGGTAGCTTTCTCACTTCTCTCAGCCTTCATAGAACTGAAAAGAGTAAGGGCCTTGCTCCAAATTAGGCTTTGGCTTAAGGAAGTATTGTGACAGGTCTGATCTATCTAGACCACTAAAATTTCTCCATATCAGCAATAAGGCTGTGTTCACTGAAGTAGCACTTGTAATTTCCTTCAAGGCTTTTCCTTTGCTCTCACAACTTAGCTAACTGCTTGGTGCAAGAGGCCTAGCTTTCGGCCCATCTCTGCTTTCAACATGCCTTCCTCACTAAGCTTAATCACTTCCAGCTTTTGATTTAAAGTGAGAGACATGTGACTCTTCCTTTCGCTTGAACACTTAGAGGCCACTGTAGGGTTATTAATTGGCCTAATTTCAATATTCTTGTGTCTCAGGAAATAGGTCTGAAGAGAGGGAGAGAGATGAGGGAATGGCTGGTTGGTGGGACAGTCCAACACATGCAATATTTATCAATTAAGTTTGTCATTTTATATGGGTGTGGTTCATGGTGCCCCAAAATAATTACAATAGTAACGTCCAAAGATCACTGATCACAGATTACCATAACACATATAGCAATAGTGAAAAAGTCTGAAATATTGTGAGAATTACCAAAGTGTGACACAAAGACATGACGTGAGCATGTGCTGTTGGAAAAAACGGCACCAGTAAACTTGTTCAACTCAGGGTTGCTATAAAGCTTTAATTTGTAAAAACACAGTATCTGTGATGGGCAATAGAGCAAAGCACAATAAAATGAAGCATATCTGTATTTGTTGGAAGAATACATAAATGAATAAAGGTTGCAGAACAATCAATCCTACCCTCATGGAGCTCACAACATTTTCTTAACTGGTTAGCTCCTGTTCATGTTATATTATAGCCATTTGCTTACATGCCTATCTAATTTCCTGGAGAGTTAGGGTCCCCTCTCAGTTTGTGGGAGTCCCATAACCTACAACTGGACTTAGTTCTGAATAAATGTTAAATTAAGCAACAAATGGACACTTATGTGAAAAAAATTAACAAGATAGGAAGTAATAAGCATCATCGAAGAAGCAAAAATAAAGTGTCATTAGAGTTGCCAAAAGACAAAATTACAACAAATTTGGTTATAGATTGACTTGGCTCTTATTAATAATTCATGGATGAGGCTAGTCTCCATTCTACAAAACAGAATGAGAGCTCTCACTGGGCAATGGCAGAACAGTAGGTTTTGTAAGATGAGAAAAAGGAGACAGAACAATAGAAAAAAGAGGAACTGGTTAACATCTGGTTACTACAGGTTACTTTTTCGGTAATAGTTAAAGCAGATGGGTCTTTCTATTTATGCTGACTCAGGTAGACTGGAATGTTCTGTTTTCAGGGAAAAAACTGTTCTTTCAGGGTATCTGTCTGCTTCCTTAAAGTTTCAGTTTGATTACGTGGCATTTAGCATGACTGACTCCATTTTGGTTTTGCCTGGTCTGTTAGGCAATTTTAATTTTGCATTTGTGGAAAATTACGATATTATGTGTTCTCTGTGCTTGGAGATATTGAGTGGAGCTCTTAGAAGCTCCACTCAATCCAGACTTGACCTTTGGGGATTTTCTCCAAGGTACCCTGAACTCCCAAACTAGGTGAGGTCTCCTTGTCAAGCACTGTGATAATACCTTGTACTTCTCTTTCATGTCACTTATCACAATTGAAATTTGATTTAAATTATTTAAATGATTACTTACATCATCACATCTTTAATATCTGTCCCTCCCATTAGACAGTAAGTTCTAGGAGAAGAAAGACAGCATCTCTCTGTCCAGCTCAGGGCCATATTCACAGTACAGTGCCTGATACACAGGAGGCCATTAACAACTATTGGCTGAATGAATCATAGTATGTGAGGTGGATGAGATCTTAGAAATCACCTAGATGTTATAAGTGCATCCTTTTACGGATGAGCAAAGAAGCCACAGCAGCAGATCTCTGAGCATGTAAATGGTCCAGCTGGGAATGAAACTACTAGATCCTAAATTTCTCAACCTCCAGGCCAAGGCTCTCCCTATTGGATCAAGCTAAGGTTCTGCCCACTGCCCCTTCTTCCACTCTCATTTGACCAATAGTCAAGGTCATGAGCATAACATGTGACCACCAAATAACTGGTTAACACAAAGCTCAAAGTCATAACACTGGCCTTATTCACAAGTTATAATGCCTACTCAAATGAAATGATAGTGTGTGTTTGGATCAGATGTGTGTGTGTGTAACAACTGAGAAGTAGCTTTGATTTTTAAATTATCACACTTAAGGATTCCTTGGAAACTATTTATACATCAGTCTTATGAATAAATGACATGTGGCAAGTCCTAACTAAGAAACATCTAATCTAAGATCTTAAGATGAAGAAGACACTGTGTCCACCTGCCAAGCTGATACACATTAAAAAACAAAAGCAATAGGCATGCTTTCATCAGTTAGATGACTGTGGGGGTGGTTATTTTAACATAAAAATGTGAAAGTTCCATCTCTTTTCATTTATTTCTCCTACAGATGTGACCCCTATTTTGTTTACTGCACAAAAGCCAATTCCCTATCTCTATGAAAAACACCAATTCTGATTCTGGGCCTGGGTTTTCCTTGCTTTTTCCCATCGCCCCACAGCTAGAAGCTCAACACCTTACTCAAAGTGGAGACTGACAGATTGGAGCTTGGTAAGAACTCAGGAAAACCCCCAGTGAGAATAGTCATTTCCTCCACTCAAGAAGTAGTTCTGCTAAACCCTTCCACTGCTCTTGTTTACAATATAGTTTTCCCCAAGGCAAAAGCCCTACTTTACAGCAGAAAAATTCTGTAGAAGTAGGTGATAGCTCTGCTCTGCTGTTTGCTGTTCCACTGTCCTTTTTTAAAAAATAAATGTTATTGCATATATTTAAAGTATAATATATATATACAGTAAAATGGTGACTACAGTGGAACAAATTAATATATCCATCAGCTCACGTAGTTACCCATCCCCCTTCCCAGTGACAAAAGCAGCTATAATCTATCTACTCACTTAACCAAAGTCCGGAATACAATACACTACTATTAACTATAGTTCTCATGTTGCACATTAGATCAACTTGTACTTCCTACATATTTGCTATTTTGTATTCTTTGACCTACAACTCCCATTTCCTCTCTCCCACCGTGAACCTGGTAATGAATGTTTTATTCTCTATCTCTATATATCTAACCACTTTTTGTTTTTTTAGATTCCACACATAAGTGAGATCATGAAATATTTTTCTTTCTGTGTTTGGCTTATTTCACTTAGCATAATGTCCTCCCCATTTGTCCATGTTGTAGCAAATGTTAAGACCTCCTCCTTTTTTAAGGTTGAATAATATTCCATTGTATATATGTGTACACACATTGTACAATGTGTGTGTATATACACAATGGAGTATTCTTCAATCTGAAATATATATAGTGTACATATATATACACACATACACACTATATACATATATATATGCACACAGTTTCTTTATCCATTAGTCCACTGATGGGCACCTAGGTTGTTTCTCTATCATGGCTATTGTGGAAAATGGCGCAATTAACATGTGACTGCAGGTATCTTTCTGAGGTGGTGATTTCATTTCCTTTGAGTATATACCCAGAAGAGCAATTTCTGGGTCATACAGTCATTCTATTTTCAATTTGTTTAGTAACCTCCATACTGTTTTTCATAATGGCTACACCAATCTATATTCCCACTGACAGCATACAAGAGTTTCCTTTTCTCCACAGCCTCACCAACACTTGTCTTTTTGTCTTTTTGACAACAGTTATCCTAACAGGTGTGAAGTGATATTGCACAGTTTTAATTTGTATTTCTCTGATGATTAGTGATGCTGAGCCCCTTTCTGTGTATCCGTGGGCCATTTTTATGTCATATTTGGAGAAATGTATACTAATGTCCTTTGCACATTGCTAATTGGGTCATTTTTTTTTTTGCTATTGAGTTGTATGAGTTCTTTATAAATTTTGGATATTAACCCTTAGCAGATACATGATTTGTGAATATTTTTCCCAATATTTTTGTTAATTGTTTCCATTGCTGTGCAGAAGCTATTTAGTTTGATGTAGTCCCATTTATTTATTTTTGCTTTTGTAGCCTGAGCTTTTGGTGTGACATCCAAGAAATCACTGTCAAGGTCACCGTCAAGGAGTTTACCCCCTATATTTTCTTCTAGCAGTTTTATGGTTTCAGGTTTTACATTTAGGTCTTTCATCCATTTTGAGTTGATTTTTGTATATAAGATAAGGGTCCAATTTCATTCTTTTGCACATGGAAATCCAGTTTTCCCAGCACCATTTATTAATGAGACTATTCTTTCCCCCATTGTGTCTTTTTGCTGCCCTTCTCAGAAACTAGTTGACCACATATGTTTGGATTTATTTCTGGGCTCTCTATCCTATTCTACAAGTCTATGTGTCTGCTTTTTGCCAGTAACATGTTGTTTTGATTGTTATGCTTCGTAATATAATTTTAACAGGAAATGTGAAGCCTCCAACTTTTTTTTTTTTTTTTTTTTTTACTGAGTAGTATTTTGGCTATTCAGGGTTTAATGTGGTTCCACATAAATTTTAGGGTTTTTACATTTATGTGAAGAATGCCATTGGGATTTTGATAGGGATTGCATTGGATCTATACATATTGCTTTTTAGTATAGTATAGTACAGTACAGTATAGTATAGTATAGTATAGACATTTTAGTATAGTATAGTATAGACATTTTAACAATATTAATTCTTCCAATTCATGAGCATGAAATATCTTTCTATTTGTGTCCTCTTCAATTTCTTTCATCAATGTTTTATAGTTTTCAGTGTACTCTTCAATTTGTTTCATCAATGTTTTATAGTTTTCAGTGTATGTCTTTTACTTTCTTGGTAAAATTTATTCTTAAGTATTTCATCTTGTTTTATTTTTGATGCTATTAGAAATGAGATTATTTTCTTGAATTTTTCATCTAGGTTGTTATTTGTATATAGAAATACAAGAAATTTTTGTATCTTTATTTTACATCCTGCAACTTTATTGAGATCTAACAGCTTTTTGGTGGAGTCTTTGGGGTTTTCTACATAAAGGATCATGTCATCTGTAATTCGTGATAATTTTACTTCTTTTGTTCCCATCTGAAAGCTTTTTATTTCTTTTTTGTCTAACTGCTCTTGCTAATACTTCCAGTACTATGTTGAATAGTAGTGGCAAGTGTGGGCATTCTTACCTTACAGCAGATCTTAAAAGAAAAGCTTTCAGTTTCTCCTCATTGATTATGATGCCAGCTGTCGGTTTTTCATAAATGAACTTTATTATGCTGAGAAACCTTCCATCTATACCTAAACTGTTAAGAGTTTTCATCAAGAAAGGATGTTGAACTTTGTTGAATGCTTTTTCTGCATCAGTTTATATGATCGTGTGGTTTTTGTCTGTTAATGAAAGTATCACATTGATTAATTTGTATATGCTAGTCTTACATGGCCAGGGATACATCTCTCTCGATCATGATGTATAATCTTCTTGATTTGTTCTTGAATTTGAGTTGCTAAAATATTATTGATGATTTTTTACATCAATATTCATCAGAGATATTGATACTGACCTGACGTGTAGTTTTCTTTACCGTGGTGTCTTTGGTTTAGGTACCAAGGTGATGCTGGCTTCAGAAAACATGTTAGGAAGTATTCCCTCCAGCTCTATTTTCTGGATGAGTTTAAGAAGTTTGGGTAGTAATTCTTGTTTGAAAATGTAGTATAATTCAGCCGTAAAGCCATCTGGTCCTGGGCTTTTATTTTTTAGGAGGCTTTTAATTACTACTTCAATCTCTTTGTTATTGCTCTATGCGGGCTTTGCATTTCTTCCTGATTCAACCTTGGCAAAACCTTGGTTTTAGAAAGAATTTATCCATTTCCTCTAGGTTATCAAAATTTCTTGGCATATAATTGTTCTTAATAGTTACTTATGAAGCTTTTTATTTCTGAGGCTTCTGTTATAATGTCTCCACTTTCATTTCTGATTTCATATATTTGAGTCTTCTCTCTTTTCTTAGTCTAGCTAAGGGTTTGTTAATTTTGTTTAAGTTTTCAAAAAATAAACAATTCAGTTAATTTTTTCTATGGTTTTTCTATCCCTCATTTGATTTATTTCTGTTCTGATTTTTATTATTTCCTTCCTTCTGTTAACTTTGGGTTTAACTTGTTCTTCTTTTTCTAGTTCCTTGAGGTGTAATGTTGGGCTACTTATTTAAAATCTTTCTTCTTATTATTTGAAATATTTCTTATTTTTTAATGTAGGCATTTACAGTTATGAACTTCCCTTCCAGAACCACTTTTGTTGTATCCCATAGGTTTTGGTATGTTATGTCTTCACTACCTTTTGTCTCAAGATATTTTTATTGTGTGTGCGTGTGTGTGTGTGTGTGTGTGTGTGTGTGTGTGTGTGTGTGTTTGAGATAGGGTCCGGCTCTGTCACCCAGGCTGGAGTGCAGTGGCATAATCTTGGCTCATTGAAACCTCTGCCTCCCAGGTTTAAGCCACCCTTCCACCTCAGCCTCCTGAATAGCTGAAACTACAGGTACGTGCCACCAAGACCGGCTACTTTTTTTTATTTTTTGCAGAGACAGGTCTCACTTGTTGCCCAAGCTGGTCTCGAACTCTTCAAGTGATCTGTCCATCTCCATCTCCCAAAGTGCTGGGATTATAGGTGTGAGCCACTGTGCCTGGCCAAGATATTGCTAAGATATTTTCCTCTTGATTTCTTCTTTGACCCACTGGGTTGTTCAGGAGCATGTTGTTTAATTTCCACATATTATTGACTTTTCCAAAAATCTTCCTATTGTTGATTCGTAGTTTCATATACTTGTGGTCATAAATAATACTTGATATGATTCCAATCTTCTTAAGTTTGTTAAGACTTACTTTGTGGCTTACCATATGGTTCGTCCTGGAGAATGTTCCACGTGCACTAGAGAAGAATGTATATTCTGCTGCTGTTGGATGGAAAGTTGTGTATATATTTGTTAAGTCCATTTTTTTCTGAAGTGCAGTTCAATTACAGTATTTCCTTATTAATTTTCATCTGCTTGATCTGTCCATTGTTGAAAGTGGGATATTAAAGTCCCTTACTATTATTGTATTGCTGTCTATTTCTCCCTTAATGTCAATTAATATTTGTCTTAGGTGCTCTCAGATTGGGTGCATATATATTTACAGACATTATGTCCTCTTGATGAATTGAGCCCTTTATCATTAAATAGTGACCCTATTTGTCTTTTGTGACAGTTTCATACTTAAAATCTATTTTATTAGATATAAGTATAGCCAGCCCTGCTCTTTTTTTTGGTTGCCATTTGCATGCAATATCTTCTTCCATTCCTTTACTTTCAGCCTATGTGTGTCCTTAAGGCTAAAGTGGGTTTCTTGTGGGTAGCATATAGTTGGACCTTGTTTTTTTAATCAATTTAGCCACTCTATGTCTTTTGGTTGGAGAATTTAATCCATTTACATTCATCGTAATTATTGATAGGTAAAGAATTATTACTGCCATTTTATTAACTGTATTCTGGTTGTTTCACAGATCCTTTGTTCCCTTCTCCCTCTCTTGTTTTTTATCTTTGTAATCTAGTAAGTTTCTGTAGTGCTAAGTTTTTATTCTTTTCTCTTTATCATTGGTATATATGCTATAGGTTTTGCTTTGTAGTGCCATATGGTTTATGCAAAACATCATACAGTTATAATAGGATATTTTACACTGATAACAACTTAATTTCATTCTCATACAAACACTCTTGACTTTTGCCCTCTCCCAACAATTTATATTTTTGATGTCAGAATTTACGTCTTTTTATATTAAGCATTTCTTAATTAATGGTAGCTATCATTATTTTTGACTGTTTTGACTTTTGACCTTTATACTAGAGATATATACGATTTACAGAGTATCATATCAACAATGAAGTATTCTGGACTTGACCTTTACCATTGAATTTTATACTTTCATATGTTGTTACATTAGTAATTCACATCCTTTTGTTTCTACTTGAAGAACTCTCTTAAGTATTTCTTCTAAGACGGGTTTAGTGGTGATAAATTCTCTCAACGTTTGCTTGCCTAGGAAAGACTTTTGTTTCTCCTTTATTCCTGAAGGACACCTTTAATGGGTATAGTATTCTTGGCTGACATTCTTTTTCCTTTCAGTACTTTAAAATTTTCATCCCTTTCTCTCCTGGCTTGCAACGTTTCTCTTAAGAAATTCACTGACATTCTAACGATGATTTCCCTTATATGTGACCTGACACTTTTCTCTTGTTCTTTTAAAATTATCTCTTTGTCATTGACTTTTGATAGTTTAATTATAATGTACCTCAGAGAGAACCACTTTGGGTTGAACTTGTTTGGGGACTTTTGAGTTTCACAGATCTGGATGTCCAAATCTCTTCCAAGAATCTGGAGGTTTTCTGCAATTATTTCATTATTTCATAAGCTTCCTCTTCCTACCTCTGTCCCTTATCCTTCTGCAATTCTCCTAATATGAATCTTTGTTCACTTGATGGCATTTCATAAGTTCTGCAGACTGTCTTCAATCTTTCATTCATTTTTCTTTTTTTTCCGTTGACTAGGTAATTTCAAAAGACCTATCATCAAGTTCAGAGTTTCTTTCTTCTGCTTGATCTAGTCTGATGTTGAAGTTTTCTATTATAGTTTTTATTTCATTCATTGAATTCTTCAGCTCCAAGATTTTTATTTGGTTCTTTTTAATGATATTTATCTCCGTTGAGATTATCATTCAGATCATGAATTTTTTTTCTGATTTCACTGAATTGCCTATCTTATCTCAAATCTCACAGAGTTTCCTCACAATCATTATTCTGAATTCCTTTTTAGAAAATTCATAAATTTCCTTTTCTTGGAGTAAGTTACTAGAGAATTATTGTGTTACTTTGGCAATGTCCTGTTTCCTTGCTTTTTCATGTTTCTTGTTCCTTGCATTGATGTCTGCACATCTGGTGAAACAATCACCTCTTCCAAACTTTACAGACTGGCTTTTATAGGGAAAGACTTTCACTTGCAGATGGGTCTTACTGTGCCAATTTGGTAGGGCATGGTGACTCTAAGCTCCTAGTAGAAGCAGTTGTATATCCTCTGTGAAGCTTCTTCAGCTGTGATCAATGTCAGAAATGACTGTGGGTGTCTGGTAGACTAGGCTGTAGGAGTTTGGGGCAGTGGTGGTGGTAGCAAAGGCTGTCAGGGTCCTTGGTGACAAGGACTTTTGATGTCCTCCTCTTCTTTCTTTCCACACAATGGTGAGTCTTAGATGAGAAGATATTTCTTGATGTCAGGTCTGACACAGCCCTCAAGCAGCTGCAACAGTGCTGAGTTCCAGGAAACAGGTGCTCAGAATATCCATGGAAGAGGAGTCGTGGGCTCAGGGTTTCATGAGCTTATTTTGGCACCTGAGTTCTAAGGTGAAGGTTCACTCTCGGAGGAGCCAAGATGGCCGAATAGGAACAGCTCCGGTCTACAGCTCCCAGCGTGAGCGACACAGAAGACGGGTGATTTCTGCATTTCCATCTGAGGTACCGGGTTCATCTCACTAGGGAGTGCCAGACAGTGGGCGCAGGCCAGTGTGTGTGCGCACCGTGCGCGAGCCGAAGCAGGGCGAGGCATTGCCTCACCTGGGAAGCGCAAGGGGTCAGGGAGTTCCCTTTCCGAGTCAAAGAAAGGGGTGACGGACGCACCTGGAAAATCGGGTCACTCCCACCCGAATATTGCACTTTTCAGACCGGCTTAAAAAACGGCGCACCACGAGACTATATCCCACACCTGGCTCAGAGGGTCCTACGCCCACGGAATCTCGCTGATTGCTAGCACAGCAGTCTGAGATCAAACTGCAAGGCGGCAACGAGGCTGGGGGAGGGGCGCCCGCCATTGCCCAGGCTTGCTGGGAAGCTCGAACTGGGTGGAGCCCACCACAGCTCAAGGAGGCCTGCCTGCCTCTGTAGGCTCCACCTCTGGGGGCAGGGCACAGACAAACAAAAAGACAGCAGTAACCTCTGCAGACTTAAGTGTCCCTGTCTGACAGCTTTGAAGAGAGCAGTGGTTCTCCCAGCACGCAGCTGGAGATCTGAGAACGGGCAGACTGCCTCCTCAAGTGGGTCCCTGACCCCTGACCCCCGAGCAGCCTAACTGGGAGGCACCCCCCAGCAGGGGCACACTGACACCTCACACGGCAGGGTATTCCAACAGACCTGCAGCTGAGGGTCCTGTCTGTTAGAAGGAAAACTAACAAACAGAAAGGACATCTACACCGAAAACCCATCTGTACATCACCATCATCAAAGACCAAAAGTAGATAAAACCACAAAGATGGGGAAAAAACAGAACAGAAAAACTGGAAACTCTAAAACGCAGAGCGCCTCTCCTCCTCCAAAGGAACGCAGTTCCTCACCAGCAACAGAACAAAGCTGGATGGAGAATGATTTTGACGAGCTGAGAGAAGAAGGCTTCAGATGATCAAATTACTCTGAGCTATGGGAGGACATTCAAACCAAAGGCAAAGAAGTTGAAAACTTTGAAAAAAATTTAGAAGAATGTATAACTAGAATAACCAATAGAGAGAAGTGCTTAAAGGAGCTGATGGAGCTGAAAACCAAGGCTCGAGAACTACGTGAAGAATGCAGAAGCCTCAGGAGCCAATGCGATCAACTGGAAGAAAGGGTATCAGCAATGGAAGATGAAATGAATGAAATGAAGCGAGAAGGGAAGTTTAGAGAAAAAAGAATAAAAAGAAATGAGCAAAGCCTCCAAGAAATATGGGACTATGTGAAAAGACCAAATCTACGTCTGATTGGTGTACCTGAAAGTGATGTGGAGAATGGAACCAAGTTGGAAAACACTCTGCAGGATATTATCCAGGAGAACTTCCCCAATCTAGCAAGGCAGGCCAACGTTCAGATTCAGGAACTACAGAGAACGCCACAAAGATACTCCTCGAGAAGAGCAACTCCAAGACACATAATTGTCAGATTCACCAAAGTTGAAATGAAGGAAAAAATGTTAAGGGCAGCCAGAGAGAAAGGTCGGGTTACCCTCAAAGGAAAGCCCATCAGACTAACAGCGGATCTCTCAGCAGAAACCCTACAAGCCAGAAGAGAGTGGGGGCCAATATTCAACATTCTTAAAGAAAAGAATTTTCAACCCAGAATTTCATATCCAGCCAAACTAAGCTTCATAAGTGAAGGAGAAATAAAATACTTTATAGACAAGCAAATGCTGAGAGATTTTGTCACCACCAGGCCTGCCCTAAAAGAGCTCCTGAAGGAAGCGCTAAACCTGGAAAGGAACAACCGGTACCAGCCGCTGCAAAATCATGCCAAAATGTAAAGACCATCGAGACTAGGAAGAAACTGCATCAACTAATGAGCAAAATCACCAGCTAACATCATAATGACAGGATCAAATTCACACATAACAATATTAACTTTAAATATAAATGGACTAAATTCTGCAATTAAAAGACACAGACTGGGAAGTTGGATAAAGAGTCAAGACCCATCAGTGTGCTGTATTCAGGAAACCCATCTCACGTGCAGAGACACACATAGGCTCAAAATAAAAGGATGGAGGAAGATCTACCTAGCCAATGGAAAACAAAAAAAGGCAGGGGTTGCAATCCTAGTCTCTGATAAAACAGACTTTAAACCAACAAAGATCAAAAGAGACAAAGAAGGCCATTACATAATGGTAAAGGGATCAATTCAACAAGAGGAGCTAACTATCCTAAATATTTATGCACCCAATACAGGAGCACCCAGATTCATAAAGCAAGTCCTCAGTGACCTACAAAGAGACTTAGACTCCCACACATTAATAATGGGAGACTTTAACACCCCACTGTCAACATTAGACAGATCAACGAGACAGAAAGTCAACAAGGATACCCAGGAATTGAACTCAGCTCTGCACCAAGCAGACCTAATAGACATCTACAGAACTCTCCACCCCAAATCAACAGAATATACATTTTTTTCAGCACCACACCACACCTATTCCAAAATTGACCACATACTTGGAAGTAAAGCTCTCCTCAGCAAATGTAAAAGAACAGAAATTATAACAAACTATCTCTCAGACCACAGTGCAATCAAACTAGAACTCAGGATTAAGAATCTCACTCAAAGCCGCTCAACTACATGGAAACTGAACAACCTGCTCCTGAATGACTACTGGGTACATAACGAAATGAAGACAGAAATAAAAATGTTCTTTGAAACCAACGAGAACAAAGACACCACATACCAGAATCTCTGGGACGCATTCAAAGCAGTGTGTAGAGGGAAATTTATAGCACTAAATGCCTACAAGAGAAAGCAGGAAAGATCCAAAATTGACACCCTAACATCACAATTAAAAGAACTAGAAAAGCAAGAGCAAACACATTCAAAAGCTAGCAGAAGTCAAGAAATAACTAAAATCAGAGCAGAACTGAAGGAAATAGAGACACAAAAAACCCTTCAAAAAATCAATGAATCCAGGAGCTGGTTTTTTGAAAGGATCAACAAAATTGATAGACCGCTAGCAAGACTAATAAAGAAAAAAAGAGAGAAGAATCAAATAGACACAATAAAAAATGATAAAGGGGATATCACCACCGATCCCACAGAAATACAAACTACCATCAGAGAATACTACAAACACCTCTACGCAAATAAACTAGAAAATCTAGAAGAAATGGATACATTCCTCGACACATACACTCTCCCAAGACTAAACCAGGAAGAAGTTGAATCTCTGAATAGACCAATAACAGGATCTGAAATTGTGGCAATAATCAATAGTTTACCAACCAAAAAGAGTCCAGGACCAGATGGATTCACAGCCGAATTCTACCAGAGGTACAAGGAGGAACTGGTACCATTCCTTCTGAAACTATTCCAATCAATAGAAAAAGAGGGAATCCTCCCTAACTCATTTTATGAGGCCAGCATCATTCTGATACCAAAGCCGGGCAGAGACACAACCAAAAAAGAGAATTTTAGACCAATATCCTTGATGAACATTGATGCAAAAATCCTCAATAAAATACTGGCAAAACGAATCCAGCAGCACATCCAAAAGCTTATCCACCATGATCAAGTGGGCTTCATCCCTGGGATGCAAGGCTGGTTCAATATATGCAAATCAATAAATGTAATCCAGCATATAAACAGAGCCAAAGACAAAAACCACATGATTATCTCAATAGATGCAGAAAAAGCCTTTGACAAAATTCAACAACCCTTCATGCTAAAAACTCTCAATAAATTAGGTATTGATGGGACGTATTTCAAAATAATAAGAGCTATCTATGACAAACCCACAGCCAATATCATACTGAATGGGCAAAAACTGGAAGCATTCCCTTTGAAAACTGGCACAAGACAGGGATGCCCTCTCTCACCGCTCCTATTCAACATAGTGTTGGAAGTTCTGGCCAGGGCAATCAGGCAGGAGAAGGAAATAAAGGGTATTCAATTAGGAAAAGAGGAAGTCAAATTGTCCCTGTTTGCAGACGACATGATTGTTTATCTAGAAAACCCCATCGTCTCAGCCCAAAATCTCCTTAAGCTGATAAGCAACTTCAGCAAAGTCTCAGGATACAAAATCAATGTACAAAAATCACAAGCATTCTTATACACCAACAACAGACAAACAGAGAGTCAAATCATGGGTGAACTCCCATTCACAATTGCTTCAAAGAGAATAAAATACCTAGGAATCCAACTTACAAGGGATGTGAAGGACCTCTTCAAGGAGAACTACAAACCACTGCTCAATGAAATAAAAGAGGACACAAACAAATGGAAGAACATTCCATGCTCATGGGTAGGAAGAATCAATATCGTGAAAATGGCCATACTGCCCAAGGTAATTTACAGATTCAATGCCATCCCCATCAAGCTACCAATGACTTTCTTCACAGAATTGGAAAAAACTACTTTAAAGTTCATATGGAACCAAAAAAGAACCCGCATCGCCAAGTCAATCCTAAGCCAAAACAACAAAGTTGGAGGCATCACACTACCTGACTTCAAACTATACTACAAGGCTACAGTAACCAAAACAGCATGGTACTGGTACCAAAACAGAGATATAGATCAATGGAACAGAACAGAGCCCTCAGAAATAATGCCGCATATCTACAACTATCTGATCTTTGACAAACCTGAGAAAAACAAGCAATGGGGAAAGGATTCCCTATTTAATAAATGGTGCTGGGAAAACTGGCTAGCCATATGTAGAAAGCTGAAACTGGATCCCTTCCTTACACCTTATACAAAAATCAATTCAAGATGGATTAAAGATTTAAACGTTAGACCTAAAACCATAAAAACCCTAGAAGAAAACCTAGGCATTACCATTCAGGACATAGGCGTGGGCAAGGACTTCATGTCCAAAACACCAAAAGCAATGGCAACAAAAGCCAAAATTGACAAATGGGATCTAATTAAACTAAAGAGCTTCTGCACAGCAAAAGAAACTACCATCAGAGTGAACAGGCAACCTACAACATGGGAGAAAATTTTCGCAACCTACTCATCTGACAAAGGGCTAATATCCAGAATCTACAATGAACTCAAACAAATTTACAAGAAAAAAACAAACAACCCCATCAAAAAGTGGGTGAAGGACATGAACAGACACTTCTCAAAAGAAGACATTTATGCAGCCAAAAAACACATGAAGAAATGCTCATCATCACTGGCCATCAGAGAAATGCAAATCAAAACCACTATGAGATATCATCTCACACCAGTTAGAATGGCAATCATTAAAAAGTCAGGAAACAACAGGTGCTGGAGAGGATGTGGAGAAATAGGAACACTTTTACACTGTTGGTGGGACTGTAAACTAGTTCAACCATTGTGGAAGTCAGTGTGGCGATTCCTCAGGGATCTAGAACTAGAAATACCATTTGACCCAGCCATCCCATTACTGGGTATATACCCAAAGGACTATAAATCTTGCTGCTATAAAGACACATGCACACGTATGTTTATTGCGGCACTATTCACAATAGCAAAGACTTGGAACCAACCCAAATGTCCAACAATGATAGACTGGATTAAGAAAATGTGGCACATATACACCATGGAATACTATACAGCCATAAAAAATGATGAGTTCATGTCCTTTGTAGGGACATGGATGGAAACCATCATTCTCAGTAAACTATCGCAAGAACAAAAAACCAAACACCGCATATTCTCACTCATAGGTGGGAATTGAACAATGAGATCACATGGACACAGGAAGGGGAATATCACACTCTGGGGACTGTGGTGGGGTCGGGGGAGGGAGGAGGGATAGCATTGGGAGATATACCTAATGCTAGATGACACGTTAGTGGGTGCAGCGCACCAGCATGGCACATGTATACATATGTAACCTGCACAATGTGCACATGTACCCTAAAACTTAGAGTATAATAATAAAAAAAAAAAAAATGTTCACTCTCCAAGGCAGGGTTGCAGGCAGATTGCCTACACACCAGGATCTGTGATTCTGGGGCACAACCAAGCAGCTAAGGCCGCTCCGGGGAGCTGGGTTGTAGTTGTAACTCTGACCCCAGGGGACAGGACACAGAACTGGCCTTTCTCTGAGGAAGAAGGGGTGCTCTGACGATTTGAGCCCAGGGAGCAAGGTAAAGCTGCAATTTGGGAACCAGTGCCAACAGGCACAGTGGCAATTCAGGCCCCAGTGAATGAGATGCCTACCTCATAGTGGTAACTCTGGACCCCCAGATGGTGAGACACAGAAGCATCCTAGACCCTGTATGGACACATGCAGCAGCAACAAGGTACCCAAAATGGCAAAGCCTAGCTGCTGCTTGCATCCTGGAAGGCAGGGAACAGCACAGTGATGACCCCACTCCCCAAGAAGACGGGTGTCTCATACTCTGCAAGGACAGTCCAGTTCTAGGGAAGCAGGGTACTACAGTTCTTCAGCCAGTAGGGCAAGGTGTCCCAGCTCAACCAACGCCCTGTTTCCCTGGGACGTGGGATACCACGTCAGATCAGCCCAGGGATGTGTGGCTGCTCAGTCTGGCTATGGCTCCATTTCCCCACGAGTTGATGTACCTCTTTAGCTCAGGCACAGGAAGCCTTACTGCTCTGGGCAGACAAGGCACCAATTCCCCAGGATGCAGGGTGCTGCTTCTGCTTAAGCTCTGAGGGGCGAAGCACGATAGTGACTGGGAGGGGTAGGTAGAGCAGCTACACACCAGCTTGGCCCCTGGGGTAGCATGTAGCAGCAGCTCAGCTTAGGGATGGTGGGCCAGCAGGCAAGGGTGGTTCAGTGGCAACAAAGCCTCAGGGACGACAGGGTGCTGTGGCTAACTGCACCAGAGCCAGACACACACTCCAGCAGTGGTTCAAGTTCAAAGACGGTGCAGTACCCACATGGGTCACAGGGGACAGGACACAGTGTCAGCTGCTTCTCTGGGGAAAGTGCAGCTGTGTGGACACCAGCCAGCTCCCTCAGCTGACCTGAGCACCTGTGAGGTCGGTAGGAGTCCCCAGTGGAGAGCACTACAAGTCTCCACGTCGACGATGGGTGCTTCCGGCAGTCTTCTTGCTCACCTTTTTTCCACAGGGAGAAGTAACTCCTGGTTTTGAACTGACCCCACCTTGGGGATGGGGTAGCAGAAGCAAGGCGCTTCCCTTCTCTATGCGTCCATCCTGAGCTTCTGTGGTCTACAGGGCTTCTGTTACTCCTTTGATGCACTTCAGCCCTGTTTAGTTATTTTCATCAAAATCCAGCAGTTTATTCTTTGCTTTGGCTGTCTTTGCAGGGTGGCGGGGGACAAGCACTAAGGGCTTCTTCTAGCCAGCCATCTTGTTGACATCACTCTCCCACTGTCCTTGCTAATCCTTTTTCCTAGAAAGGCTTCCTTTTCCTAGTGGATGGTGAAAGAAGTTCTACACTGAGTGCTGGGGCTCCTGAGCTGCCCTTTCTCTCCTTTCCTGGGTTTCCTTCAACACAAAGCTCCCATTGTAACAGGTAAGCAGGTAGAGTAAGCTGCTCTAGGAAGTATCGGAAGTCATCTTATCTCAGAGGTTTCCCACCAACAGTCTTTATTCCCCCTCCACTCCAAAGCCCCCACCCCACCTTTGAAATCAGGCCACTACATTTGCAAGGTAGGCTCTTCCAGCTTGGTGAGGACCAGGAGGAAGTGTGCTGCCAGCTCCTTTCCCTTCCATACCTGTTATCCCTCTGAATGTCACCACACTTCTCTTTTTCCCTATTACTTACAAAACAACAAAGAAAAACTATCATAGAAAACTTTGTAATAGAAAAAGCTTCTGCAGGATACACAATTCAAAACCATATTTTTTTCTCTCTCTGTGCACCCGCTCTGTGCAACTGGCACTTATTTGAGACAGCTTTCAAAGAAAATATGTTTGTGGTTCAAAGATAAGCAGGTTTTTAGTAAACTGTCAAAAGGACATTTTTTTTTTCTTCTTTACTGCCAGTGGAAAAACTCAAAAAGAAAGAGTATGTAAGAGGGGGAACGCATTCTGAATTGTACTAGAACATGTATAGACTTAATTTTCTGGAAATTCATCAATGGCTAGGTATTCAAAGCTAGGGTCTCCTGCTTCTCCACCTGGAATTGGGTTTTGCCATCAAAATAATGAGGATGAAACACTAAAATAATTACATGTAATAACTGAGACATAGGGTAGTATTTTTTAAAACTCTGTTCTCATTGGAACTATCAATCTTTTAAGAAAAGCCTATGTTAATTCGCAGCATAAAGTAAAAAAGGAGAGAGATGCTATTATAATAAGGCCTCTATTGTCAATTATGACTGAAAATTGACCCAATGAAGATATCAGGGAATAAAGAACTACACCAAGAGAAGGCCAATCTAGAACCCACAGGCCACCAGAAAGAGGGACAAGCCAGAGGGCTGAACTGACACCAGTGTCCACAAGAAAGTTACCCTGCCAGGCTGGGCATGGTGGCTCATACCTATAATCCCAGCACTTTGGGAGGCCAAGTCAGGCAGGTCACTTGAGCCCAGGAGCTCGAGAACAGCCTAACCAACATGGTGAAACCCGGTATCCACAAAAAATACAAGAAGTAGCTGGGTGTCATGGTGCACACCTGTAATCCCAGCTACTGGGGAAGCTGAGGCATGAGAATCACTTGAAGCTGGGAGGCGCAGGTTATAGTGAGCTGAGATCGCACCACTGCACTCCGGTCTGGGTGACAGATCAAGACTCTGTCTCAAAAAAAAAAAAGAAAGAAAGAAAGAAAGAAAGAAAGCCACCCCGCCAATGAAGGCCAAGCACATCTGTTTTCTATGGAGGATTCTGCATTTTGGTTTGTTCACACATGCTATCCTTCAGGAGCTGCATTTTGCCTCTTGCCCCAATACAGTTTTTGTTAACAACTAACAATCTAATGCCATAGTAAGGACATTACAGAGGGGGCTGTAGATGTCCAAGCCATAAGGTCACGGGGAAAAGTTAAACCTCTGAAAAGATGGCAAGGGGAATTTAAATGGAAAATAAAATTGTAATAATAAAGGAGTTGTAACTTTCTTTTTCTAACTTTTGATTATTTTACCAACGAAAAGCAAATTCTTCACTTTGAAGCACATGAATGTTGCAATGATGCAACGTCTCCAGTCTAAAGCGAGAGAAGGGGCAGATCCATCATCTCTTTTCTGTTTTGGGAAGACGGAAGCTAAGATATATATGAGTTAAAACTACACAGGTTAGGAAATTTTGCAAAATCACTTTTTATTTTTCAGTATGAAAACAGACTTCCAGCTCCCTGTACTCCTCCTGAGCTAATAGGGTAGGTTCCTTCTCAGCGTTATTTCACAGTGAGCAGATGGTAGTCTGAAATTTTTTTGATAAAAACAATTATCTGCCAGGGGTTGCTGAGAGGTCAGCAGAACCCAGATTAACAATTGATCAGCTCTAACGGACCATCATAGTAATAAATTCAGAGCCAGTACACAGACCTGCCACCTCAGTAATAGCAATGGGGCTGACACCCAAGCTGTTAATATACTTGCACTTAATAGCATAGAAGCTTCAGTAGCTTCAAAACCTTCATCTAAGCCAAGACAAATCCTTCCATGCACAGCCAGTTTATCAAAGGCCTCTCTTTCACAGGTCTCCACCAAAGTGCATGTGGTTTACTTTGACCCATAGAGGAGTTCACTGAGGTCGGAGCACCAGTGTGAATGGCATTGTCATATTGACAGAGTATTTCAACATCTACTCTTATGTTCAGACCACAATGGTACCCTCTGATGCTTTTGTTGTACATGTCCAGAACAGGTGACTGGGGAGGAAAACTTTAGCTCCCTTTCCTTGTTCCCAAGAGAACAAAAACTAGAGACTTATTTTCTTGGTGCCTCATTTTTTCAAGAGAGATGCCAATGCTGCATTCACAATCACAGCACCCTCTTTGACAGAGGGAATTGCTTGTGCTACACCAGAATTTTACTGTAAAACTTCGGAAATAGGAAATCAGAACACTCTTGGAAAATAATAATAGCTTCAGATGGACAAAAAAGAATGTCTCTATGTTGGCTGAACTAAAACCACAAAACATTTTTCATCTGCTGAAGGATAAGTAATCCCCAAAAGTCAACCACATCATCCCCTCCCATGCCCCATCCCACCAACCCTTGTCTCTCAGTAAAACTGACCACATGAGCCATAAATAACAGATTTTACAAAGCAGTCATCACTTCCAATAATGTTTCTCACTCTCTCCCGCACAATCACTCCTTCCTGTTGAACCAATGAAGCCAGAAAAAATCAAAGAATGAGGACATTCCTTAACATAATCACAGTATAGGGATGAAGATCCAACAATCCAACATTAATACAGCATTGTTTTCTAATGCACAGTCCATATTAAAACTTTGTTTTCTAGTTCAGGATCCAGTTCAGGATCACACATTGCATGTAGTAGTCATGTGTCCTCATCTCTTTGAATTAGGAGCAAATCCTCAACATTTCTTTCTCCTTCTTGATCTTGGCATTTTTGAAGACGAGTCCAGACAGTTACTCTGTAGAATGTTCCTCAGTCTAGATTTGTCTGATGTTTTATCATGATTACAGTCAGGCTACACATTTTGGGCAAGAATTCTACATAACTGTGTTATATTTTTCTGAGTCATCACATCTGGAGGCACTTGATGTCACTTTGTCTCATTATTGGTGACATTAACTTCGATTATTTGTTTAAGGTGGTGTCTATCAGGTTTCTCCACAATAAAATTGCTATTTTTCCCTTTGTAATTGATGAGTAACTTGTGGGCAAATAGTTTGAGACTATAAGTGTCCTGTTCTTCACCAAACTTTTGCCAACTAATTTTAGCATCCACTGAAGATTCTTGCCTCAGTTAATTACCATAATTTTCTAACTCAATCATTTTTCTATATGCATTAGTTGCCTTCTAAGACATTCCCCCTCATTTGTCTTTTTTTTTTTTTAAGACGGAGTTTCGCTCTTTGTTGCCCAGGCTGGAGTGCACTGGCGTGATCTCGGCTGACTCCAACATCCACCTCCCAGCTTCAAGCGATTCTCCTGTCTCAGCCTACTGAGTAGCTGGGATTACCGGCACCTGCCACCATGCCCGGCTAATTTTTGTATTTTTAGTAGAGACAGGGTTTCACCATGTTGGCCAAGCTGGTCTCAAACTCCTGATACACCCGCCTTGGCCTCCCAACGTGCTGGGACTACAGGTGTGAGCCACCCAGCCTGGCCCATTTGTCTATTTTTTAATCTATCTATCTGTTTATTTATTATCAAGCGGACTCATGGATTCTTATTTTATTCATTGTTACAAGCTAAGTTGATATGAGTTGAGTTTCTGTCACTTAAAATCAGAATATTCCTGAAAAGCCTTCAGGAACTTCTGAGAAAAGTGACACAGTTTCCCTGGGCATTGCACTCAAGAGGTCCTTATAATCTTCACACCTGCCAAAGTGCTTCCTGATGCTGCCATTAAATCCCTTCTGGCCCACTCTACAAGTCCAAATTCTCTGACAATCAGGCTCAAAGAAGACAAATGTGGCCAGTAAATGGCCCCTAGATCTTTGTGAGAACTGAGTATGGCTTTAGGAAGGTAAGGTACTTCTTGCTATATCCAAGGTTCTTCTCACTATCTTCTGTCCCTTCTCAGCAGCTTCGCTCAAAGAGCTGGGCCAGCTGCCGACTCCTCTTCCAATGTTTCCAACCATCCTCAGAGCTTCTCCTCATTCCCCTCTTATGCTTAGCTATACCTCTGGCTCTATTTGTTTCAAATGTTGAGTATTATGCCTAAAAAGACTGCTGATGATGGACTTGATATTTTTTGTTTGCCCCTCCAGAACCATTCTTCAACCTTCCTCACCCAGCTCAATGACTGAACTGAACTGCATCAACCATACCAACAGCTGGATTCAGCCAACGGTGAGTACTGGCAAGAAATAAGAAAGCAAGAGAGTACTTGGGTATCATTATCCCAAATTTCACCCTTTCCAGCTCACCATGGGTGTCTATACTCCTCTATCAAATCCTTTTTCCATGTAGCCATCTTCCCTGAGTTCTGGAAACCCTAGTTTTCCTCTCTTCAGGTCATAAGTATGGCCAGCTCTGGGGTATGCCACCATTGCCTTTTGGTCTATCTGAACACCACTGCATGTTGGTTTCACTTAACCCCGAGTATACATTTGAAAATATTTCCTTAATTAAACTTTCCTTGATCACCCCACTTGAATATGCATTGTTGTACCCACAAAGCAAAAGACACAGATGAGGGTGATGACAAGGACACATCTTCCAGAGAGACATGCAGCCGGTGGTCAGCTTTGGTACTGCCATCTTTTTTTGTGCTTAATGATTTATGTCTGCCTTTCTATTCCCCATATAAATGGGAATATAGGAAAGTCAACACTATTTCCAAATTGTGACCACATGCCACTAAAAGAAATATGTCTAGCAAAGCTCAAACTTTAAGATTTGCTCCTTCTGTTTTCCTAGTGGTGAGGAAAGGTCACAAAACTCAAAGTGCCAATTTAGATAAAAGTTCTTTCAGGGAGACCCAAAGGAATCTCCAAGTTTTACTTACTTACTTACTTACTTACTTATTTATTTGAGACAGACTCTCACTCTGTCACCCAGGCTGCAGTGCAATGGCTCAATCTCAGCTCACTGCAACGTCTGCTGCCCAGGTTCAAGCAATTCTCCTGCCTCAGTTTCCCAAGTAGCTGGGATTACAGGCGTGCGCTACCACGCCCAGCTAATTTTTGTATTTTTAGTAGAGACGGGGTTTCACCATGTTGGCCAGGCTGGTCTCGAACTCCTGGCCTCAAGCGATGCACCTGCCTCAGTCTCCCAAAGTGCTAGGATTACAGGCATGAGCCACCACACCCAGCTGGAACCTCCAAGTATTATTTAATTAACTTGTTGCCCTTTACTATGTTTTCTATACACATCGACATCAAAATCCTTCTCTATCAGACATAGTCATGTCAGGATCAGGTACAAGATCTACTGCAAGAAATTAATGAAATGGATATTTGAATCTCAAATCAGTGAATGATTCAATTTTTAAATGTTATTAACAATCAATTCAAGGATAGATCCATCACAGTATTGCTTTCAGTCACTTGCATTCCAAAATGCAGCCAGCCAAGTGGGATTTGGATGTATTCTGCTATCTTATCAATTCACCATTGAGAGATCTGGTGATTATTGTCAGTTGACCGATTTAACTCCCCCTAAATTGGGGAATAGTTTATTGAAATCTGATTACACACATGTGAGTGTTTGACATCACCCATTATAACTGTCACTGTTAGAAGGTGGTTGCGGATTGCTTAAGAATCCTGTCAAAGATTCCAACTCAGTACCATCCTCTCAAAAGCCTCTCCCTCCCAATCACTGAAAAATCAGTATTCCTGGTATACCTGGTACTTGTCCTTTGGCAGGAAACACACAAAACAATTTAACTCAAACTATAATCAGTTACCTGTAAGTCTGCATCAAATTCATGTTTCAGGTGTGCTTCTTCTGCAGCCTCCACCAGACGCTAAAAAAAAAAAAAAAAAACAGAAGACAGCATTAAGGATCAGAATTGTGGCCTGAACCCCATTTCTCCATTGACCAAAAGTGACATATTATATCGTGGTTCATACATTGTGATCTGATGCCTTTGCTCCCATGAAACTGAAAATAATCACATCAGTGTCAACACTGGGTTTCTGCCTCCATCATTCAATCAATAATTCTTCCAATAAATATTTATTGTTATGTACACATTTATAAATGCACACGTGTTCTGCATCCATTTACCTAACAATTCAGACACTGGTCCTTGAGGCCCAATGCAGATCCAAAACCCACCTAGCATAGTGCATTCCTTAGGTATAGAACGCCCTTAGTCAAGATTTATTGCCTTGAATTGAGTCCAACTTTAAGTGGGCTAGCTTTCTTCCCCAATATTTTGGAAAAGAGTACTTATTTTAATTCCCTCAATCATTCAAGGTCAATTCTTTCTGTACCCAGTTCTAATATGTAATTATCAGGTGACAGTTATTTGCATTTTATGGTCCATCAATGCCACTGTGACAATCTGCAACCCAATAAAGCAATCACTTAAATTAAACTAATACTCAGGACCCACAACAACACAATTCTTGTTATTCTTCTCAGCCAGCGAAATTCAACACATTAATATTCTTATGAAACCCATTTCATAATGCCTTCATTTAGATAATTAGTCAACAATCAAAATCATTTTTACTTTAATTTGATTTTGCCTACAATAAGATATTTCCCACCTTGAAAATATAGGCTAGAGGATATTACAGAAAACTCTCATTTGGTGAAATAATATTTCACTGAAATTATATCAAACTAAAAGCAAAATCTTAGATCCAAGCAAAAATTTGACCACTTCTATTTCTCCTGTGGTCACTCTTGTATCCTATGCTGTCTTTAACTTGCTTTTTCTTGACATAATATAGGCCTGAGTTTAATAGGCCACGTGTGAAAAATGATGGCATTAATATTAATCTCTAAACGGTCACAAATTGATGGACAAATGTCCCATGAATAATTATTAAACTGGATATGGAAGTGAAGAGGCTGAAATACATTCGGGTAACTTTAAGCAGCAGTAGAGTACCAAAGCCCACTTTCGCCACAGGACATACAAAGAAAGAGACAGGCCAGCCAGAGACAGTGCTGCCCACAGACAGAGATTTGGGAAGGGTGGAAATGTGATTTCCCAGACTATCTTCAGTTGATCAGAAGGTCAGGAAGGGTTTTTTCCTTCACTGGTCAAAGAACAATCCCCAGAGAACATCAGAGGCCAGAGCCAGGAGACCTGGTCCTCATTCTAGCCCGGATGCTAACTCACTACAGGTGTGAAATCTTGCGCAGGACCCTTCCCCTGTCTGAGCCTCAGCTTCCTCACCTGAAAATACAAAAAGTGGTGACCCTAGAGCAGTGCTTCCCAAAGTGCAGACCCACACTGGCAGGATCAGTTTCACCTGGGAAATTGTAGAAATGCCCATCCCAGTCCCACCGAATCAAAAGTTCTGGAGGTGAGGACCAGCAATCTGGTCTAACAAGCCCTGCAGGTAATTCTGATGCCACTAAAGTTTGAGAACCACTGGCTAAAAATACCATTCATCCCATTCCTCACCTCACTCCTGATGCTTGATTAAACCTCCAAGGTTTCTCAACTCTTATTTAACTTTGTAAAATCCATGTACCTAGGCCAGGCATGGTGGGTTCACACTAGTAATCCTAGCACTTTGGGAGGCAGAGGCGGGCAGATCACCTGAGGTAAGGAATTAGAGACCAGCCTGGTCAACGTGGCAAAAACCCCATCTCAACAAAAAACACAAAAATTAGCCAGGCGTGGTGGCACATGCCTGTAGTCTCAGCTATTCAGGAGGCTGAGGCAGGAGAATCACTTGAACCCAGGAGGCAGAGGCTGCAGTGAGCCGAGATCACACCACTGCATTCCAGCCTGGGCGACAGAGTGAGACTCTGTCTCAAAAACAAAACACAAAACTTATGTATTCCTACCTAAAATACTGTCACTTTAAGACATAAAATTCTTTACAGAAAAAAAAGACATAAGATGGAGGGGATGAGAAACAGAAAAGTAAGAAGAGGAACAATCTACAAAGATCAGGTAAGTGGGCCCCAAGCGTTCATTGGGTCACTCTCTTCCTAAAATCATCCTAGTCAATGAAGCTTGAAAGCCTTCTGGGATCATGTGGTACAATCTGCAAACACACTGTGGATCCTGACAGATGAGTGACAGGCAGTGATATATAAAAAGAAAGAAAACTATGTGTTTCTGAGAGCATATTCTCTTAATCTTTGTAACAGATTTAGAATTTCTGTGCATGTATCATGAAATCAGTTACATATTGAGCTTTACAGAATGTGTATTAAATATTATGCATGTCTGAATACTTACATTATCAAAACAAGTCATGCATTTGAGCATTTATTTACTGCAACACATAAAAAATGGATTTTTGATGGTGTCTACGCACTGAGAATCTAGAGAAAAAAAGTTGATAAAATGTTTAAATGATCAAAAGATAAAGTAAAACTACACAATTACCAAGACAGATAATACTGAAAAAAAGTAAAGAATTGGAAAGGAAAAAATAATAATAAAGTCATGTAGGACCAACAAAAAAGAGAACAGGATGAAAATAATAGGCAAGTTGAAATCACCATGAAACAGTATCCATGAAATGTATTTCATATATATTTTATTTACATATGTGTGTATGTATATGTATATATATGTATACTGTACAGTCATGCAAACTATGTAACATATTCCTATATAACAAAACATAAAGTATATTTCAACCATAAACACTGCAATACAAAGTAGGTAACAACACAAGAAGGTAAACACTGGAAAGCATCTGATAATATTGTATTAACTACTAAGAGCAGCCAGAACACTGCATTCTGTGCTGAGTGAAGTAAATACATGAGAATTTGACCTGCTAGCAAGTTTTTATGTTCACGTTCAAGTTAAATTTGCCTCCTGCCTTTTTTTTTTCTAATAGGGAACTCCGCGAATTTGCGTGTCATCCTTGCTAATCTCTGGATTGCTCTCATTTTAGTACATGTGCTGCCGAAGCAAGCACTGCATGTCTTTTTTTAAACTTAATTTACCCCACATATTTCCTTCTCCATCCATGAAGATATTTTTTCCATCATTCTCACTAGAAAGCTTTAGGAAACATGATTCAAGAAATGACAATCAACCAGCAGCTACAAGTAATGGTTGTTTCTTATGAAGCAAATAGGTATCCCAGAAGGGAGCTCTTTGAATGGATACGCCCTGCATGCAGCACCCACCGGGTTGTCCCAACCTGCCCTCTGATGCCAATAGGAGACAGGCCTACATTTTCTGAGAGAACTCAGAAGATGCCCTCCCAAAACAGGCTCAGCTGCTGTGTACGACAGTCATGAAAAATGGCACATCATCAAGAAATATGTGTCTTGTGGAAAGAACAAAGGACAGTAATCTTTCCTCTGAAAGTACTCTTATAAAGGTAAACAAATTAAAAGAAATGTTATTTAAGAAGAAAACCATCTCCCATAGATTTACCTAAAACAGGCTGGGTGTGGTATAATCCCAGCACTTTGGGAGGCCAAGGGGGGCGGATCGTATGAGCCCAGGACTTCAAAATCAGCCTGGGCAACATGGCAAATCCCCATCTCTACAAAAAATACAAAAATTAGCCAGGCGTGGTGGCACCCACCTGTAGTCCCAGCTAGCGGTGAAACTCAGGTGGGAGGATCACTTGAGCCTGGGAGGCAGAGGCTGCAGTGAGCCAAGATTATACTACTGCACTCCAGCCTGGGCAACAGAACAAGACCCTATCTCAAAAAATAAAAATAAAAAAAGCTGAGTCATGGGGACAGAAGTTTCTACTGTGTTTTGTTTTGCTTTGCTTTGTTTTGTTTTTGAGACGGAGTCTCGCTCTGTCACCCAGGTTGGAGTGCAATGGCGTGATCTCGGCTCACTGCAAGCTCCGCCTCCTGGGTTCAAGCTATTCTCCTGCCTCAGCCTCCTGAGTAGCTGGGATTACAGGCATGCGCCATCACTCCCGGCTAATTTTTGTATTTTTTAGCAGAGATGGGGTTTCACCATGTTGGCTAGGCTGGTCTCGAACTCCTGACCTCAGGTGATCTGCCCACCTGGGCCTCCCAAAGTGCTGGGATTACAGGCGTGAGTCACTGCACCTGGCCAAGTTTCTCCAGTTAATAAAATTAAAATACACTGATTCATCATCTAACAAAGTCAAGACCATAGAACTTCAAATTCTGATGCTTGCCAATAGAAAGTAACAGCCTATTATTGACATCTCTTTTCTTAGCAAATGTCATTATAATCATCTAAGTCCAATGAAATACGTTTTTAAAACAAATCTGCAGGTAAGAAAAATCCATTAAATTTGCTAATATTTTAGTTATTATATAAGAAACTGCCACTGAGCCTGGGGAAAACTGTTACTCTATTATACCTATTATAAAGGCAGTGTACTTTTAATAATAATGTTAATTTTCTTTTATATGAATTCCTTTTTTAGGTCAACAGATGGGATTATAGAATTGTGAATGTGGTTTTTAATTAAACGTGAACACTGGAAACAAAAATGGCTTTGAAGACTCCAGCCTATGGAACTGAGCTGTGAGGTAAGAGAAAACAGCAGTTTTGTCCACAAATCTTTTATCCCTTGTTTAATGCCAAAGCTTTTCCTTACTCAATAAAAATGATAACAATATACTGGAATACACATGCTCGACTTGGAAAAAAGCACCTATAAGCTAAAAGGTTGTAATTCATGAGTTGATGCACATTTCACTGGCTTTTTATATTTCTATATAACTCATCCCTTTTAGTGAAATAAATACAAACAAGAGCCATTTGTATAAATAGACAATGCTAGAAGCCATAGACCATGGATAGTATTTACAGCTTTGGTGAAGGCGAAGCTGCCAAGGGGAATAGCGGGGATATTAAAGCATTTCATTTAAAATCACATCTTATTTCTTGTTACAATGACCCTATGTATATCCGCACAACATTACAGAATGCACAGTGTCCCGTTTCCTCCCCGCGACACTTAAATCAGGACTAGCGTTAAAGACATGGTAGAGGTCAAACTTTCCGTCATGGGCCAGAAGCGGAAAACCGGACACCACGTCTAAGTAAAAATTGGATCAGAAAAAGAAAATGATTTTTTTGTCTTCATGTATTTTATGTTTTTGTTCCTGGCCATTTTGGCTTAACAAGGGGAGAAAAGAGAGAAAGAATTGTGCGGTGAGAGGCGGGAAGGTAATGGAAAATGTTACTACACTACCAACGTAACTTAATTGCTGGACTCCTGATTTTATCACAATGAACAAATTGTGTACAAATAAAGAAAATTTCAAATAAAAATCCCTAAAATGGGCGGTAGGGACAATTATGGATGAAAATCCTCAAAACAAAACAGAAATATAAAAACCATAAGGAAGAGCAATGTAAAAAGTTATTTTTATTTCTTATGCTAAAGCTAAAAACCTTTGGGTTGTAAAATACTGTTAAAATGGGGTGTTGGAATTTAATAAAGATTTCAAAGCACTTAATATATTTAGTGGTTTTCATGTAATGTTTTGCAACAACACATTTAATACTCATACCAGGCTTTTTATTGCCTTTTTTTCTGGAATGAATACATAATTCTTTCTCAAATAAGGTTTAAGCTCAAATGGGGGGAACTCAAATCCATAATCATGAACATGGATTTGGGCTACACGAAGGGTTAACTTGGAGTTAGTTATTGAATTGTCATTAATACCAGAGTTAGAGATCACATGACTTTTCCTTTGAATCAACAAGAGTTCAATGTGTAGAAAAATGGCCAAACAGAGGAATTAAGAAATAGTAGTAATTACTATCACAACCATACCCAGAGCGGCATGGTTGAACTGTTACCCTAGATTCAGTGGCTTTTGTTTTTTTGTTTTTTTGTTTTTTGTTTTTGAGACGGAGTCTCACTCTATTGCCCAGGTGATCTCGGCTCACTGCAAGCTCCCCTCCCGGGTTCACACCATTCTCCTGCCTCGGCCTCCCGAGTGGCTGGGACTACAGGTGCCCGCTACCATGCCTGGCTAATTTTTTGTATTTTTAGTAGAGACAGGATTTCACTGTGTTAGCCAGGATGGTCTCCATCTCCTGACCTCGTGATCCGCCTGCCTCGGCCTCCCAAAGTGCTGGGATCACAGATGTGAGCCACCGCACCCGGCTGGCTTTTGTTTTAAGGGCAAGAGTTGGAGTTACACCATTTGTCCATCAGTGTGTACCTGGGACTAATGCGATCCTAGCAGCGTGTTACACAGCAGGGCTTGAACTTGACATGCTGACAGTCTACAGAAGTGAAGACAGAGGAGATCTAAGTCCTCTCTGCAGTCACAAATTTCAAACTCAATCCATCACGGATTAAAATGAAAAATCTCTACCCTCATTAAGGGCACTGAGCACATCAAAAGATGTTTCCAGGAACCCAGGCAAAATGAGATTGATTTGTTTCCCGTACTTATTTCAAACTCTTGTCTTGTACCAAGGGTCAGAAATCATCCATTTAAGAACTGTTACATTGGAGAAATAAAGTAAGTTGTTCAGATTTACATTTTCATTCCTTCTGGTGTTGAGATTCCTTCCCCTCTGTCCTTGGGATAGAGTTGTTTATCACTCCGTTAACAGTGTAGATTAATCTTTGCTGCTTTGTAGCTAGAGCAATTAGACGAGTATTTCCCAAAGTATCGGAGAGGTACCACCAGTGATCCATGAAAAAAACGTAAGATGGTTTACAGAATAGTGAGGGACACACAAGGAAAATAGCTATTTCAATGAGAAGGGACAAGTGACAAAGAATGCTGTCAGGAAGCCAAGGAAGCTTCCCAGAAGACATGACATTTAAGCTGAGCTCTGAAGGAGAACAGGAAGGATGCAGGAGAAAGAGAAGTGCTGAAAGAACGTTCCAGCCAACAGGAACATTTCACACAAAGTTTTGGAGGTAAGAAAATGTTCTGGAAACAGCAATTAAGAGAAATATTCTGGAAACAGCTAGTGCTCTGGGACCTACACAGAGGCCACAACAATGACTGGATGACCATCAGATAATAAACCAAGGCGAAATGAATAACCTGCAGAAATGGACACAATTAGACAAGAAGAAAGCCAACACACCTTTCCCTGCCACCCTGCAATGCTGCAACTGCAGTTAGAGTCATAGCTGAAACCTTAATAATATTCAGTAATCCTTATTGATACAAATGTTTTTTACTTTTCGATTCCAATAGAAATGGCACATATAAATCACCAACTATCAAGGTGATCATTTCTTTGGAGAAACACAGCTTTTAAGGAGCCTTCATTATTTCTTTGTTCCTGTAGAAGAAATAAGCTTTGTTGCACATGAATGAACATTTCGTATAAAATGACCTTCTGCCTGAAAGCTGCAAAAATTGCTTCTGCTTTAAAAATGGCAAACATTTCAAAGTGGATTATAAAAGCTAATCTATAAAGTTTCTAGAGAAAGCAGGTAACAGAACAATAGAGAAAACACATCGTGCATGTATGTGGGGAGCTTTCTTCCCTTCCTTCACTCCTCCCCTTTCCTATCTCCTTCAGATTGTATAAGGCTACACTGGCCTTTTACAAGACAAAATAAGCCTAGAGTTTACATCAGAAGACATGATCACAATCAATAACAAATTATCTTTGTTTCCACAAGAGATACCTGTTATCAATTTGAGGCTGATTAAATTAATACCCGTTATCAGTGTGAATGGCCAATTTGCAAACCAAAGCCATCGCATTCTACATCTAAGCCTGCATTTGCCAAAGTGCAACATTTGCAAAGCTGCTGAAGATGGAAACAGCCAAACTTTGTTCAAAGGGCTGCCCAAGGACCAAGGCAGCTCAGGGAGAGGTATGAAGAAGAGACAACCTTCGATTTGAGCCCAAGTAATTTTTCCAAATGACCAAGTATTTTAAATGATGTTCTTCTGCTTACATAGCTCTCCTGGGAATGTTTTAGAGTTGATTATCAAAATCAAGGCTATTTAACCATGAAACTTAAAAAGTCCCCGCAGGACCCTTCAGTTCTGAGGTAACTGCACTATTTCTTTTGTGGGCAATGGAACTATCTTTAACTTCCCAAGGGGATAGTCCACAATGAATGGGGACTATGACATTACATCATCTGAGGCATGAGTCCCCAACCCCCAGCATGGACCAGTACTGGTCGGTGGCCTGTTAGGAACTGGGCTGCACAGCAGGAGGTGAGTGGAGGGCCTGCGAGCATCACTGCCTGAGCTCAGCCTCCTGTGAGATCATCAGCATTAGATTCTCATAGGAGCATGAACTCTATTGTGAACTGCGCATGCAAGGGATCCAGGCTGCACGCTCCTTAAGAGAATCTAACTAATGCCTGATTATCTGAGGTGGAACAGCCTCATCCCAAAGCTATCCCTCACTCCCCCATGCAAAAACTGTCTTTCATGAAACCGATCCCTGATGCCAAAAAGGTTGGGGACCGCTGACCTGAAGGATGACCATTTGTTCTCCAAAATGAAAGGAAATTTCCTATCACCAAGGCCTCTGATTGTGGTGAATAAAATTCTGTTCCAGCCCTTAATTATACGTTTCCAGGGCTTACTCAGAAGGTGTTGACTAGAACTCACCATGGCAGAGTATTGAAGGTATTGCCCAACTAGCCAAGGAAGACAGGGACATCTGCCCCAGATAAGTCACAGTCAACATAACAAGGTGTTGGTACTGGTAAGGAAGTCTGTCCTGCAGAGAGTTTCCATTCCTGGTTGTATCACTTTTCTGTCACTTCTGTTTAGTTTAGCAAGTACTTGTTGAGAACCTATTAGGTAACAAGAACATCACCAAAAACTGAACCCCAATAAATAGATAACTGAGTCTTAGGCCTCAAGAAGTTTGGGGTACATTTTGTTACAGTAGAGTCAGAACAGGTCTCAGAAATCAAAGACAAGAGTTTGAATCCAGGTCTTCCTACTCACTGACTCTGGGCAAGTCTTAACTTCTCTGAGTCCTGGTTTTCTAATCTGATGAACACAAATAATAAAACCTTTAGTCTGTACCTCAGTGTGTGAATCTGGTGAGAATATACATACAAAAATTTCCCAAAGGATTCCACACAAGTGTAAAATATTATTAAGACAGGGTAGAGGAAGAGACAAGATTTTCCAGCATAAAACAGCTTGATTGAAACAAGGAAACTTCCCAGAATCACTGCCTCCCACGGTTGGCTCTCATATAGGGAGAACTTGGAACAACTCCCCAAGTTCACAGTTACATGGAGGTTATGTGAAAGTTAATTCTGCTGCCAAGAAAAGGACTCCAAATCTTGTGTTCAAAAACACAAGGCTGTGCATCTGCTCCTTAAGGGCGGGTTTTCAGAATCCACCACTCTTTCAGTTCCAGAGGTAAAATCTGTGATCAGTGAGGCTGAAAACGGAATGAGGCAAAGGCCTTTATGGAAGGGTTTGACTGATGTCCTCAGAATGGCACAAACACAGAAATTAAGCTGTTTGCCAAAGCAAGCTCCTGTGACAGATGGCACCTGTGAGACACTGGACAGGATGGTGAGTGTGGCAGGCAGCTCCTTGCCCCCAGGCCCCAACTATGGCCAGGGAAGAAAATTTTTCTTTCTCCTCGAAAATGAAATAACACTAACAATTTCCATGTCCTTTCAGACTTTACCTTCTCAAGATGGATTTTTATATAAATTTGATGCAGAGAAAAATCTGTTCCAATTCCCTTGTTGTTCTTTCCTTCCAACTATCCAACCAAATGTTTACCAGGCAACTTCAGTTTGGGAAGGAATATATCGTGTTGGTCCAGGGAACAGCCCCGAGGTCCAACAACCTGAATTCAAATCCTGACTCCAGCAACTTTATAATACCTCTCTGAGCCAATGTTCTTGGCATTGAGTAAATGTCCACTAATGTTATCTTGCTGCTGCTGCTGATGATGATGATTAATTATGTGGGAAGAATTACACTAAGGGCTGACGCAATGAAGATAACGGCACTCTCACACAGTTCAGTTGGGAGAAGAGGCAAATAACTAGATAATGTGGCGTGGGCTACAATAGGAGGGCCACACAAGATGATAACAGCAATTATTGAGCTTCACACTGCCTGACCTATGTGCCAAGCTGTCCTAAGTGCTTTAGTCATTGAATCCAGCAAATCCTCACAACTGCTCTATAAAACAAAGCACAGATACCATCCTAACTTTACACCAAAGGGAAACCAAAGGGAAGAGAGGTTATAGCACTATGAAAGCGAAGGGCATAGAGCACCAGTGCAGGAATGCTCATAAATGATGCAACAGTAAGCTGGGGTTAAAGGAGTGGAAGTTAGCCAGGTGACTGAGAGAGGTGACGGCGAAGGAGCAGCAAAGGCTCCAGGGTGGGAGCCTCCCTCTGCCTAGTCTCTCCTGTCTGCAGAGCTGCAGGTGTGGAATGGGAAGGGGGAAGAGTGCAAAAGGGCAGGCAAGTGGGACTCAGATAGGCAAGGGTGTTGAGCTAGGCTAAGGAGTACTGTGGCCTGTGTGCAGCGGGAGGTCTCATGGGCCATAAGACCCACGTGATCAGACCTGAACTTTAATTCACCTTTAAAAGTAATCTGGTGGCAGTGCTGAAAAAAATTAAAAAGGATAAACCTGGAACAGAGACTGAGGCAGAGAGACCACTTGCTTTAATGACATTTATTCCACAAATACCTTAATCCATGAGCAATTCCTGTGGGCTCTCCCTCCAAAATACACCCCATGTTTCACTACTTTTGTCACCCTCTCCCCTGTTATATCCCTAGCAAAGCCACGGCCATCTCTTCTCTGGAAACCCTCAGCATCCTAACAAGTGTCCAGTTGGCACTCAGTGCCCTGGATCCCATTCTTTTTCTGGCAATCTCACATGGTTGCCAGAAAAAGCCTTTTAAGAACAATTCTGATGGCAGCACTCCCTGTTTGAAACCCACCAGTGACTTCCCACTAATCATGACTATGACCCAAAAGGTCCTTTGATCTGGCCCAGTACCCTCAGATCCTGACCCCCAGCCATCTTTCTGGCCCCAGACCACTACCAACTTGTCTCTGTCATCCTGCTGTTCTCTTGACCAAGGATATTCTTGTCCCAGATCCTTGTATGTTTGACTGCCCCTCATTGGTCACTCTGCAGCTCAAATGACTCCTCCTCAAGGATGTCACCCCCACCCCACCCCCTAACAAAGGACTGAGCACTTTGTGCTCAAAGCAGCACTGAGAATATGGCTAGTGCTCAAAATGCAGTTGGACAAATTAAAAAATATCTATTACTCACCCTACTGGGTGCCAGGCACTGTGTTCATCTGGGAATATAAGGTTTATAAGACACAGCTGTTGTCTTCAAGGACATTAGAGTCCAGGATGGGAAAGAAACCAGTAGACAACTGCAACACAACATGATAAAGGCTCTAACAGGAGCTAAGCAAGGAATCCTACATACCACCAAGGGAGCAACTAGACCAGGCTTACGGGGTACAAGGAGGCTCCTCACGTATGGTACAAGAAGCCTTCTCATCTACACTGAGACCTGAAAGACAAGAGCCAGCCCAGAAAACAAAGGAAGGGCCTTCCAGGATGAGGGAACTGCAAGTACAGTGGCAAAAGAAGGCATGACATGTTCAGGCAATCATGAGTGGCTTGGCATATGAAGATTATGTGGAGGGGAGCCTGTGTCGGGGGCAGGGAGCTAGTGAGAAAGGAGGCTGGAGACCAAATATTATTGATTATTGATGTTATCTAGATGTTCTCAAATGAGCAAAAGGTGATCCAAGACAATAACGAGAAAGATTGAAGACAAAACATCTGAAAGTTATTTAGGAAGAGGAATATACAGGACTTGGAGGCCAACAGGATACAGAGAATAAGGGAAAAGGCAGAGTGATGGAACTATTAGGTGGGTGCAAAGGTAATTACTTTTTCACCAACCTATAGCTTGGTGCCCTTACTCACTACCTGGTACTGCCTCCAGGGGGTGTCCAGCAACAACCAGAGAAGGAGCTGAGCTCAGGAGGAACACTGAACGAAAGAAGGGCTAGCAGGTATGATAAAATCTCATAGTAAGACCAGGCAATACAAGCACAGAATGTTTTTAAAAGTGAAGTCCATTCAATCTTGTGACTAAGAGTGTGTGTTGGAGAATGCCTGCTGACTCTCAGCACCATCTAAGCTGTGTCTTCTACGGTAGGGCTGGAGGCCTACCACCACATGCTCTTGACTCCCTCGCCCTGAGCAGGGCTCCAGGTCAGATTCTTGAGAGGTCTGCAAACTGAAAGAGAAGAAACCAATATTCTCCAGCTGAAGTGATGGGCATGTATGTGGGCATGTGCAGATGGCAGGTATCTTTGGTCATTCAGACACACTCCCACGAATTACCCACTCGTGCTGCAGACACCGGAGATCGTTGGTGGTGGCTTCCTGCAACCGCAGCACTTCCTAGATTTGTCAACTCAGACAGCAGTTTCCCTGACCCTCACTCCCTCAGTTTTTCTAACTATCAAATAAGCCTTTAATTCCCTTTATTAAACCCCTGCCTACTTGAAACGCCTAAAGATATTCCTTAAAAAATAAAACCTAAAGGGTTTTTGTTCTCTCATCAAACACGACTGGGTGATCCACAGGGTACCTGTGTAAGAACCACTTCAGAGCACAGGAAGGAGCAGGGGCCAAAGTGCAGAGAGCTGTGAAAGTGGGAGGGATGGAAGTTTGGGATAAAACATCCAGATTCCTATATTGAGAAACCGATTTGGGCCACAGCAGGAAGAAAATGCAAGGTGAAAGAAGGCTTTAAGATGAAAACATGCTCATAGCAATGAAGGTAGTAATAAGAACTGCCCTGGGAAGCTCCCAGAAGACCCAGCTCAAGGCAACTCCAGGATCCTCTCCAAGGATCAGAAAGCCATTGAGCAAGCCTCCAATTCAAAGGAGGCTTAAACTTAAACCTTCCACCTTATTTCCTGAAGGGGTTACAGATACAGTCATAAAGACACCATGGCACTGGAAGGAGAAGTTGTTTAAAGTTGCATCCCTTTCCTGGACCACACAGCCTACAGTGCATTATAATTTCTTTCTACTGTATCCTTAATTTGCTTAGGAAGAGACCAATTACATATATAATATAGGCATGCTTTCTTAAAAAGCAGCAATTTGTGAAATGTATATATTTAAAACATACCACAGTTTTCAACTGTTTTCTCATTTGTTCATTCATAACATACCAGGGGCCTTGAAAACAAAATCCAAATGACCTGAGTCACTCGACTTCTGAAGGACCCTGTGTAATAAGACCAAGCGGGCTTATTTACTTCTCTAAGGGAAAGTCAACCACATGCACTTATATGTGAAGCTTATTCCAAATGAAATCAAGAACAAATAATGAAAAATAAGACTATTGCCCTGACTCTGGTCCCTGAACATTTTACACAAGTCCCTGGTTTCGATTAATACGACACTGGTGGCTTCAGGGTCCTCAGAAAAAGCCTTCCTCCCCCAGGTGCAGAAATAAAATCCTGAGGCCAAGACTCTAAACTTTGCCCAAGACTTTCAAGAGATGACTGCTCCAACTTGAAACATGGGGCAGTGAGGGAACCAGCACTGGCATGATAGGACGCATGTGAACTTCTGAGTCCCAGGGGGCTGGGTCAAACAAGGGCCTGGGTTATGAATGAAATGTATGTGCCTGAAATTCACTTTTGTTATTTTTCCATTCTAATTCTCACACATTCCTCTCGAATTCAAGGAATGACATTTTCACCCTCTGGAACCAAACTTAGCATTTTAAATTTCCAAGGATGAGAAGCTAGCTTAAAGGATAAGCTGGCTCTCCCGTTTTTAATGCCCAGGTAATGAACTGAAATTACACACAGGGTTTGAATTTTTATGGAACGTTATTCATACACTTGACTCTCTCAGCTTCAACTCTTTCTCCTTTGTCAACCCTAATTATAACTTTATTTCAAAATAACAAAGAAATAAGCAGATGTATGAACATATGCAAGTGATAAAAGATTTGAGGATTTTTTTTTAAAGAAAAGACAGAGAGCTAATGAAGAAGGACTAAACCCATTTTACACAGAAGTAAACTGACAGTAGAAACTGAAATTCCCTGGTATCTATACAATGCTCACCTGTACCCCGTGCATGGTTCTAGGGGCTCATAATGTTTTGCTCGTATTTTCCCCTCCTCACCCTACATCCTGCAGCAGGGACTCTGGCAACTCTCCAAGGCTCTGACATGACCAGAGTGGAGTCTTGCTTCCAGCACAATACTCCATGCTCCCCTCTCTGCCACCCACCCTCTTCTTTCACTGTGAAAAAGACACACAGAGAAATGGCAAACCCAACAAAAACGCCACTTTGTGAGTTAAGACAGTTGAATACCAGCAATTCCACGTAGCTGAAGTTAATTCATAAAATATATTTGAACTTTAGTGGCTTTTAAGTTTTTAAGTTTCCCTTTAACAGTCCAAAGGAGTTGATGGCTTGTTCACTCTGAGGCGCTGGCTAAGAAAACCAAACCAGGCCCACAAAGCCATCTCTGAGGCCCTTGGGGCCAGGCATGCTACCCTAGGTCAGGATTATTTGGATTTTAGAAAGGTAAAATGATAAATATTTGTTATAACTCATACACAGAGAGGTCTGGGCCAGCACCCCATAATCAAATATTAACATTTCTATAGTAGACAAATAATTATTCATATTAAATAGAACAAATAAATATTAAACATATCCACATGTCAGTTCAGGCCACGTTTTTCCACCAAACATGTTATTAAAAACCTTTCAACTTTTGGAGATTTCTTGACTTCAAAATTGAAGATATCAGAGTGTGAACCTCCTGATACTTGAACAAAAAATAAAGTGACAGAAGTTTCTTGATTTTATGTTTGATGACCACAAAGTTTTCTGAGCCCTTTGGCTCAGCTTCTACTTGGGCTAATAAATCACAAAGTTAAATGAGTACAAATAGATCAAATAAATGTCAATGGGAGGAGAGATCTTACTTGAGTGATGGAAATTGGAGAGAGGAAAATGCACACGATGTGATGTGCATCCATGACCACAGTATAAAACAACTTGGTAAATTTACTAAAATCATATATAATTTGGTAAATTTACTAAAATCAATGAATTATGTACTTAAAATAAGCAAATTGTATTATATGTAAATTATATCTCGATGAAGTTGTTAGAAAAAAGTAACAATGGAAGACATTCAGAAATGTGAGTTAATATAGCAGTTTTCAAATGTAGAAACCCACTTATGTAAAATATCACCCTATTTTCTCATAGTAAAGTGTTCCTAGAAATGTAAAATGGTATGTTCACTTTGGAAAGTCATTCAAAAGGTTAAATACAAGAGTTACCATATGACCCAGCAATTCGACTCCTAGATACACACCCAAGGAAAATGAGAACCTATGTCCACACAAAAACATATACACAAATGTTCAAAGCAGCATCAATCATTACAGCCAAAAGGTGGAAACAACCCAAATGTCCAAGAACTGATGAATGGATCAACAAAATGGAATGTATCCATACAATGGAATATCATTCAGCAATAAAAGGAATATTGAGATGTAGCAGATGACTCTTGAAAACGGTAGGCTCAGTGAAAGAAATCAAAGAACATAAAAGACCATGTATTGTATTATTTCATTTACATGAAATGTCCAAAAAAGGCAAATCCATAGAAACAGAAAGATTTGTGGATGCCTAGGGCTGGGAGGAATGCTGAGATTGAAGGAAAAATGTTAAAGTGTACTGTTTTTTTTTTTTTTTTTCTGGAGTCGGGGGTGAGAAAAATATTCTAAAACTGATTGTGGTAATGGTTGTACAGCTGAATGAATATACAAAAAAAAACCCACTGAATTATATACTCTAAATGGAAAAATTATATGCTATGTGACTATTTCAATAAAACTGTTACCAAAAAAGTGTCTCTAGTATATTAGAGTGCAATGTTGTTTGGTGTTCTTTAATGGGTACAATAAGTCCTTGGCCACCAATAACTTAGTGGGTACAATCCACCTCCACAGAATGTGCCACTGTGACAGCCAGTCAACATGAACAGAAGAAAAGTTCTCATCCGCTCACCAGGGGATTAGGCAAATCTGTGGAGAGACTGAAATCTCCTTTAAGCATTCCTTATATATGGATTGGATTCTTAATTGCATCTTTTATGTGTCTTTAGCACAACGACCCATTTCAGATTAACTAGATGAATTACTGTCATTTGCAATAACTGTGAACAAGAAACGCTAAATAAATATTATTGAGATAAAAGTAAGTTAAACATATTTTTAAAATCCTTAGAAGCGTGTTACATTGTGAATATTCAACTACTGGCATCTAAGAACTGTAAGTCTGATGGCATCTAGCAGAATTCTAGCTCAATCCGAAGCTAAAATATGAATACTGCTAATTAAAAGGGTTCTCACTTCTAGGGTAAATAAATACCAAATGGAGAAAAAGATCATAGATTTGCAACAACATTTTGAAAGGCTTATAATAATTTATTACTGTTTATTTATAGCCCACCTCATTCCAAAAATGATTTTCCCATTGCTCATATGCTACGTGAAGATACAAGTTTAATTAAGAACATCTAATCTTAAGGGGCATGAAGCTAATTAGTCAGAAAATATTTATTAAGCATCTACTATATGGAAGAAACACGGCCACACACTGAAGGGAGCTACAAATTACTTATCGCAGTCTGCACTGTAGGAATTTGTTGTCACATCTAGTAATAATAAATATAATAACTATGCCTAATGCAATTTGCCAGACTTCAAATAAGAGGTCTGAGTTATAGGGATATAAGGGTTGAACAAGAAAGTGATGACTTGCCACTACTGAGGCCAGGAAGACTTCACAGAGGAGACAGAATCTGAATGAACTTTCAGATGCAGGTTCGGAAGAAAAAAGGCAGATGTCCCAGGTGGGAAAGGCCGACACGCCCTTGGGGAATGGAGGGCACACCTGTCTGGGCAGCAAATAAAATAAGGGTGGAGAGGAGAGCTGGGACCAGCCTGGACCATCAGTCTAAGGGCTGAGATTCATCCTAAATAAAAGAGGAGTCAGAGGAAAGGTGATCCAGGGTGGTCAGAGGCTGGGGTCCAGTGGGGACAGCAGCTGGACAATGGGAAAGAGATTATGACGAAGTCAAGGCCCTGACTTGTCCGGTTCCTCAGGCCCGCCGGCAGTCACTTAAAGCAGTGTCCACACCACTGAGCACATGCAGGTGACTTGCCTGCACGACCACGGCTCCCTGTCACTGTCAAAGCGAATCCCACCCACCAGCAAAATGAACTTAGTTCTACTCTATACCACTGTTTTTTTTTTTAAGGTTTGTGTCATTAAATTATTTTACAAGTTTTTTGTTTGTTTGTTTGTTTGTTTAAGAGGACAATGCTCCTTTGTAAAGTCTCAAGCCTGAAACAAACAAACGAAACTCAACAACTCTTTTGGTGACCTGTCAGATCCCTTAGACACTGATATATGTATACTTATTGTTATTACTTCAATTCTATTAATTAAGCTTTCACTATTTGGGGGGATTGTAAGCAAGGTAATTAACATAGCAAGAAGGATAGCTATAAGAGAACCCTACTGCCGGCCGGACGCAGTGGCTCACACCTGTAATCCCAGCACTTTGGGAGGCTGAGGCGGGAGGATCACAAGGTCAGGAGATAGAGACTATCCTGGCTAACACAATGAAACCCCGTCTCCACTAAAAATACAAAAAATTAGCCAGGCATGGTGGCAAGCGCCTATAGTCCCAGCTACTCAGGAGGCTGAGGCAGGAGAATGGCGTGAACCCAGGAGGCGGAGCTTGCAGTGAGCCGAGATCGTGCCACTACACTACAGCCTGGGTGACAGAGTGAGACTCCGCCTCAAAAAAAAAAAAAAAAAAAAAAAAAAGAACCCTACCCCCAAATATTACCTTGGAGCAGGACACGTATGCTGATTATTAAACTGATTACACTACATATGCCAGTTATATAATGGAAATTCAAGTTTACATGAAGCAGAAAAGATCAGTGACTTACCTGGGTTTTCTCTCCCTCTCTGTCTCTGTTCTGTGCTCACTCACTCTCTCTCCTCCTTTCCGTGCTCACTCTCCTGCTCTTTCACTCTCTCTCTGCCCCTCTCCCCTTCTCTTTCTTTCTCTCCCTCAGAAGTTCAACCATTATTTATTAAGCAAAGACTAGTAAGATCTCCCTTTGAAGACTGCACAAAATAGTAAAGGAGACGAATAGGTAATCAAATAACTACTATTTGTTTTGGGGTTTTGTTTGTTTGTTTGTTTTTGTAGAGACAAGTCCCTACATTGCCTAGGCTGGTCTAGAACTCCCGGGCTCAAGCGATCCTCCCACCTCGGCCTTCCAAAGTGCTGAGATTACAGGAGTACTTGGTACGATGAATGTTACAGGTAACTCAGATGTGGTTTTAAATAAGCATTAAAATAATAACTCTTTTAAAAAATAAGTCAAAACAAGCTATGTATTCCAATAAAATCTTGTTCCTTATATAATTACTCTCATTTACCAATACTTCATTAAGACAAACCACCTAATCTATGCTCTCTAATAAGTCACAGCTGCTAAGGTACAGCTACTCAATGAAAGCCACCAACAGCGCATTTTTCTTTGCTGATAACTAATATTATAAGCCACAGGCAGACAGTGGTGGTGAATCACAGGACAGACACACAAAATACTAGAGTTCAAGGTGGGCAAGGCTCTAGGCCATGCGGATGGCAGAAAACGTTTCTTGGTCAGGGGCCAAGAAAGAGCAAACGAGTGTTAAAAAGTCCAAAGGGGCAGGAGGAAGGAACATAACCCAAAAAACTCTGGGAAAACATGATGGTGTGGCAAGGTCCTGCCCCAGTTTAAAATAAGTTCATGTGAGAAGGCAAGGAGGACTACCAAAAATCTGGGATGAGCTCTACTGGGCACTAAGTTAATGGGCAGAGCTTGTGGCCAGGGGTCGTTCAAGCCCCTGTAAGGCTGTGCTTCTCTCTTGCCTTAACTCCCCCATGGTGTTTTTACCACTCTGATGGGTTTCATTCCTCATGAGCCCTGCACTCTCTCTGAACTAGGGACATTTGACAACTGCTTCTTGAGATTAAATAATGGGTGGTCAGAACTAGACCCTACAGTTTTCCTTTCTCTAAATGCCGGCTTTCTTCTCTCATCCCATACGGTGGAGGGCATCTGAAACAAGACAGGGACATTTAAGTGCCGATGGCCAGAGGATCCCTATACTCATAACGGGGCTAGGAGCAGAACTGCCATTCACAGGAGTGGTCTGCCTTTTTGTAATTTAACTGAAAAGTCTTCCTTAGTGGAGGATCAAGTGAGTCTAGTGAACAAAATTTAGCACACAGAAATATTGGTTAATCCTGTAGTTTAAAAAAAAATCTCTAAGAAATATGATTGGACAGCTGTTGGGAGTAGAAAATTATTAGAAAAGGTAAGCTGGTACTAAGAGAATTAGACTTGGCAGTTTATCAAATGTGAGAGGGCAACGATGGATAGATTCGAAGTCAATAATCACTTTATCACTCCTAACAACTTCCACCTGGCAGGTGCCTGGATTCCCGCCACAACATTTATGTGCAAAATGTGTTTGCTTAGTCTCCCTTGTTTTCTTTGCTCTCTGCTTTGAATTTGGAACACCCTTCCCATTCAAGGTTGCTTTTCTCTTTATGAGCATTGTAGCCATTTCTAAAAATTTTAACCATTATTGCAGAATCATTTGGGATAATGCAAATATACATGGAGTTAAGCAAACAGCTGCCTTTTTCTCATCAAGAGGCATCTGGGCAAAGGAGGAAAAAGAGGAAAGTAAAGAAAAACTGATTTCAAAATTCAGGAACCATGTCTACTGAATATTTAAGCCAGTGATTTCCAAAGTGAAATGCATAGGCCCTTCTCAAAGATTTCTCTGCTGGTTTTTCAGTTGTATAAAGAAACCCTACTCTACTTTATGGGCACAGTGCCTACATCATTTCAAAAAAATAATCTAGTACATATGTGGAGCTGGCACATCTCCTGCGAATCCAATTTAAGCTCCTAATCTTTGCATCCTAATGGGTTTAAACATTTTCTGATCAGAGGAAAAATGTATTTTACATTTGCTTTCCAAGTTTCAGAGCAAACTATTTTCTAGCCCTGGGGATATTAATTCTCAAAAAGAAACCCTAACTTCTCTTTCATTTCAAGAAGTTTTCTAGATGAAGTGTAGAGTAATGGGAAAAGTTAGTCCCATGCCATCATCATTGAACACTGCATGTTATTCAAACCAACAATAAGCATGCAGGTCTTTTCCACATGTGGTGTCTCTGACTAGACTCATTTCATCCTGGCCTGGCAAGCTCCTACTCCTCCTTCAACACCCTAATCAAATATCCCCTGCTCCATGAAAACTTTGCTGAACACTCCAAAGCAGAAAAATGCCTCCTTACTCTGGGGTTCTGGATCTCTTGCACTGCAACATTTGACAAATCTGTACTGAGCTCAGAGAGATGCTGCATCTGTATTATATTGTAAACATCAGCTGCAAAACAGACCCTTCCCTCCTTCTATCCCTGGATACCTTGGGCTTAGAAGAGTAATCCAGGCATACTGGTGCTCCATCAGTGTCTGTTCAACAATGAATGCATCTTCCCATCTTTCCATGGTACATCCCTCTCTTACTGTGGTAAACTCTGAGAGGATAGGCTGTATTTTATTTTATTTTATTTATTTTGAGATGGAGTCTCGCTCTGTCACCAGGCTGGAGTGCAGTGGCATGATCTTGGCTCATTGCAACCTCCGCCTCCCAAGTTCAAGTGATTCTCCTGCCTCAGCCTCCCGAGTAGCTGGGATTACAGGCATGTGCCACCATGCTCAGCTAATTTTGTACTTTTAGTAGAGACAGGGTTTCTCCATTTTGGTCAGGCTGGTCTCAAACTCCCAATCTCAGGTGATCTGCCCACCTTGGCCTCCCAAAGTGCTGGGATTACAGGTATGAGCCACTGTGACCGGCCAGATAGCCTGTATTATCCACCTGGGTTTCTTCAGCCCCTGGCATACAGTCATTACTCAGTGAAAATAGGATGAATGTAGGAGAGAAAGAGGCAGGGAAGAAGAAAGGGAAGGAGGAAAGGAAAAAGCCAGTGGTGCCCCATCTCCATCACGCATTCCACACATTTGTTGAATGGCTTCCTCCTCATGACTTCTTTACTTGTGTATTCCTCATGTCATGACACATTTTCTACCTTCAGTTTGAGAGGTTTATAGACACATCTTATCTGCTGGAATAGAAGCCCTCTGAAGTCCAGAACTTGTTTGTCTAGGCCACAGAGTGGAGCGTCTTGAGCCCAGAAGTCACTGAATTGTCTGTTGACTAAAGATTCAGCAAACATGACAGAGGACTGCAGGATGTTTGAAGTGGTCCCCACTTCATTTGAAGCAGAAGGTCTAATTTGTGAGTCATGTCAATGGTTCAACAAAGTGAATTGGTAAATTGAGCCAGGTTTGAGGAAACACAAGTTTTACTATCCAATTTCAGATGACAAACCTCAGCAGTTGCTGCCAACCATTTCATTTCCCCATTTATCTCCTATCAGACAGAAAGAGCATAAAATTTGTCTTCAATCTACCATGGAAAATAATGAGAATGCATGAGATGGTACATACTAAGAAATCTGAGTTTCTCTGACAAGAGGAGTTCAATATGTTATTAGTCAAATACAACGCTTCAAAAAGCTAAATATGATTATTTACTTGATGGTTATTCATTGATGTCAAAAATGCTACTTTTCATTCACCTCCTTCCTCTTTCCGCTTCTTTGCACTTATATTTAGTTTGGAACAAGTACAGTCTGTGAGTTATGGTCTATATTGTAATAAACAGCTGAAGAGAGTCACTATAATCAAGTGAAAAGTAATCAATATGGGAAATGCAACGGTCTTACTTCAAAAGTCTAAAATTGTTGTATAATTGGCTTTCTTCCATTTGCCATCCTTTTTTGTTCACAATTTTTTTAGGCTGAAGGAGTAACTTGACCTACATGTGTTAAGAGGAAAGGAAATCATTTAAGCAGCAGCAAATGAGATACTATTATCACAGCTCAATATAAAATTGCCGTCCATCATTTAAACAATTTGATCTGTGGCAAGGACAGGAAATTTCCATAAATGTTCTTAAAGCCTACAAAACATTTTTCAAACTATCAAATTAAGAGGCACAAGAATAATTAGATATTGCTCAAGGTCTTTCTATTCCGAAGGGAGAGATTTTTCAGAAAGATAAAATCGTATGTCCCTGTTGTTTTGATATTTGGTCTTAATGAAAACAGGGCCATGTTTCAGGCAATGTTTGAGCTACGAAAGTGTCAAAAAAGTCTTTACTAATTATTTTTTAGGAAGCTAATCAACACACCCTACATGGAGAGAATATTAATGTGTCCTCTACACATCGGTTGGTTTAATGGACATTCTGGGGTCTGCCCAGCGCATACCAAACCCTCTCTGAGAGCTGGCTAAAAACCCACCTGCAGGGGCTCAGGCGCCATAATGTTCTAATCAATCATGTTCTCAAAAGTGGACATCTAACCGAGTCGGTCTCTTCAGATACTCTTCTCTATCTAGAATTGGAGGTTAGAGATGTCCATCAGTCTCTGTGGGATATCTGAAGTAAGGGCAGCCATCGGTGATGGTGGTGCACAGAGGCTCAGAGAAAGCCAGCATGCTAAGAGGAGAAGGAAGCCAGTGGGTAGGGCTACTTCCTCAGATCCTGGTCACTCCCTGGACCCAACCTCACTCCATCATGCACCTCTGTTACTTCACCATCCAATCCTCATTGTCATAATGCTGCTTACTGTGGGTTTTGGTGATCTGCCACCCAAAGAACCTTGAGACGACTTTGCCAAAAGCAACCTTGACTGCTTGGCAGGCCAGTAAGACAGCTTCTTCATAAACTCAATAAACAATGACACAGGCATGCTCATTGGGGGTTTCTGAATATTCAGATTCAGAGGGTGCCCAAAATCCTGGGGAAATTAGATTGGAGTGCTTTCAGGCTTGGCCTAGCAAGAAAAAATGTGCAAGATGAACTGACCAGAAGAAGTTATTAAAGACCTCAGCTATTATTTTAACCCAGGAGGCCAATGTGACAATATTCTAATATTCCCCAGGTCGATCCTATACTCACTCTAGAGTGCAAGGAACTGGGGCCCCATATGATGACAGTGGCATTGAAAAACTGCTTGACATCAGGACACCTTGCACTATAACTGGTTAAGGGCCAGCTTTTGGTTTTTTTGTTTTGTTTTGTCCGATCGTGTATGTGTGTTTTCCAATACTCTGTAGTATAATACTTTCATAAAATGCAAAAGTGATTGATGTTGCACATTCTCATATATATATATTTGGAGATGGAGTCTCGCTCTATCGCTAGGCTGGAGTGCAGTGGCGCAATCTCGGCTCACTGCAATCTCTGCCTCCTGGGTTCAAGCAATTCCTCTGCCTCAGCCTCCCAAGTAGCTGGGACTACAGGCGCACACCACCACACCTGGCTAATTTTTTGTATTTTAGTAGAGACGAGGTTTCACCATGTTGACCAGGATGGTCTCAATCTCCTGACCTCATGATCCACTTGCCTCAGCCTCCCAAAGTGCTGGGATTACAGGCATGAGCCACCGTGTCTGGCTGCACATTGTAATATTCTTATAAATATTTAACACTTATACTCAATTTCTGTTCCCATCTCATTGCGATATCAACAGTTCCTGAACTGACATTTGTACATGGTCCACACTTTGGGGAGTTCTGGTCTCTGCTGCAGTTGACTCAAGGCTTGACACACACCGCTGTTCAGCTGTGCCCACTCAATGCTTCTGATACTATAAAATGGGAGTGCACCATGCCTGGAAGGCTGGTAGTAATCAAATCCCTGCTTTGTCGGCACTGGATTTGTGACTCTAGACTAGAAATACAACCTCTCTGAATTTTCCCCCACATGCAGAATGAGGATGTATGGTAGGCAGAATTCTCTTACAGGGTCAGCCAAGATCCCCATGGCCCTGGTCAATATGTGCTGCACACTCCCCTCCCGGGAGTGTGGGCAGGGCCCGTGAATATGATGGGATAGCGACCCCTCAATTAGGTGATATTATATAAGATGTTATATAAGCAGAAATGGGAGCCATTGATTCCCTGCCACACGGTGAGAGAGCCCCATGACTAGGACTTGAAGGCGGCCTCTGAGGGCTGAGACAAAATCCTGGCCAAAAGCCAGCAAGAAAATGGGGACCCCAGTCCTATGACCTCAACAGAATGAATCCTGCCAACAACCTGAAGGAGCTTGGAAGAAGACCCTGAGCCTCAAACAAGACCTTCGTCCTCGCCGACACTTTGATTTCTGCCTTGTGAGACAGTGAGCAGGAAAACCAGCTCTGCTGTGCCTGGACCTCTGACCTAGAGATGATGACAATAAACTGGCATCATCTTATCCTGCTAAATGTGTGGTGATTTGTTATGGTGGGTGCCATGCCTACTAATTGTGGTGTTGTTGAAAAGATGAGAAATCAGTTACGGGAAATGCTGAGCATATCATAATCTCTCAGCTCCCAGGAGCTGTTAACGCTCATGTTGATGGTTAGTCTTCATAACCCACACAGGCCTATCTGCATGCTGAGTAAAGTGTATGCATGTACAGACACACACGCACATGCATAAAATTCCACCAGACTTCATGAGTCTTCCTCAGAGAAGGAGCTGCCTGTCACTTCAAAAACTAGCTTGCATCTCTTAGATCCTCTCCTGTCTCTCTCTCTGGATAACTTTCGCAAGCCTAGGAGGCTGGTAAGGCAGCTACTATCATTCCCATTATACCAGACAAAAACCTGAGGCTCAGACCCCACCCAAGGTCACCAAACCTGTCAGTTCATGGTCAACCACAAGCCTAGTCTTTAAAAATCATCTACAGCTGCCTCATTTTTAAATTTAAAGCTTTCTTTAGCTGCAATAGGTGCCTCACACTGTTTAAAAAATGAAGTTTTGCAAACATCATGGGATGTCGCTGATTGTAATGCAGGTATCTGCCCATCATGAAATCACAAAGTAAATGGTATTTTCTGATCCTCAAATGAAAAAACTAAAGTGGATATGCTCAAAAGCAAAACCTGAGAAGCTGAACTGGGCCTAAAATTCGTCATTCTTAGATACTTCCTTTGCAATGAGAATCAAAAACCAGACAGATCATGCTGGCAATGTTAGGGGACACAGCCCACCAGCCTAGCCTGCTTTGTTTGACCTGGGCATGATACCCAGAGCTCCTAGTCAGGTATGCAGTGTCTTCAACCCACTTGACAGGTTCCACACCAACCTGCCCACTCCATTTATGACCACCTATCTGGTATGCTGTGGAATTCTTTGCTTGGTACTTAACCTTCCATAAAAACAACAGTCAACTCATGATTATGGTAAACATTTTCACTGGCATGTTTCACAGCTAAGAAACATTACATTTTTATGTTTTGTGTGCAGCTATCTGAAAATATGGAATTTTTTAACACTTGCTACCAAAAATGCAGTGACAAATATTAACCATTCTTAAGGTCTTCTTCTTTTTTGAAATTTTTACTATATAGACTCTCAAACACTCTAACACCATTGAAACGCTACATTTTCGAATTTTTTAAAGCCATATGGATGAGACATAGAAAAACCAAATAAAACACATTCTGGGTGTTAGGCAGCCCAGGTCTTGATTGGACCATATAAATCTGTCTTCTGGGAGTGATGGGGTTGAATGGCCCCTCTCTACTTTTCAGGGCACATATTTTATCATCACAAGACTTTACATTATGAATGATATATAAATACATGTGCCCCAAGAAATATGTGTAGAAAGTTACTCTCCAAGGGACAGGGCAGACAGCATCTGCCAGTATCAACATGCCTAGAGGAAACTGAGCACAGAGGAGCCAAGAACTACAGCCAGATTCCTACTGGGTCGTGACACAGCCCAGGGTCAGACCAAAGGTAACGATTGATAGCTTAAGTGCCCAAAACTCAGGACAAGGTGGCCTCTCGATACCCCTGCAGCCTGAGTCCTGCCACAAGAGGGATAACAGAGCCTACCAGGAATGAAAACAGGTCTTCAGTTCTCTGCAATGTTCAGAGCTGAAAAGGCAGATTGACAATCCCAGTCTCTGTCACTTTTATTAAAAATTCAAGTCAGAATTGATTCCTAGAATTTAGTATTTGCAATTTTGTTTGCATATATAGTTTTTCATTCATCTGTTTGAAGAAACTGGAACTGAAAAACACAGATAATTCTCTTACTCTGGCCTGACCGAAATCAATCCACCAACTACCTGGAGCAGGGGTCAGCAAATATTTCTATAAAAAGCCAAATGGTAAATATTTTTGGCTTTGCTGGCCAACTCTGCAGTTTCAGTGCAAAGATGATACATAAAAGAAAAGGTATGGCTGCGTTCCAATAAACATTATTTACAAAAAAAGGTGGGGGGCCAACCACATTTGGCCCATGGGCCATAGTTTGCTAACTCCTGGCCTAGGATGCTGAAAACACACCCAGCATCCTCATGATTTGTTGTCATTGCCTTTTATTCTTATAATGGCATCCTGATACATGTCCTTCACCTAGTACATCCTCCACCTGCCAACAGAATCTCTAAAATAGAGGTCTGAGCATGACTCTCTTTGCCAAACCTTAGATGGCCCCATGAAGTGGAGAAGTGCCCCAAAAGCTACTTCAGGGAAATTCACTAGTCCAGAAAATCATGGATGATTTACATCAAACAAAAGGTATATATACTACCTTCAAATAACAAGTGCTTGGGAAGTGCCAGCTTCAGCTTCAACAAAGTTAAGCAGATTCCTTTACTGCAAGACATCTGAGAATTATACACTAATAGATGTCATGCAACTATAATGAAGGAGCAAGAATCACTTCTCAAATACGTTTGACCATGGAACCCTTGATTTCCACTGAGTGTCGCCTGGAACTTGTGTTCCAGAGGAAATATCTTGGAGAACTCCCATATGAGACATTGGTTTCTTGCGTGACATAAATTACCCTTTGTCATCCAGGCCTAAGCTATGTGGAGTTCCTAGCGTGAGCCTAGGACGCCTGCCAGCTCACTCACTTGAGCTGGGCATCACATTGTCAACATGCCAGGGACTTTATTCTATCTCTATGCCAAAACACACACTCTGACCTCTACCCATGCCTGACAAATTCATACTGCAGGGGCCAGTTCAACGTTTAAGCAGGCTCTCCCAAAAGTTTATCTCCCAGACCTTTGTTTTCAGAGAATATTTGAAATAATAACTCAATTATCTCATAGAGTTTAATTTATTCCTACTTGAAGGTGAGCAACATGATCCTAGGGGAAGTGTTACTTCCCACTTGAACTTGGGAGCTTGCCTAGACCTATTTTGAGGACAGACCCTGAAGCCATGTTCTATTTGTTTCTCTAAGCTAGTGCAATACATTCGTTTAATAAGAGGTCATTTCTCCCATAATGCATAGTTATGAAATACTAAATATACTACCTCATCTCTCCCCGTACCTTATATTATTTACTGGAGATCCAGTAAATAATACACATATCCTGCAACATAAAAGGGTGGTTGAGTGGAAGGACATGGGAAGTGTTTATGAGAGGAAGTAAAGGAAGGTGGGAGGAAAAAAAATTGTCCTAGAACACAGCCAACAAATATCAAATATAAACCATTAAAATTAATTATCCTATTTGCTTCCCGGACTTTTCCCTCTACCTTTTGACTTTTAGTAACTGAATACTGGCCTTCTAGCTTGCATCTGGTTGATATCCAATTTGCTGCGTTTTTGATTCATAGACAATTTCCCAAGCTAAGTACCATAATAGGAATTACAAAGCTCCAGGGCTGGAGAGAACAACATGACCATTTTTCAGAGAAGAAGCCACAGCCAGCAGGGAGATGCCTTGCCCAGGCAGCTCCCCCTAGGAGGTCTCTCATCCTGGGAGATTGCTCAAGGGCCTTGAGGCGCCCCTGTTCTCCCTCTGCAGGCCTCTGATTTTAAGCATCCTCAGGCATTATCATCCTAATTTTACAGATGATGAAACCTGGGCATGGAGACGTCGAGTGGCCTGCCAAAGTGACTCACTTGAATGCTGAATGTTAATGCCAAAATGTCACAACCGGACCTCCTTGCAGTCAGAGGGGAGGAGGTGTCCTTTCCTTAAACAAAATTGTATATTCTTCTTCACAAAGAAACAACTGGATGAATTCTGCATTAAGACATAAATAATACTTTTTAAATAAATCCAGTGGTTAAAACAAAACAGGCTGTTTCTAAAGCCCTTTACCTTTTCTTTAATTAATTTTATATTTTGGAGTGATTTTAAGTTTACAGAAAAATTGAGAAGAAAATAGAACTCCCCATATATCACCTTGTCTCATCCACCTCCACCTCACACACACAATTTCCCATATTCTTCACATCTTGCATTAATGTAGCACATATGTTACAACTGATGAGCCATCATTATTAATTAAAGCCCATAGTTTACATTAGGGCTAACTCTTGGTGTTGTACTTCCTGTGGGTTTTGACATGTGTCCAACATTACAGTATCATACAAAGCAGTTTCATTGCCCTAAAACTTTCCTGTGCTCTATTCTATTCGTCTCTGCTTCTCCCCTACCCCTGGACACCACTGATCTTTTTTCTGTCTCCACAGTTTTTCCTTCTCCAGAATGGCATATAGTTGGAATCATGCAGCATGTAGACTTTTCACATTGGCTTCTTTCACTTAGCAGGTTGCATTCGAATTTCCTCCAGGTCTTCTCATAGTTTGATAGGCCATTTCTTTTTATTACCGAATAACATTCCATTGTCTGCAGTACCATCGTTTGCCTATCCATTCACCTATTAAATAATATTTTGGTTGCTTCCAAGTTTTGGCAATTGTGAGTAAGTCTGCTATAAACATTTGCTTGCAGGTTTTGGACATACGTTTTCAACTCATTTGGGTAAATACAAAAGAGCTCAATTGCTGGATCATATGGTAAGAGTATGTGTAGTCCCATAAGAAACTGCCAAGTCATCTTCCAAAGTGGCTGTTACCGTTTTGCATTCCTGCCAGCAATGAACAAGAGTTCTTATTGCTTCACATCCTCACCAGCAATTGATGTCGAGCACTTTATATTTCAATAAAAGATGTGAATGTGATCACATCAATTTATGACAGCTTTTTGGGAATGTATTTGTTGTGTTCCAAGAGGCAAGATTTGATATTCAATATGCTCGAGTCCACATAATAATGACTTGTTTATTCTAAGTTTGTACAGAGCTAATTGCACCCGCTGACCATGCCTCATTCATTTAATAGATATGCATTAAGTCCCTCCCATGCTTTGGGCAACATGGTGCCATGGAAAACAGAGTGGCGAACAAGATGAATTCGCAGAGCTCACAGTGTGGCACAGACTAGGGTGTCAATAACCTTGATCACATCACACCAAGAGGAACCAAAGCTAAGGGAGGAGCCATGTGTGGTCACCTTTCACGGTGAGTCCCCAATCATGGCAGCCCACAAGGAGGGGGTCCTACATATGTCTCTTAAATGACAAAACAAAGGCCCTAAGTAAGCTTCATGCAACTGTATTTTTGCTAAGTACCAGGAAGAATTTTCCCTGCCAGAAAACCCAGGGAGAAAAGTGACATAGAAGCTAAAATGAGGAAGTGCTGGCAGAGAGTCTGAATCAAGAATGTTTATCATTCCTGAAAGTGTTTTTTAAAAAACACTGATGATGGAGGAATGCAAATTTTTAAAATTAATACCACTGTAACAGACTGTATAGACTCATATGGCCCATTTTCAATAAACTGCACTGACAAAAATTGTTCAGTATTTTTAGAGTGATATTCATCAACACTTAACGCTGAACGCTCCTTGTATTTTAAGGGCACCATCCCATCTACTTCCCATTTTTTAAGACTACTCGAAGGCTCTGTGTGCTGGCAGCATCTGTGAGCCAGCCCACATTATTTATAAAGGGTTTCACAGGGACAGGAATGCAGTGCCTAAGAGTGGCTGCCAAGGCATAACTCACCACACTGTGTCAAGGTTAGACCTCGGTGCCAATAAAGATTCATTAGGTACAAAAAACTGAGTCAGCAGTGTCTTTGCAATGACCTGAGGCCTCCTCTTGGCACTGAACTCTGCAAGTTCTCAGCAAAGAGAAAAAGCAAAGCTGAAAGACAGTTTTTAGTTCATATATAACACAACAACGATGAGTTTCAGATGGACAACAGCAGCCCACACAGAGAGGGCCAAAAAGGATAATTTTGAAACACCACCCCATAAGCTCAACTCAGTTTTATCCCATAAGTTCTCTCTCTGGTGAATGACAATTAACCTATATTGTTGATCCTGGCCCTGTCAAAAGCTGTCCAAATTTCACTGAGGGAGCTGCTCCCAATGTCCCCGCCCTCCCACCCAATCAGGGCATTGTGGGATTGTCATCACAGATTACGTCAGCCAGGAAGTCTGCAATTTGTAAGAAAATCAATCCAGGATGTGGTTGGTCCAGCCAGTCCTGGGGACCTCCAAATATCCTACTGACCAAGGACTTAGCAGTTCCGTGGTCACTGGCCCCATGACCAGCCTTCAGAGCAATCACTGAAATCAGGTCAGTGAAGAGCTTGGCTACACATGCACTTTGCACTATGAAGTCTCCAGACTAACTCGAGTTTATGCTTCGAAATGGGCATGCAGTCCAAATGGGCTCTTCTTCTCTCTTCCTGTTTGTAGCCTCTTCCTAGACACATGACTTAATATACCATCCATATGTCAATCCTCCAAGGCCTCCATGTCCTACCTTTACTCCTGCCCTGGGCTTAGGCCTCACAGATCCAACGGCATCTTTTACATCTCCAGGTACATGTGTAATAGACATCTCAAACTTAACATGGCCAGAGCAGAACTGAAGGCTGTAGAGCAATGCCTAGGAGCATCATTTGTTTCTCTCCTTCCCCCATGGCCAACACATGCTCCCCCATGGCCAACACATGCTCCCCCATGGCCAACCTATGAACAATTCCTGATGACTCTAACTTCAAATATATCCTGACCATACCTCTCTCCATCTCTACTGATACAACCCCATTTCCAGATCACTTCACTGATGACTGCCAGAGACCCTTCACTGGCCTTTATTTCCACTCTAGCTCCTGCAGACTAGTCTCTATACAGCAGCCGGAGTGCCCGGATTGGAAATCAGATCACATCTCCTCCTGCTGGAAACACTTCAATGGCCTCCAGTTGCACTTCAAGTATGACCTACATTCCTAATCTTAGCCTCAAAGTTGTACATAACCCAGCCCCTGTCCATCTCATCAGCCTCATCCTTCAGGCCATACAGATCCCAGTGTCAAACTGTCACATCTGCAGAGAGACTGCCCCTGATCTCCCACTCTAAAGAGGTTACCCCAATCACTCTCTCATATCATTTCCATTCTCTGAAGCACACTTACCATTTTTCATACACAAACACATGCCATGACTATAAAGTTTGTTTACAATGGTATCTCAAGTGCCCAGATGTATAAACAGGACAGAGAAAATCCAAAATAAATATTTTGTTGAAGGAATAAAAACGCATAAGCCATCCTTCAATACATCCAACGCAGTCATTTTCCTTTCTGGTGTTGCAAAAGATTTTTGTTTTTATGATTGTTGTTGAGCAAAAGCTGCAGTCGTTGGCTTACATTTAGAGACTGTGCTGTACAAAAGATATGTATCAGTAAACGCTGGAATCCCACTCAAGCTCAGGGAGAGACACATGAGAACCAAGTAGCCCAAGGGGTCCAGCAGACGTGGTCTTAGATCCCACACTCCAGCCTCGAGGTAGAATGACAAGAGGAATTAAATTGAATAGTTAAATCATTTTGCCTGTTTTTCTTTTTCCTTTTGGCTAATTTTGCATTCATTCAATTGGCTTTGCTTAGAAGTAAGAGCACTGACAGAAAATTCTGACTGCACAAGAAAGAGACCCAGAGACACTCAGGAGGGGCCCTTGGATGAAAACCACCAGAACCTCATTTAACTTGCAGCTCACCACAGCACTGTTTGTCATTTTTTTTAAATTATACTTGCATTTTTTCCTTTTTTGGTTTTAGACCTTAAAAAAATCCTTCATACTTTATAAGCTTTAAAGTACTGAAACACTAGTCCTTGTTGACTTTTGCCCATGTCTCAAATTCAATTTAAAGAGATATCATCAGAAGGGCAAAAAGGCCCTGGGCTGTCCTTAAAACAATAGCAAACTGGATCGTGTCTCCTTAATTCCCTGTGTGAGGGTGTTTGCAGCAGACTCATAAAGTGCACACTGACGCCAATAACTCTAAGGAGAAAAATTCCTCCGCTTCCAAATTCTGATCCAAAGCAAACACTGCACAGCACGTATGGGTAGGTGCTGAGGGGCTGGAAGGCTGAGATTCATGTGAGAAGTTGAAAGGACCTTGAATGTGTGTAGCTTGGCTAAAGAGACATGATAACTGCCCTTAAATATTTGACAGAGTAAACACTAAAGGGGAAAGAAAATAATGGCCAAAGCTACACAAAGAAGGCAATTAAGAGTAATGGGAATCTCGGGCAAACATGATAAAAAGCCGTCCTGCCAGGAAGAACTTCTAAACGGAAGAATAGTTCTCCTTAGTACAGAACCAAGCATCACCCTGAGGGGCCTTTCCTGAGGCTTCTGCACCTCTCCTGGAGCAAGGCTGACTGGCCTAACTTTTAGACCAGGACCAGGTGGCAAGAAGCCCAAGTCTGCAGGGAGATGGCTTGGCTAATTTCTCTGGCATTTCATCTCCCTAATCTACTGCCTTCCCTAAAGCCCACAGGGAGACAAGGGAATGCTTCCACAAGGTCATTTCAGGATGCAGAGCTGAGGCTAGCATTTTCAAACACTACTCTGCGCTACTGCATGGCTGGGAAAGAGTTGGGTGGCAGGGAGGGGGCGCGGTGGGAATGCTAGATAACTCATCAGAATGCCTTGCTTTAGAGATGTGGTTCCCAAACTCCAATGATAATCAAAACTACCTGGAAAATACAGGGAGGGTGTTACCTTTATAAAAAAAAAAAATGCTATTCCTGGACCTTCTTATACCCATATCTGCTGAACCAGGGCCACACTGCTGGCAGGGGGCAAAGGTGAGATTCAAACCCATGTTAGTCCGGCTCAGAGATTCCACACTCAGCTGCTGGATACAAACCATAAGAAGACATCAACCATTCCCAAGGATTTCACGTTTCCATCTCTGCATTTCTTTCAGAGCTACAAAGAAATTCTGCTTCCCTAACTATACTGCTATTTCTGACTTTGAGGGAATAGCTCTACCAGTAAGACTGCACGACTTAAATAAGGTGACAAGAAAACCACCAAATTGGCTAGTGGGGGAAGTGGGGATGGTTAATGGGTACAAAAAAGAAAACAGAGAGAATGGGTAAGATCTATTATTTGATAGCACATCAGGCTGACTACAATCAATAATGATTATACATTTTAAAACAACTTAAAGAGTGTAAATGAATTGTCTGCAACTCAATGGATAAATGCTTGCAGGGATGGATACCCCATTCTTTATGATGTCCTATTTCACACTGCACGCCTGTATGGAAACATCTCATGTGCCGCATAAATATTTACACCTACTATGTACCCACAAGAATTAAAAATTAAAAAAAGTTGTTTAAGAAAATCACCAAATTTATTGGTCAGAACTTATCAAGATTTATGACCACAACTGTATCCCAAGACTTCTGGAAGTTAATTGTTGCTAACATTGGTGTGTATTTTCCTTGAATAAAGTAAGCACCACTGCCTTTCTACTCACAGTGGAAGGTGACATTTGGGAGCATGCTGCAATTTGTGGAAGTACCCCAAACTGCGGGGGCTTTGTGCCATCCAGCATGGGCTCTACTGCTCCCTGGGGGACCAGAAGTGCCTGATCCGATTGGGAAGGGCCTTTCCAAACCTCAGGAGCTGCTGCTGTTATGTCTGTGACTTTTCCACACACTGATTTATTTGTTGTGACCTCCTGAGTTACAACTGACTTTTCCCAGGTTGATGTCTGTGAACGGCACAGAACAAACTGTTAAGGTTCAGTTCACTTTAACAAGCATTTATTGAATATCTGGTAGGGGTAATAATACTACTACTCCAAGGAGGAGTAATAATACACAACCATCAACACCACACCACTGTCTTTAACTGTACCAGTACCCTAGGACTCTATCCTCGCACAAATCCTACGAAGTAGGTGCTACTACCACCTTTATTTTATAAACGACTCAGTAGAGGCTCCCAGGAATAAAGTTAGCTTGCACAGTGATGGGCAGAGAGGGAGACCCAGGACTAGAAATCAGGTACACCTGCTATCCTGTGACCCTTTTGCTGTCTGACTTTCCATTGTGCCAAGTCCAAGTGGATTATAAGAATAAGAATGCCCTGGCCTATCATCACCTGGGGAAATAACACAAGCGTATGTATCCACGTATCCATGCAGTACAGGTCATCAAAAACAAAGCACCAATAGCCATGAAGACCAGGAGGGAGAATTTGCTGCAGACTCTGAGAGAAGTGCTGCAAAGGAGAAATCAGACTCTGCAGAGGAGGTATCCAACATGGGTTTAGATGAATCTGATGTGTAGCTTCAGACCACTCTGCGAGATCTTTGAATGCTAAGATTAGGCATCTGCATTTTATTGCATAAGGCACCAGGAGGCCGAAAGAGAGCCGAGCAAGGAATGATAAAACTAGGATGTGCTTTATAAAGTTACCTGACAACAGGGCACAGCCCTGCTATTATATAGGGTGGTAGGCAGAGAGGCTAGGGCAGAGGTTCCAAGAACTGTCTTGGCAAAGAGTAATGTGCTTGGTGGTGCAGTGAGTTTAAAGAGGAGGTTACCAACTGGCTTGTAGAAAGGGAGTTTCTCACCTTATAAACACAAAATGGAACCATATAAACTGCTGAAATGAAGCACGCTTTAAAGTTATTACAACACAACTACCCTTAGTTACTAAGAACCTTCAAACACGGAGACAAAGCTGAGAACAAGAGTTAGATGAAGGGCTTTGAGCAGAGAACACAAACACTTTATTAGTTTGAACACCATTCCAACAATCTTGTTTATATGACTTCCCAAGTCACAACACACTTAGATGCAGTAAAATTAAAAATGGCGGCAAGCAGCAGCAGGAAGCCACCAATGGCTGACAAGGAAAAAAGAGACAGAAAAATGTTTAAAAATCAGACTCAAGGCCGGGCGCGGTAGCTCATGCCTGTAATCCCAGCACTTTGGAAGGCTAACGCAGGCAGATCACTCGAGGTCAGGAGTTCGAGACCAGCCTGGCCAACATGCGGTAACCCCCTCTCTAGTAAAAGTACAAAAATTAGCCGGGCATGGTGGTAGGTACCTGTAATCCCAGCTACTTGAGAAGCTGAGGCAGGAGAATTGCTTGAGCCCAGGAGGTGGAGGTTGCAGTGAGCCGAGATCGCGCCTCCAGCCTGGGCGACACAGTGAGACTCTGTCTCAAAAAAAAAAAAAAAAAAAACAAACAAAAAAAAAAAAACAGACTCAAGATCTCAAAATCCAAGCAGTATGGAAACATCTGACCTAGAAGCAAACAGCTTCTGTATGCCCTTACCAAGTGACTGTGTCACACACACATGGATGTTAAAAGCCGTGAGACAGGGCCACAAAAGAAGTGATAAGTTATAATACCATCCAGGTAAGCAGACAGGTAGAGAACACATTGAAAACACATGTCCCACAAAATTCACAGTATTTTACAAGGTTGATGCTTCGAGTATCTCGAAAGCTCACTCTTGTGGAGCATTTGCCTGGGTTGTGAGCAAGAGGATACAATGTGGCTGGTGTTGATAACAGAACAGTTGAGCCCATCATCTTGAAACTTCTAGATGTTTCCAAATATGCTCCAATAAAGCATGCACAAAATGTGAAAGTGTGAACTATTTTGCAGTTAGCTTAGAAGAACCTAAAATGGCCTACACTTTTGTCAGTAAAGCCTCTGAACGCTAATCCTAAAGTAGTCAGTGGTACCCCTCCACTTGCACTGACACTCAGACTTCAAGCCCAGAGAGAGAAAGGCCATATCTGTCTTCTTCACTTCTCTATCTTGGGACCTGGCATAGAACCTAAAATGCAATAGATGCTTAATTTAAAAAAAAATGAAAAAGTGATTAATCTCCATTAGAAAATATACTTATCTGAAATATCCATTTAAATAAACATATAAGAACTAAAATGACACTGTGTAACTAGAAACCCATTTGGAGTTCTCAGCAAGAGAGTACAGTTATTTTAACAGCTTTTAATAAATAAATAAAAAAAAGAGGAGGAGACACTCTCCATTCAAATGCCCTCACAATACAAGTTCTGAAAGAACAGAATTTCAACTGGAAGGGGGAAGGAAACACTGCCCACTGGGAGATCAGCTATGTCTTCCATGATCAGCAGCCAGAGTTGAAGGTATAATTTAATTTAGCTACTTTGAACATAAAATGTCAAAAGAGGCACCAGAAGCCAAAACACAAGACAAATGCATGACCAAAGTCTGAACCAATGGGCCCTCTGTCCAAGGAATGTGTTAAAGAGAATTTACGTCATGGCAGCCAGCATACGCAGACACATAGAAGATGAGCAACTGCTCTGAACAATGAGAACAAGAACCCAGATTTCTGATGCTCAGGTACAGGAAGGAGGACTGAGGTTAAACACTGAGGTAAGAACTTAAAGAAGTCATGAACAGATGCGCACTACATCCCCTGAGAAAGCCAAGATGGGCCTGCTATCATGGGAAGACGTGATGGATGCCTGGGGGAGGGGGGAGTGATTTTTCAGGAAGCTTTGTGTACAATGAAGCTTAAACCTAATTAAAAAGAAAAAAGAAGCTTGTGGGTGATTGTATAGATAAGGAAGCAAATAATGAAAAGTTAGACAGACAAAAATTAAAGGAGCATAGTGAAATAAAGATAAACACAGCAATGCTCCGAAAAGATAAGAAGCAAACAGCTTGGCTCAGAGTCAGGGGAGCCATTAAGGGCTGTGGTGAGGAGGTGTGACAGATGGGGCTGGTATTGCTGATAGGCTCCATGAAGTCTTTGCTTTGGAATTCCTAAAAAGAGCTGCCTCTCAGGAATGCCTCCTAATGAGAAATTCCTAATGAGAAAGCGCAACGTTCAGAACCAATGGTTGCAGGAGGCCAGGCCAGGATGCATGCAATCCACAGTCTCAGCAGGCTTGGGGTGTGTGGGCGCCTCTTGCTCTGCTTCATGCCACCCTCCTAAGTCCCTGTTCTTGAACCCCACAGTGTGACTGTGGAGCTGAGAGCTGCAATTGCAAGAACAGCTCAGAAACTCAGCACCCCGTCCCCAAAATGCCTTTCTTTAGTTTTCTACCACCCCAGACCCATTTTCTCTCTCCCTCCCTGGGACACAACCAAGAGTCTCTCACTTCCTACTGCAGGATGCTAATCAAAAAAGTAACAGTCGGACGGGCGCAGTGGCTCATGCCTGTAATCCCAGCACTTTGGGAGGCTGAGGCAGGAGGATAACTTAAGGTCAGGAGTTCAAGACCAGCCTGGCCAACATAGTGTAACCCCGTCTCTACTAAAAATACAAAAATTAGCCAGGCATGATGGTGCATACCTGTGATCCAAGTTACTGGGGAGACAGAGGCAGAAGAAGTGCTTGAACTGGGAGGTGGAGGTTGCAGTGAGTGGGGATCGTGCCACAGCCCTCCAGCCTGGGTGACAGAGCGAGACTCCGTCTCAAAAAAATAAAAATAAAAAAACAACAGTCACAATTAGGTGTGTTTCTGACACAGCATCTCTCTTCTTGACAGAAAAGAAAGATGAGCAAATAATTTTAGTGCCATTTGCAATAATCCCCAGAATAAGAAAAACTTGAGTTACGGCCAAAGAAATAAGCAGTGTTTCTTCTGCGAACAAGAGAGTCCTGATAGTGTGCTTCGAATTTCCATTTAAAAAGAAATAGATGTCTCTGCTGAGTTCATAGTATCATGCATTTTCTAACTTGAAACACAATATTGTAGATAACAGAACATCAGCAATAAAATTATAAGAAAATTACCCATTTTGACTTGAGTATGGAGACTCTGTCAATCAAAAAATATTTTATCTTGCAGTTAAAATGTTTCCATAAATCATGGGTCACAGCTCTTTCAGCTACAGTATCAGCCAGTGAAATCAAAAATAACTCCACCAAAACGTACCAATACTTACTCAGGCTGAGAGCAACAAGGGCCAAATTCCAAAAAGAATGATAATTGACTATGTTGAATCCATTCAAAGGGCAGCAAAGGGGTCTGTGGTTAGAAAACTGGATTACTGTCAGGAAGTGAATGTTTAATTCCTGGCTGACACCTTGGGTGTTCTTGATCAAACCTATGATGCAATCAACTCATCACTCCAATGAACCCAAGAGCAGAATAATCTCAGAATTCTTTTTTTAAGGAAGATTAACTTCTTTGTATTCACATACATACATAGGAGTCAAATAAATGTATGATGTGGCTTTCTGTATATGGGCCTGCTTCGAAAAGCATATAGCCCTATACAATTACATTTATTAAATAAACATTTATTAGGAGCCTACAGTGTACCAAGCCCCATGGGAGGGTACTGCCTTCTAGGGCCCACAAGTATGTCAGCAAGTGGAAGGAAATTGAGGTCATTTATACAGGCACGGTGGGTCTCAGGCAAGGAAGCACCAGTTCTATTGAGGATAGGACTGAGAGGAGCCTGGAATCATCTTACCAGATCCATGGGGTCCCTGGCAATTGGACCCTAAAGGAGCCTTCTATGAAGAAGGAGCCCATGGTGTTTTTTGTTTTTTTTTTTTAAGTCAACCAACATAAGTTATTTTGGTCCTGACACAGCACAATCTCATTCTTTTCTCTGTATCCCACAAACATCTGATGTTTAATATAGAAATAAGTAGATTCTGCGTTTAGGGTGTTTATTACAAGGCATCCATCAAATCTGATAGAAACATGAGCAGCAGAAAGCTGAGGCATCATCTTAAGTTGCCGTCTAAAGAACTTATTAATAAGGCAGAGTAAAGATCCCCACTTCAGCTGGTCTCCAAAATGAAAGGGATTTCATATTACAGCTCCCCTATACTCCCAAAGAGCATTTAAAACACTTCTTCAAACCTCTATGCCAGCAGGAAAGTGCACTGGTTAAGAGATGGAAATTTGCGGTTGGGCAGATGGAGGTTTAATCATAGCTTTCCCAACTATGGCCTGAGCCACTCCCTCCCTGCAGCTCCTTCCTATGTGTGAGGGGTGAAGGGGTAATAACAACATCTGCCTGTCCAGCAGGCATAAGGTGCCAACCGGGCCCTTGCGTATAAAATATGCAGCACAGTGCTGTCTGTGGTCAAGGCTCCATCAACATTGCAATGTGTCCCCTGCCATGAACAATATGGCTGGCTTTGTCATTTTCCTCATCGCATTTGTAACCTTCACAGTCAGCCACTTGCCCGAATCTAAACCCATTATAAATGCATGTACATTTTAAACTGTATGCTTACAATTGTATACTCAAAAATTGAATATGGTTAAAATGGTAAACTTTATGTTGTGCACATTTTATTCCAATTATTTAAAATTATAGGGAAAAAGCAAAACTATAGAGACAGTAAAAGGATCAAAGGTTGCCAAGAGCACAGCAGATTTTTAGGGCAGTCAAACTATTCTGTATGATACGGTAATGACGGATACAGGACATTACACACTTGTTAAAACCCTTAGAACTATACAACACAAAGAGTGAGCCCTAATGGAAATTATAGACTTTAGTTAATAGTATTGTATCAGTATTTGTTTGATTGCAACAAATGTACCAGGCTAATACAAGATGTTAATAATGCGAGAAACTGGAGGGGGCAGGAAGGAGGTAAATGGGGGTTCTCTGTACTTTCTGCTTAATTTTTCTGTAAACCTAAACCTGTTCTCCCAAGAACATATATTAATTTTTAAGACCACATGAGAAGAAAAACAGGTAACAATTATGCCATGTCAAACAAATTCACAGAGATCCCAAATACAATTAACATCTACATATCATGAAGAGGAAACAGATAACTATGGCAAAGGCTATTTGGTATTCTAAAGGAGAAATCAATTCCATGTCATTCTCGTGGATGCTGGCTACTCCAACAGCCCAAAATGATCTCTTCACACAGCTGTGCTCCCTGGTGCTGAGTTGGACCAGACACTGGATGAGAGCAGTGGGCCAGGTTGCTCTGACGGAGGCTTCTGTATCCTATCATCCGTCTCCTCACCTCCATGCCATGTTTTACGGTCATCTCGGGAAGTAACACTTACAAATGAATCACCAGGAATCAGGCCTGAACTAACAACACCCCAACTTCAAGGCAGGGTCATCAAACATCTTGAGCCAGGATATGGTTTCCTCCTCCTTGAGGATGGGAACTTTGTTTTTCAACCCTCCTCCCTTACCCCCAGCCTCCACCAAAGGTCCACTCAGTCCAGAGGTTCAGGGGCAGCATCCTATAAATCCTGGCATGGGAGGACAGATGTCATGACACAAGTGGGAAATTTCCAGCTCCCTGTATTTATTTAACAGAAAACAACACCTGATTTCCTGCAAAACTTTGATTCAGATTCTACACATGCAATTTTTTTAAAAAAAAAAAAGAGCATCAAGAGAGACTTGGAACTAATCATGTCCTATCTAAGATTGCAAAGACTTAGACTCTTCCACAGCAAAGGTAGAGGCCAGTGGAGATGACGTTAGGCTTAGAGGTGCTTTGGGGAGTGACAGAAGGTAGTCGCTAGACACTCCATTAAGTGACACTGAGCCTCACAGAGAAAAAAAGTCTTCCTTTTCCTGTTCTCCTTGATGCCTCTTAATTGAGACAAGGAAAAACAATGTCTCAGCCTCTCGGGAACTCCGATCCCAGCTCCTCTGCCCTCTCACCACAGGTCTCTGATGAAAGCCTTGCAGGTCATGGAAAAGAGCTAGAACTGAGCAAGGCCATTTGGATTCACTCTCCCTCTTAGGTATCTTCTTCTATGACCAGCTGGTTTCCCTTCAGCAGTAGTGTTTAAAAGCCTGCTTTAAAAAATAAATTGAAAAAAAGAAGAAAATGTAAAGAAAAACATTCTGTTAAACATTTCTACAGGTACTACTCAGATAAGGCAAAAATTATGAAGGAAAAAACAGAAATAGCTGGAGGTTGTGTTACAGGAAAGGGGTCCCGATCCAGACCCCAGCAGAGGGTTCTTGGATCTCGCTCAAAAAAGAATTCAGGGTCAGTCTGCAGGGCAAAGTGAAAGCAAGTTTATTACTACGTAAGTAAAGGAATAAAAGAATGGCTACTCCACAGACAGAGAAGCCCCAAGGGCTGTCGGTTGTGCATTTTTATGGTTATTTCTTGACAATACACTAAACAAGGGGTGGATTATTCATGCCTCTCCTTTTTAGACCCTATAGGGTAACTTCCTGTCGTTGCCATGGCAATTGTAAACTGTCATGGCGCTCATGGTGGGAGAGCAGCAGTGAGGACGACCAGAGGTCACTCCCGTGGCCATTTTGGTTTTGGTGGGTTTTGGCTGGCTCCTTTACTGTAACCTGTTTTTATCAGTAAGGTCTTTATGACCTGTATTTTGTGCTGACCTCCTATCTCATCCTGTGACTGAGAATGCCTTAGCCGTCTAGGAATGCAGCCCAGTAGGTTTCAGCCTTATTTTACCCAGCTCCTAATTAAGATGGAGTGCTCTGGTTCACACACCTCTGACAGCTGGGTCACTCCAACTCATTTACTGTACTCATGGGGAAACTGAGACACTCCCCTTCCCCCACCCAAGAGGAGACTCAATTTCTACATAGACGTCACAGAGCTAATAAGCAGCCAAGCTGGAACTCAAGCCAGGTCCTGTGAGTCTGTCTCCACCTAGAGAAAAGTTGCCTGAGGAATATAAACCTTCTGGTTAGATGGCATATGAGGCAGAAAAGAATTGTATGGGGATAAATGATTTCTCGTTGCCAGAACACAATTTGCTTTACTTTATGGTTTCCAGCAGTGCCAAGGACATGTTAGAAAGCAATGGATAGGTCTCCCTTTCTCCCTCCCTCCCTCATTCAATCACCAAATATTTGGGGAGCCAGGCACTGAGGTGGGAGCAGAGACACAAATGGCACAAAGACATACTGCTCTGCCTTCAAAGAACTCATAATCAAGTCAGAAGTCCAGACACCAGGTGATGAAGCACTCCCTGCTGTAACTGCAGGGTGCCCTGGAACAGAGGAGGGAGCCTACGGGAGAGGTGAGAGAGAGGCTGCGGGAACCTAACTCAGCAGTGCCCTTTAATAATGATGCTTGTTAGTCCCTAATAATAAGTAGACTGTAATATTCTATTACTACTTCCTCCAATTATCTGTGACATGGTGAGATAATTTGCAGCAAAATAATTCGTAAAAACTTCCTTTAAACTGTCCCTGAATTTTTTAAAATGCATATTTCTATCAGCAAAAAGTCAGCATATGCCTACAAATAGATATATTTATGCACAATATTATACTGTATAAATATCACGATTATGGACATTATCATAATATACTATTGCTCTACCATGTATACTCTAAACTTAAACAAAAATAGGCATTTTAAAAGAGATATTTCAATATTTACTCCCTGCACTGCAGAGATGTATCCTATGTCCTTCTTTAGAAATCACTACTCTGGCTCAAGGCTTCTCTAAATGAGATCCCATGAATTCTTGGGCTGTGGGGGGTAGAGGGTTTAAAATTCCAACTCTCCACTGGGGATGGTGGCTCATACCTGTAATCCTAGCACTTTGAGAGGATGAGGTGAGAGGCTCTCTTGAGCCCAGAAGTTCAAGACCAGGCTGTGCAACATAATAAGACAAAACAATGAAGAAATTAGCTGGGTGTGGTGGTGCATGCCTGTAGTCGCAGCACTGTGGGAGGCTGAGGCAGGAGAGTGGCTTGAGCTCTGGAGTTTGAGACCAGCCTGGGCCACATGGTGAAATCCCATCTCTACAAAAAATTAGCTGGGCGTGGGGGCACATGCCTGTAGTCCCAACTACTTGGGAGGCTGTGGTGAGAGGATCCCTTGAAACCAGGAGGTCGAGGCTGCAGTGGGCTATGATGGTGCCACTATACTCCAGCCTGGATGACAGATCTAGACCCTGTCTCTTAAAAAAAAATTAAAAAAGAAAATTCCAACTCTCCAGCCCTCCTCTAAGTTTATTGAATCAACTCTCCAGGGTAGGGCCCAGGAATTTGCATTTAACAATCTCCTCGTGGGAGGGGGGGGCTTTAAACACACTGAAGGCCTAGAAGCACTTCTCTGGGTTAAACAAATTTTCCCAAGAGGGAAAAAAAAGTTTAAAAATTTGCTTAATGCAATAAATCTGTTTCAACTGCTCACTATTGAAGAAAGGTCACTTTGGGCAGCAAGGACAGTAAATTGTTTTCAGTGTGTGAGGGTGTCTGCCCACACACTGGCCTGTGATGTGAAGGAGTGGTCTTGGCACAAACGTGCAAACTCTGTGCGGCTACCCAGGGCGGGCCCCCCCGGGCCTCATGCTCCTCTGAGGCAGGTGCTTCCTGCTCAGAGAAGGCTGCCTGCCAAGCCCCGCACAGCCCGAGAGCTATGGCTGGGTGGCTACAGCCCAGATCAGGCTTCGGGAAGCATCTCGCCACCTCTGCAAGTGGTAAATTACACATCTCATCACCTTCAAACCAGTTGCTGTTGACCACCTTAGACACTCTCGTTATTGATGTCAGTTTTATCTCCTGAAACTCAGGAGGTGTTTTCAAAGTTTAAACCAGTTGGTAATTTGTACAGTGCCGTTCTTATCAATGATTTGTCACCTAAGCTACTGGTTTGGAGGGAACACAAGACTCCAAGCTCTGAAGCATCAGCTTCACACAGGAAGATGTCCTGCTCCTAAGTCACCAATCACACTGTACCCGGGATGATCTACCCCACTCCTATCCACCCCACCGTATCCTTCCCAACATTACCAACCAGCCTGCACATGCCCTCTCCATGCACATACAACAACATCAATCTCCACCATTTCAACGCAATTTTATGCCTTTAGAATGATACTCAGATCCACTGCCTCATAGGACTGCTTTTTGTGTAGATTTCTATTACTAACTCAACAGTAGGAGTTTCTCTGATCCTGAAGCTGCCTTACTCATCTTTAAATCCCTCTAATGCCTATTATTTACATGCAATCATGGTCCAATAAATGTCCAGTGGATAAGTGGCCTATGGTATTCTACTATAAACATTCTAATATATGTTTAGGTGAGACAGTAATATTATACTACTGCTATAGTACTTTTACATATGATTAAAATAAATATTAAATAGATATTGATGGGCTTTCAAGTCCAAGCTCACCCACTTGCCAACTGTGTATTCTTTGGCAAATAACTTAATAGCTCTGTGAATCAGTTTCCTCACCTACGAGATGGAGAGATAGCAACATCTACTCCTTAATGTTCTGAAGATTAAATAAACTTGTACATGTAATAAAATCAGAACCATGCCTGATCACTGGAAACACTTAATAAATGTTATATATCATTCTACTAATTCAACAAGTACTATCATTATTGACCCAGGCACTATGCTAAGTACTCAGCATGCAAAAATACAAAAAAAAACCGCACTCTAGCTTGAAGGAGTGCAGTTAGTTACATACACTCTGGAGGTCTCATAGCAGAAGCTAAGATAATATAAAGATTTGGATCTACTGTAAGAGCCAGCAGATGGATGAAGTGAGGAAGGTTCTAAATACCTAGTAGCTATCAATTGCTGGAGATGCTACTGACACTTGGCAACCTCTCAGGGTTTTGAGCTCTGAAAGAAGGGGACGCTAGTAGCAGTAATAATGCCAAACTCATGCTCCCAGGCTTTAAATTATCTGTGTGATGCCATCCTATGTACACCAGATGCCAGGGTGAACCAACCTTCCTGACCCCTTCAGGTCAGAGGAAACGCTGGAGTGCTCCCATTCTGAGTTTGTCTCTATGCCAAACCTCCGGGTCACATAGTCTCTCTGCACAGCTTCCCAGTAAATCTCCACCAAGTTACCTAGCTGGGAGGTGATGGGCACTATAGCTTGGAACCTAGCAACTGGCTCAGAGGATCTACCCCGGGAGGCTCTACTATCAGGATGACTGATCAGCCACTGGTAGAGTCTAAGGGTTGAGAAACTTGGAAGATAAAGAGAACAAACACTGAAGGCAGTTTGAACAAATGCAGCATTTTCACCCGGACTTCTTTAATGGAACTCAAAGGTGCTTAAGCAACATAGGAGAAGTATTAGCTCATGTGATGAAAAGGGCTGGAGAGTTATCTTAGTGAAAGTGACCATGGAAAGTCTTTTTGAGAACTGACATTTGAACAGACACCAGAAGAAGTCCAGGGCAAGCCACCAGCCATCTGGAGGAAGAGCAGTCTAGGTGAGGGGACAGCAGGCGTGAAGCTTCAGAGCAGGGAAGTGGGGAGCAGTGAGTAAAAGAGAAAATGGAAACAGACGAGATCAGGTCAGTGACGAGACCAGAGCAGCTCTGACCTCATACCTCTGTGGTGAGGAGTGTGGGGACCCTCTGATTAGACAAACTTCAGCCTTGTGCTCACACCTGGGATGTGCCCCATCCAAGCCTTGTGGACTGGGGATCAAGAAGGGACAGATCTCCATGGAAAACCAGGAAGTAGAATAGTGGATGCTGTACAGAAAGGGGAAAAAATGGACAGGATCTATTACCAGAGAACCACAGAAATCCAAAAGCTCACTTCATTTGGAACAAGCTCCACTTCACCAGTCACATTACATTAAATGTCCATTAGCAGGTGAATGGATAAATAAACTATGGTACTTCCACACCATGGAACACCACTCAGCAGGACAGCACCATGAACCTTTCTGCTTCCCATTCTTTTGAAATACTGGAAGAAGGTACGTTTTCTGTTTCACTTTATATTCATTTCTTTTCAAACATATTAAGCTTTTATATCAGCCTGACCTTGACAAAATATGTTTCTTTTTCATGGACAAATGGATTGTTAAAAATACTATAACAAGTCTGCAACTCACTTTGAAACGCACCAGAAATAAGACGTATTAATGGATGGCTAGAAGGATAGAGAGATGGACAGATAAGTGATGAAATGAGGATACTTAATATCAATGGCAGATATGAATGGGGGGTGTATGGGTGTTTGTGTGGCAAATTTGTTTCAATTGTGTTGCATGTCTGGATATTTTCATAATAAAATGTTGTGAGTAGGGAACACTATCAGCACAAACCTGAAAAATAGCATTGGTAGAAGCAATATTTTTCTAAGTATTTCTTTCAAAATCAATAGGATAAACTTGCCCATAACCTAAGTTTTCTAAAATCATTTCTCTTTGAGTACTGTCACGTTTCTTTGTCCTTTGTCATCCTGAAAAGTGAGATAACCACTATGGACTCATCACCTTTGGAGAAATCTTTTCTCCAAGAAATAACTCTCCAGCATCTTTAAATAAATGTATGTAAAATTCATAATTAGTTACTCAATAAATATTTACTCTTTAAAGTCACAAGAAAATTAGGGTCTGATGATTAAACCTCCTATGACTTTCCACCCTGTAATTAACAGGAGTGAGTGGTACCATTAGTAGTTTCAATTCTACCCACTAGAGTGCATCCTGTAACTCACTCACAAAGAATAGTGCTGTTGCCTAATATTTTAAAAGGCTATTAATTAAAGAAAACTTATTTAAGTTACTCGAGTTTCTAATATTGTTGTAGGTAAAATATTCTGATCAGATCTCTGGCATATCAGAAAAATTTCTGATCGTTCACTCATTCCATGAACTTCCTGGATGTCTGCACTACAGGAGGCACTATCCTGGGTGAACTAAACACACACAGTCCTTCTCCTCACTGGGCTAAAGTTCTAGTGGGAGAGCAAATGAGAGCCAGATGCCTTAAAAGGTAATTTTAAATACTGACGAGTTCTATGAAGAAAAGGTATAAACAAGACAACATGAGAGAAAATGATAGCGTAACAGCGGTCGTGGTGGGAGGTGTTAGGGGTGAAGGGGGTATTTGGGGTAGGGTGAAAGGGGTTCTACCTTAGGCAAGAGGGCCAAGGAATGAAATTTTCCCCAAAGAGAAGAATCCAAGAGGAACCCTGAATATCAAGGAGAGACCAGATTTTGGTGAAGAAGATTCCACTCAGAGAGAACACTGCATGCAAGGGCACTCTAGAAGAGAGAAGAGGTTGGCACATTCACAGAGCTTGAGGGAGGTCCCGGAGGGAACTCAGCAGAAGAGGGGCTGGGAGAGACAGGCGTGGCCAGGACCATTCAATGGCCTTGCCAATGAATTCTGATTTCATTGTAAATAAAGTCAGAAATCATAGAGGATGACAAGTTCTCTGCAATAACGAACCGAACTTCCAGGATTAATACCGGTTGCTTTGATGTATACATTCTATAGACTGCGAAATAATCCCAGGGTTAGAGAAAATAACCTGGCTACTGGGATGCTGGAATGTCTGTGGTGATGCTGCTAATAGCTGCTGTGGCTACACAATGATAACTAGAAAAGACAATTAATGGGCTTTGGCGTGTGTTCAGAATTGGGACACATGTTTTACAGGCCGTTCCTTCCTCAAGCCCCACGAGCCAGGGCAGTCACTGCTCTCATCTTACAGCAGATGATCTGGAAGCTCAGAGACAGAAATGACCTTCCCTAAGTCACAAAGCGATCAAGAGGCAGAGTCAGGACTTGAACCTGGATCCAGGAGGTCCCACAGACCATTTTCTTCACCAATAATCAAGTGGCCCATAAGCGACAAGCCCTTTGGACAGCATGCTGGGGAATGCCAGAAAGACAGTATCTGTAAGCGACTGATTGCTGAAGACAGGTGTCATTCTCTGGCTCATCTTCTCCTAGCCCATCCTAACCCAAATAGATACACACACACACACACACACACACACACACACACACACACACACAGGGAGGGGAGATGAAGAGAGCTATAAAAAGAAGAAAAACACAGCTGAAAGCTGTTTTCAAGTCAAGTGTATCTATCACCTTTTCCTGTGGCAACAGCAACATGCTCACAACCTGCCTGGTTCAGAAAAGAAAAAGAGCACACATGTGGCAGTGGGTTAGAGTTCATATTTTCCTTTGTGGCCCACGGTAAACAAGTTATGGTGTTTTATTCCTGTGCACCCATCACCCAAGCCATAGGAGAAAAACATTGTTCCCAAATGTTTTCTTACTGCAGCGCCTTTGTGCGCCAGTGATTGCTGTAATTTAACCTCCATAATAAAACAGAATCATCACTGGATGACAATTTATAGCACAGTTTCAGAACTGTTTACTTCTTCTATAGTGCTCCATAGTGATTAAGATTTACTGGTGTTGTCTGTCCTCGGGGAGCACTCACACAGCCCTGCCAACAGCCATCGAGCCAGACAAGTGAGGCACTCACTTAAGGCACCCAAACGTTTTGGATGCAAGTGGCAGCCTGTGTCTTAATAACCAAAAAGGGGTGTCCATGGCTTGATCTACCCCTGTGGACAATGAAATAACCTATAAAGCATTCCAGGTGACTTAGCCACCTCCCGTGGAGTTGTGCATCTTTCTGATAAATCACTTTGAAGACATATACATGGAATGCCAATGTTATATAGCCACCTATTGGAAGAAAGGAGGGTGAAGATGCTGTTTGAAATGAGGCTATTTGACTGGCTGGCTTATTAACGGGGAGGAGGAGGGAATGGCGGAAAGAAAGGAAGCGAAAAGACATGGAACTTTAGAGGCATGAAATCAAGTATCAGGAGTGGCAAAGGGATGGCATCAATAAATCCCCCTCCACTGGAAAAGGACCAGTCTAGTCTTCTCAATAGGGCCTACAACTACTGTGGGACAACTCAGTTTTCCACTAATGCAGAGACAGCAGAACTTAAGCAATGCAGGTATTAATAAGGATGTTAAAAGTGCATCCATTTTAAAGGAATTCTAAGACAAAGAAGGCTGTGCAGCAATGTCACTGATGGATCTGGACTCTGGAGTTGGACATACTGGACCTGCATCTGCTCTGCCAAGCTTTCCCTCTGGGACGCTGGACCTGCTCAGTTTCCTCATCTGTCAAAAGGAGGTAATAATACCACCTACCTCATGAGGTTGTTGAGAAAATGGAATGCAAAGATGTGTCTTAGGCACAAGGTGGGAAGCCAGGTACAAGGAAAGCAGTTAAGAAAAGTTCACTGTAAATGTTATCTTTCCACCTTTGCACTACTGCTCCAACCTCAGACATCAGCATACCACCATCACCATTTGCCGTATCTGCCTACCACCGTGTGTGCGGATTTCTGTCTGTCTGTCTGTCTGTCTGTCTATGTCTCGTTCTATGTCTGTGTATATACAGAAACTTGAGCTATTCATACTCTTAGCACATCATCATCACTGGTCCATGCAAGGCCCCATCTTGATTTATATCTCCTTCAGCCCTGACCTCTACTCTTATTCCCTCCCCCACTTGCACCCACTCTAATGGATTCAATGGACTCCTTAATGGGGCATGTGTTTATAGAAAATGCATATGGGTGTTTTATATACTTTTAATTTATATAGATGCTACTGTACTATAAATCTTATGCTATTTCTTATGCATTGTTTCGCTCAAGATCAGTGTGGGTTGCTATGTGATCACTGCTTTTGCAACCACATCCAGCACATTTGAACTGTCCCTTTCCCTAATGATGGGTTCTAGGGAGTCTCTAGCTGCCTTCAAAAACCAGGCTGCAACTGGCCTTCTCACCTCACCTTTACTTAATATGTTTCTTTGAATCAACGTACATAACATATAACTTCCACTTTAAAAGGAAGTTATATTTGTTATAATGTAAATTTCATGTAACTATTAAAATTATTAGACAGCTATGAGCGTGTGACCCTTGGGCTCCCACAGGTACATCACTCCATTAAGGACCGGCCTGATGCTCATTCACACTGGACACCATCCTGCATTCCACTGATAGGCTGGGGCCAATGAGCTCAGGCTGCCAATCTAGTTTTCCTCTCTAAACATTCTGTTTAACCTGCAGCTTCTCCCTCTCTCAAACAAGCAAGAGCAATGAGAGGACCAAGCAGAGCCTTGAAGCCCCTCCCTCTGTGCCCAAGGAAGACACTGCAATGCAGAGCCTGTTTCACCTTCACTTTCCTCTCCTTGTCCGTGTCAGGGACCCTGCCCAGCTGAGGAAGTCAGGCTGTGCAGAGCAGGAGGGCGTCCATGCGTAAGAAGACTATACAGATGGGAGCTCTCCATAACCCACTGGGGCCGCCCTGCAGACAAGTCTCCTGGGATTCTGAGGAGGCAGAGTTTCTTCTAGGTTACCTCCCTGAGATATAGTAGTGTTGGAAGCATTGGAACCAGAAAAACTCCATCTTTTTTTTTTTTTTTTTTTTTTTGAGACGGAGTCTTCCTCTGTCGCCAGGCTATGTAGTACAGTGGCGCGATCTCAGCTCACTGCAAACTCCGCCTCCCAGGTTCAAGCGATTCCCCTGCCTCAGCCTCCTGAGTAGCTGTGACTACAAACATGCACCACCACAGCTGGTTAATTTTTTGTTATTTTAGTAGAGACAGGTTTCACCATTCTGGCCAGGATGGTCTAGATCTCCTGACCTCATGATCCGCCCGCCTCAGCCTCCCAAAAGTGCTGGGATTACAGGCATGAGCCACTGCGCCTGGCCGCAACTCCATCTTAAATAGGGGCTGGGTAAAATAAGGCTGAGACCTACTGGGCTGCATTTCTAGACAGTCAGGCATTCTAAGTCACAGGATGAGACAGGAGGTCGGCACAAGATACAGGTCATAAAGACCTTGCTGATAAAACAGGTGGCAGTAAAGAAGCTGGCCAAAACCCACCAAAACCAAAACGGCAACGAGAGTGACCTCTGGTCGTCTTCACTGCTACAATCCCACCAGCACCATGACAGTTTACAAATGCCATGGCAATGTCAGGAAGTTACCCTATATGGTCTAAAAAGGGAAAGCATGAATAATCCACCTCTTGTTTAGCATATCGTCAAGAAATAACAAAAAAATGAGCAACCAGCAGCCCTCAGAGCTGCTCTGCCTATGGAGTAGCCATTCTTTATTCCTTTACTTTCTTAATAAACTTGCTTTCACTTTACTTTATGGACTCGCCCTGAATTCTTCCTTGAGCAAGATCTAAGAACCCTCTCTTGGGGTCTGGATTGGGACCCCTGTCCTGCAATAGTAGCATTTGCCATAGCTGAATTTTTAAAACCTCTTCAAATATTCCTATTAAGTGTTCTATCATATCCATACTTTCTGTATGATTATATTAATAATTAGACCAAGAATAATAGTAACTAGTCTTTAGGAAGTAGAACTATGTGCCAGGCACTGGGCTAAAACACTTTACATCAATGTTCTCATTTGACCCTCAAAATAACTCCATTAAGTAGGTATTCTAACCCTCATCTTACAGTTAAGGTTCCCAAAGCTTAGGGAGTTTAAGTAAATCGGGCAAGATTATTCAGCTATTAAATGACTAGGACAGGATCTGAGCTGAGTGAGTTTGGTGCCCAAACCAGAGCCTGCTTCTGCTATGCTGGTTGTAAAAGGTACTATTTACATATACAAATAAAAATAAATGACCATTTACAAAGTGTTCGCCATGTAACCCATGGGCTCATGCCAGACCCATGTTTGCTCATTTGATCCTCATGTTAGTTTTGAGGTCACTCGTGTGATTGCTTCCATCTCAAGGAGGGAGCGTGTGACCTGGGCTTGGGGCTAGTCTGAGGGAACCAGCCTCAAATCCATTCTTGCCATATCCAGAGAGTCACAATCCCTGCCACATGAGAACACGTCCATTTCACAGACAAGAAAACTGAGACTCAGGGAGGTTCAGGTCTCACTGTCAGTGGATAATGGCTAACCTCAGATCTCACTGTCAGTGGATAATGGCTAACCTCAGGTCTCACTAGCTCCAAAGCCCAGTTCACTCCCTTCCAAAGTGAACCTGTTTCCCAAGAGATGACTGAACATCTAAGTGCATCAAAGTCTGCATACAAAATAGCCTGTAATCCCAGCACTTTGAGAGGCCAAGGTGGGCGGATCACTTGAGGTCAGGAGTCAAGACCAGCCTGGCCAACATGGTGAAACCCCGTCTCTACTGAAAATACAAAAATTAGCTGAGCGTCGTGGCGAGCGCCTGTAATCCCAGCTACTTGGGAGGCTGAGGCATGAGAATTGCTTGAACCCGGGAGGCGGAGGTTGCAGTGAGCCGAGATCACACTACTGCACTCCAGCTAGCAGAGTGAGACTCTGTCTCAAAAAAAAATTAAATTAAATTAAAAAGTCAACACATAAAACAAATGACTGGGGCAAAGTCCCTGCACTTCCACTTCTACAAGAGGAAGTAATTCCCAAGGCTGACCTTCTTAAATTGCTGGGGCCAATGAAGCAGGTTAAGGGAGCGTGCTTGGAGAACCACAGCCATTGCTGAAAGTGAGCAAATTATGCATTGTCTCCTTATAACTGCCTCAGAGAGGTGAGACCCAATGGGACACAAGCTTGGAGAACTAACAGGTGACGTTCCCCTTTGGGCTGGCTCCTACGAGGTTCCCTCCACCCATGAATTGTCCAAATGTTGGGGGAGATTCCCTAAACAGGACAATCCTGAACTGGTCCATCTGCTAAATGTAGCTGAAAATTAAAAAGCAGGCTCTTTGCTTCCCTTAAACACAGGCTTCTCGGGCTTTCTCCCAGCACAATAGAGGCGGCTGCACTTCCCAGCTCCCTCCCCCTGAGTGCTGCCCCGGGGGCTTCACTCTCGGTGGGCTGTACAAAAGATTTGTGCTCTCCAGTCTCCAGAGCGCATTTGGCTGGAAGAGAGGAACAGGCAACAAAGGAGCCATCTCAGGGCACCACAGCCTCTGATCACTGAGAAGGCAACATACTTTCTAAGGGTGGGCAGGTGCATATACATCAATACCCAGAGAAAAGTGGGGAACATGGCAGCTTTTCCCTAGACACAAAGGGAAAGGGAGGCGGCCAATGAGCAGTGCAGACACAGAAATGCAAACCCTGCCGCAACTTCCTGTATTCTTAAAATGACACCCGAACTCTTCCAGTGAATGCCTAGCACCCACCAAGCCAGGTGTGTGAAGCGCTGGGAGAAAATTGGGGAGCAGAGTAAAATGGACCAACCACTGGCCTGGGAGGTGGTGAGGAAGACATTGAAATAAACACATGAATCGACCACCTCTATTCCACCACACCATGCCCCTCACAGCAGGAAAAAAAAACCCCTTGTCTTGCTCTCTCCTCTCCAAACCCTCTCTCCACTCTATCCTCTTCTCAATGCCTTCAACTGGTCCCACATTCTACTTCCTCTCCAGCTTCACATGTGCTGTTCCTTCTGGTTCTGCCACCTCCCAGGACCTGGTGTATGTTTGGCTTCACTCCCTGGGTTCCCTGGGTGGCACGGCCAGGACTCCCGATTTCAAAGCCTTCCTGTCTCCCCTAATAGCACATAAACTCCATGTGGGGAGGGAGCCCGCTATAAATCTAGATCTTAACAGTAGCCAACCCAAAGACCCCAGGCTGATATAACTTATAGCCCACAAAGCAGACAGGTGGTCAAGGAAAGATGGGGCAGGTGAGGTGAGCATGCTTCCCCACCCACACACAGGCCTTGGACGAATGAAGGTAGCTCAGGACAGGAAAAGAAGACACAAAAATTGCACCTCTACTCTCAAGCTTTTATTTTCTCCTCTTTGAAATGACAGGAATTCTCAAAGAAATAAGCACTTCATCCCACTCCCGACAGGCATTAGTTCAAAGCATCACTCCCCAGTCCAATTCTCAGCTGTGGTTACCAGATAAATCAGAGAACCTGAACTTGATTTACACATTGGATGTGTTTCAAAGTGGCATATAAGTAAATACACATGCATGCTCACGTGTCCTATACATATGTGAATTATATCTCAGTAAAGCTGCTTAAAAATTGCAAGGGTGGCTGGGTGCTATGTTTCAAGGTTGTGCCAATAATTAGATAACTGCTTTTTAAATGCTAACAACTCAGTTATTAAGACAAGTTGTACACATGACAAACATCAGAGAGGAGATGTGAGAATATAATTTAAAATCATTGACTATGCAAATGTGAAATTTCAAAATATGTAAATGCACCACACTGTGATAAAAAGGAAGGATACATGGGGCTAATTTCTTCCTGTTAATTCTGCTAAAATAACCCCTTTATTGTCCCGTTCCTGCCATGGTGAGCTCTTTGTGTTGTTGTTGATGAAGGCTTAATGCTCTTTCTTTCTAGAACGAAGTTTAATGAATTATTTTTTCTATAAGGTGCCTGCGCAGAGAGATAAGTGCCACATATTCAAATGTAGCCACTTTGAGCATTTTTCATCCCCTTCTCCACGTGACCAATACTGTCTCAGTCCATGCTACAGGAAAGTTATGCTGGGGACCAGGGTAGATTGAGGGAGGGAGGGGATAGCTCTGATTTTCATTTGCCGATTCTATGAATGGGACCAGACTGGGAATTATTTACATGAATCAAACCTTTTTGAGATTGGGAGAAAACAGACAACAAAACAAATAGAACTTTTAATAGGTGAGGGCTGAACAAGAGCTAAACATCCTCAAATGTTAAAGGTGAAGAAAATCTCAGTCTCATTTGGTAGTTCAGGAACTTTAAAAAAGAAAGATTCCATGTCCCCTTATAATGCACATTCTTACCTTAAATCCTTTGAATGGTCTTTCCCCCGCACCCAGCCAAGAATTTTTTAAATCCAACTTCACAAGTATCACTTAAATGAGATAATATATGCAAAGCATAGCATAGTGTCTTGGCAAGCAAGAAGCACTCAGTAATGTGATGATCATGATGACAACAGAGATGATATCAATGATGAAAACAATGGCAATGACTCCAGCTGGCTTTCTGTGGGGGAATTATGGAAGCTCTAAGTATGCTGCCTACTTCACATACACATAGACTCTACTAACCCTAATCTGACTAATGCAGGGGTTGCAAACTCAATGTTCCTTGGGGCCAGAGTAGCAAATAAACGACTACGGAGCTGCATGGAAATCAACCAATAGAGACATTCATGCTGATGCTGATTGCTTTTCTATGGACATGGAGGCCCAGGATGGCTACACTTCTCCATTTTCCAAGATTTAAATCTGGATATTTTAATATCACTACATATTTTTATATGTGATTTCATTTTTCCCCCTTAAAGCCCACACAGACCAAGTAAAAGGTATCTACAACCAGGATTGGCCTGGGGGACAGAGGTTTACAATTCTGATGTGATTAATTATTTTTTATTTCCCCATCTCCAATGACGAAATTCCCATGAAAATGAATGCTCATGTGTCAACCACCAACCCCCACACTTCTGCCCATCCCCTCCATTATAAACACATGTGTACTGAACATACTTCCCTAGAAAAAAAATCATCTCTACCAAATCTGGTCTCAGAGGCCAACCCTAATTCCCCCGTGTGGACCACAGCAAGCTGATGCACTATCCCCAGACCATGGCCACAGTGACTGCAATGACAGACTCCCAGCACATCAAGGGAATGGATCCACTGAGCCCTTTGAAGGGAAGTCCTCTTGGAGACAGGCTGCCAGGCTCAAAAGGCATCCTAACAGAGGCCACCCACTGGCTGGCCAAGAGGCTGCCTGCAGGGCTCTGCTCCCCTATGAGTCTGACTGTGCTCCAGTCTGACTGGAGCTGCTTCCATCATCTCTGTGCAGCTGGTACCCATGTATTCATGGCTGGTTAAAAGTCATAAGAGTCTGAATCTTTGCCCAGCCTAGAGTTTTTACTAAGGCAACTCCTGCATTAGTCAAATCAGGGCCACAACCTGGGTTAGGGTTAGCAGTCTTCCAGTGTCTGCAGAAACACCTGCTTGAGGTAGGAAGACTCCTGCTCATTGGCTGGAGTGGGGCTGTCTATGAGCAACTCCAACCGTGACCCTGGATGAGGAGTCTGCTTTCTGACATCCATCACGGGCTTTGCAGAGGTACTAGAGAAGTTCCTCTCTATAAATCCCATCAAACACACTCACGAAATGCTCCAGAGTCACTGGGTGCAGTGAGGGGAGGCTCTCTAAGTATATTCCCAAGGATCTGATTTTCCTTCCCAAGTGACACACACACACACACACACACACACACACACACACACATATCAATTAAAAAGCATACAAGAACAAAAAATCCACATTTACCCCTGATAGTACAAAGCCTTGCATGTTCATCTATTCAGGCTGCCAGTAAGCCTGGGATGTGCAATAAATGATATCCCAGCTGATTTTTAACAAAGATTCTGATTACTCGCAAGGGCTGTCATCTCTCCACTGAATGCAGTGTAAATGAAATGCCAATGAATTCCTAACTATCTTTTCATTTTCCCCCTCATAACCTAATTTAGAAAATGTAAATAATCTCACTCTGTTTGCAGGACCAGCTGCTCCTCACCTCCATATGGGAAACTGAGTAAAGACCAAAAAAGTACAACCAATGCCACCAACACATCGCTAGTTAGACTAAATATGCATTCAAAATATTTCTGAAACCCTTTAATTTGTTGCTGGTAATTTATAAAATTATAGACAGTGGTCTTTTATTATCATTATTATTATTATTATTATGGCTTTCTTCTGTCATTTGGATCTCTTGATGGTAACACATCAGTAATTCACCCATCATAATTTCCTCCCACCCACAAACCTTTTAAGATTGCTTTTGCCTGGCCTGAGTATAAATTAAGAGGCATTGTTTTCTACCTGGCCTAGTGTAGAACAACAACAACAACATAATACTCTGAAAAATCAGAACTGGGACAAACATCTTGGTGCCACATTGCTGTGTCAGGTTCATTCGCTTGGAGCCGACAGTGGAGGATTCTGGAAAGTCCATGAACCCCACAGTTGCTTTGCAGTTGAGCTCTAATACTTTCTTTTCCCCTTTATCAGGAGTTCTCTGGCCAAAGGGAAGGGGTGTAGCCCATACCATCCATATCACCCTCACTTTAAGTTATCCTGACCCCAAGACAAAGGCCTGTAAGTCAATCCACAAACATTTACTGAGCACTTAACTATAGTTTGAAGCACCGTAGTAGGCACTGGGGCCACAGTAAAGGCAAGTTGGGACAAGAAAAGAAATAGTACAGTTAAACAAGGGGAAAGAGTATTACCAGGCAATGTATGAAAATAAAAAATAAAAATGAAGAAGAAATGGCTAATACACATGTAAAAAGATGGTCAACTTAACTACACAGTACCTTTCAGAAAAGTCAATCAAAGTGACCCTGGTGGTCAGTCTGGGTGCTCAGACAACGAGCCATCTGGGAACAGGACCCCTTCCCGGTGAGAGGGGCTGCACCAAGCTCAAATTCTCTTGCAACTACTGACTTTCTCCCACAGTAGTGGGGAGGCTGAAACACCCTGGGCACCACAGTCCCTAGGTATTGAGCCGCCGATGCTCCCAGCTGATTCCTCCAAACAGCTGGCACCCCAAAGTCAGGAAGCTTAGTGCTAGTTAGCCTGTCCCTCCTCCTCAGGACTGTTCCCATGATACACTCCAGAAAGGGAGGAGAAGGGGAGGGCCCCTCCAAGCATGTCCAGCAGAGTGCCTACACCCACATTCCTCTCTGTGGGAGGATGGGGATCAGCACCTGGGCCATCTCTCTGTTTTGGCAAGCCCATGCTCTCTGTGTGACATGGTGTAATTTCCTCAAACCCTGGTGCAGGACAGATGAGGAGCCGGAGGGACCCACTGTGCCAAACGGTGAGTAATTAAAGAAAATAACTTGAGGCCAGGCGTGGTGGCTCATGCCTGTAATCCCAGTACTTTGGGAGGCCGAGGTGGGCAGATCACCTGAGGTCAGGAGTTCGAGACCAGCCCGGCCAACATGGTGAAATCCCATCTCTACTAAAAATACAAAAATTAGCCAGGCGTGGTGGCGGACACCTGTAATCCCAGCTACTCAGGAGGCTGAGGCAGGAGAGTTGCTTGAACCCGGGAGGCGGAGGTGGCAGTGAGCCAAGATCGGGCCATTGCACTCCAGCCTGGGCAACAAGAGTGAAACTGCGTCTCAAAACCAAAAAAACAAACAAACGAAACAAAACAAAAAACCATGAGATACTAAACTTGGCCAAAAGACTAATAATAGTCAAATACTAGAGAGGATAATGCGGAAATAGTTCCCCTCCAACCACACAGGTGGGAACATAGGCAGGCATAGCATTGTCTGTAGAACAATCTGGAAAGATACACCCAAAGCCTTAATTTCAATTCTAGGAATACATCCTAATAAATGCATCAAATAAATGGACAAAAGTTTCTTTGCAAGAGAGTTTATCATATTATTGCTTATAACCGTGAAACACTACGGATGCCATCAATGTTCACTAAGAGAGAGCTGCTTGATTGGAACATCCAGAAAGCAGTCATGAAAAATAATAGAAATCTATATTCATTGACATGTCCACAACATGTAATCTTTTAAAAAGCCTGTTACAAGAAAGAATAATCCAATGTTTTAGAAGTTTATATACACCCACACATATCTATATACTCATGCACAAACAGAAAAAAAAACCTGTAAGGACAAAAACTAAGATGCTGAAAAACAAAAGGTATTGAGAGACATTAAGTACTGTTTGAAACTTATTTCTTCATGCTGTGATCTTTCCTTTCCCCTTTTTCATTTTCTGCACATTCTTTTCTCTTTCACGATGAATATGTATTACTTTTATAACCAGTAAAAACAAAAAGCATTAAAAAACACATGGGTGCTTCTACAGTAGACATAGAAAACACAAAACTAAGACTTCCATAAAGCTTTGCAAATGGAAAGCGTTTAGTCCAATTATTTGGGAAAGAGATAAATAACCATGAAGTTGAGGAGGGTTTGATGCAATGGTTCTACCCACAAAGAAGAATGCTTTCTACAGGCCAACACCCCCAGAATAAGCATGAAAGTTAGGATACAGTCCACCAAGTCAAGCCAACTTCAATGATGTGAGGCTGATGGAAAACTGAGAGCTTGAGGAGAGAAGACATGAAATTACACATACAAGTCATCCAGTGGTTCCCCTTCCTTCCCTTTAGTGGTAAGCATGTACCCCCAAGGGGGTGGACAAGTTGTTCCCTCTCAACGTGGGAGGGACAGCAGTCTTCTGGGCTTAGCTGTGAGGCTCAGGTTGGCTCAAACTGAAGTATGTTAGCGGAAACCCTGGGCCCATTTGGGGTGAAACCCACGAGGACCACGCAGTTCCATGTGGTTTTGTTCTCAGCCATTAACCAAAGATGGTTCACTGACCTCATCAAAACTGGTGAATACAGATTGTTGCTCTTTTTTAAGATTCTTCTGGTTTGAGGTTTTTGCTCTAAATTTCCTTACATATATACGTACGATTTTGCAAGCGACCCAGTTTACCAAAAAAAGGGGACAAATAGACAAGATACATCAACATAAAAAATTAATAGTCTCCTCCCTCTATCTGTGACTCAAAACAGAAAACATTATTTTTTTCTGAAACAAATGTACTGCTCTTTCAAAGTACAAGCTTTGAAATTCTGAGATGAGATCAGAAATGAAAACAAGACAGAAAACAAAAATATTTTAGATCTATACAGCCATATATACCTCCACTGCCTGAGAACTTAAAGTGATCCTGGCACTGTTAGGCTATATTCAGTTCCTAAAACCTCCACATTTTGGACTTAACATGTAAAGAAAATAATCAGTTCTGTCTTAAGAACCTTTCCTTAACTTACAAATGGATAAACGGAATCAATTATTTCATTTCCAATGTAATCCTTTTGAAAGTATGCCTCAAACACAATTTTCACAATGTCTATAGATCAGATGAGTTTTTAAACCAGAAGTATTCATATAGTCCCTATAGATATTAATTCCTTATACAGCTTATATTTTGGGGATGGAGTATGCTTTACTTGGGTGCATCCTGCTTTTCATGCCTCACTGTATATATTCCCATAAAAACACTGATGTATGTTATAGTCATACATATGTAGACAGGCACCAGTCAAAAAACATTCCAAGAAAGTTGCTTTAATAGTACCCTCTAGCTTTTTGGAAGATTGGCGTAAATCTCTTCTGCAGAGAGAAAAATCCATTTTTCTGAGAAGGTAAATGTTTATTAAATGCAAATACTGATATTCGTTTCCTAGGAAAAATGTCTTGCTGCATGTGGAATTTCTCGATAAAAAGCTTTCAAGTCCCAGGTTTCTCCAGATAAACCCCTATCGGTGGACTGATGCGTGAATGCACTGAAATTGAATTACTGTACAACAGCAATTACTTTCCACAGTAAAGCTATAATGGGAATCAGTTCCACAATGAACAGCAGGTAACTATAGGAAGGGGGGAAAACTTAATATAAAATCTAGTCTCCTTTAGCTCTTCCCAACAAGCAAAGGTATTTATTTTTAAGCAAAACACTCTTTTCAAGGGCCTGATTTATCATTTTATCAATGTAAATCAAAAAATAAGTGAAACAACATTAAGTTTATTTACAGGTGTGAGTTTCAGGGTGCTTTCAAAATTTATTAAATATCTTACCCAAGGTTTGAAAACAATTGGCTCATCACTGAGTAGGTCTAGCTACAACTTGTGTTTTATATCTCTTCACATTCCCCAAAAGAGTTCATTCTTTTAGATACAACTAATTAATTGTAATGTTTTGCTTGAAACGCTACCACAACAGATACTATCCTATAATCCCCCCAGTGCTCCTTCCCGCTCTGAAACCTGTTAAAGTTTGTGGAGGTCTGAAGTCTGCATAGGCTGACATTTAGGGTCCTCTGAATCAGTGTCTGGCCCTGAAACCAGAAACACTTGAGAAGACCAGAGGAGGTTCTAAGTCCAGCTCAAATCAGTGTGATGAAGGCAGTGGCAGAGCTGTTCAGTGCAACCAAAGGCAAAATCCACTAGAAGGAATTCACCTTTAGAAAACCATCCTAGAGAATATTAGCATAAAATCATAAATTCACCAAAGTCTTTTTGTCATTTCCTGGTTTATCTGCTTTTCTCTTGTGCTGCTCATCTCAGTTATATGTACCGCACCAAAATTACAGGATCATGACACCCCCTTGGCTGTGATGGAATTGGTCCTCAAAGTATATCCTTACAATCAGAGATGTCCGTGGTTACGCAGTTACTTCCTACATATTCTCTTCCCACTGCACATTTGGCTGTGCCTGCTCAGAGTTCCCTGGAGCCCCAGATAATGCTTGCAGTTGATTGATAGTTTGTGCTACTCCCCCTGAAGGGCTGGATTTTAAAGACAAAGGAAAGGCTGGGGGCAGCCTGTCCATATAACCAAGGTCATGCAATATAACCCTTCTGCCTTCTCCCTCCCCTCAAATCAGGGTACATTTCTCAACATCAGCAACTCAGAAGAAAGGGGAGTGGTGTCAAATTTGCCTTCCATCAATATCAAAGAGCTCTGACTTGTGACACAGACAAGCATTTCCAGGTGTCACTTAGGAATGGTCTGATGGGAATCCACAGTTGGCAGAGGACTGGTGCATATCCTTTCCTCTATGTCCAACATGTGAAATATCTCCCTTGAAATGTTAATGAACTAAAAGCAAATGGACTCCATTTCTTGTCCATTCGTAGGGACTTAAAACTTGACAAACTGCTTAGCAATATTAATTGAGGGCTTGGTAGCATAAATATGTCTGAACAATGAAGGTGAGAGATGGTGCCTTGGGCACAACTGCTATACACAAAAGCAAGCAGGAGCATGGCCATATCAAATAACCTATAGCTAGCCTCTGCGTGGGTGTGAAAAAATTACTTAAACCACCAATGGCATTAAAAAGAACTAGAAAATATTAGTTAAGAAATGCTACCATAATGATGGCACCATTATGTTAATGGAAATTACTGAAGCTAAGGTTATTTATAACTTGCTAGCCTCAAAAAAAAGTTACATATAGTCCATTACCAATGAGATGACAGGGGTTATGTAATGGGCAGGCCACTTTAGGTTTCACATTTACTTCAGACATCTGACGGGGAGAAAATAGGACTTTCTGTGATAGGATAATTGCATAGTGGAGAGTAATTCAAATAGGAGATGAGGATGATAAAATCACTCTGATTCAACTAATCACTGGGAAAAGTGATGGAGGAAAATGATGAAATCAAGCCAGAAGAGACAGAGAAAAAGATCAACATTGTTTAACAGGCAGGAGATGACAGGCTACATTAAAGGACGAGGTTATTGTAGTACTCCATTTTTTTCCCCCAGCACTAACTGAACCTAGTTTCACAGACTAAAGGTGTTGTTATTGTAGCTTCCTAAATTGCTACTGCCAGGCTCATAAATATTTTATATACACCAATGGAAATGTTAATAAATCAGGGTTGTTTGTGAACCAGGTTTCTCTTACACACGTCCCTGGAGTCACCACTGATTCACACTAGGAAAACACAAGGTAGGGCACCTGAACCTGGGACCCAACTCCAACTGCTGGGGGAGGGGGATGGGGGCTTGGAAATGGAAGATTCCTAGGTGTGGCGCATCAGAGTGATAGGGCCAAACCTAAAATCTGTTCTGTTCCTGACCTATCAGAAAATAGCGGGGTGGGGGCCCAGCACGGTGGCTCACGCCTGTAATCCCAGCACTTTGGGAGGCCAAGGCAGGCAGATCACGAGGTCAGGAGATCGAGACCATCCTGGCTAACACAGTGAAACCCCGTCTCTACTAAAAATACAAAAAATTAGCCGGGCATGGTGGCGGGTGCCTGTAGTCCCAGCTACTGGGGAGGCTGAGGCAGGAGAAAGGCGTGAACCCGGGAGGCGGAGCTTGCAGTGAGCTGAGATCGCATCACTGCACTCCAGCCTGGGCAACAGAGCAAGACTCTGTCTTTAAAAAAAAAAAAAAAGAAAAGAAAAAGAAAAGAGGAGAGGAAAGGAGAGAAAAGAGGGGGAAGGGTCACTGCCCAGTGGGTGGCATGGGAAAGGACCCCACCTTGTCTCACAGTGGTGCATTCCAGTGCAAGGCTACAAATAATGACTCCACTGCAAACCCATGGGCAAATTTGAACCTGAGGTCTTTGCTCTTCAAATGTTCACAAATCTCACAGGCAAACAGCGACTTTTCCTAATGGAGAATCAAGGTATCATTAAAATAGGAAAAGAGTCACACTCACTGCTTCCCTGGCCTCCAAAGGGACATCTCATTCCAAATGGCATATGGGTCCTGAGTGTTAACAAGAGAGCCACATGGCTCACAGTGAGGACAAGGCCCATCTCTACCATCCCCAGACTAAACCCCTACGTGACATACAAACTCTCTTTAAAGACGGGCGTGGGGAAATCCATATAACACTGGACCAATTAACCAAGATGTTACAGGCTCGAGCATCAAGCGTAATTACAGAAGGCCTGTGCATTTATTTTAAAATATATAGAATACACATTGCAAGGAATCTGGCTGCCTTTATTCTGGGAATATTTCAATTTAAACAGAGCAACTTATTTTTTTCTTCTCAAAGGAACTACACCCACCATACCAAATCGTCTTTTTTTTTTTATCTTCACTAATTTAACACAAAAAGGTTTTAAAATTAGGCAATACGAAGACGCTAAACCCAGTTCACGTTCCCTCCTGTCATCATCCAGGTGTTTCCTAAAGCTGCAAGACTACCTCCTATCAGATGTTCACAGATTAGAAGGCCCTTTAACCAGCTGTAACAGCAAATGTTTACTGAACATTTACTGTTTGCCAGACACTGAGCTAAATAAACACCTTACACAGATACAGAGGTACTGCAACCCCACCACCTAGGTGTAAAAATTAACTCTGCTGAGCCCTGCCCACGTGACCTGGGCAAATGCCTTCACCCTGCCAAGCCTGTTTGGTCATTTCTAAGACAACAATAATAACAGTGTCTCACTCCTAGTGTTGATACAAGAATGAGATTGCATACATAAAGTGATTAGCACAGGGGCTGGTGCATCTGAACTCAATAAGTGTAAGCACGTATTTATTAAATCATTGACTTCTCGTAATGCCGCCAGGCTGGTAAGTGAGGAAAAAAAGAGATTCACAGGGGTTACTCAGCTTTGCTCACTGGTCTCCCACCTTGGGGCAGAACTGAGATTCGGGACAGTTCCACTACTTTCAGAGCCCATGTCTCACTGACCACGTGGGCCCACTGCCTCAAGGAGGTGAGGTCTAGGTTCTGGTGCTGGCTGGACCTCTGTGTCAAGGCAGCATGCTGCATGGCCCCCTCCTCCTTCCACTCCCAATGCTCCCCTAATTCCAGGCACCAGGGCTACTTTGTCAATTGTAGAAGCAGAACCTAAAGATATTTATGTCCTTTTCTCCTCTAAAATTCTGTGATTCACAAAGAAATGCATGCTAAAATAATATGTCCCCCTCTCAAATTGACAATGCTGTTACTAGTTTTTTTTTTTTTTTTTTTTGCAAGGATTTCAGAAAATAAGCACTTGCACACCACTGTCGCTGGAGCAGCTGTGAATTGGCACAACCTTATCTGGACAGAAATGCTTTCATATGCATAAAGAACCTTGAAGATTGCTTCTGAGCCTCTGAACTGTCTTCTGTGTTCTGGAATTCACATTAAGGAAACACACTCCAGGACACTGAAAGCAAGGCGGCAGTAAAGAATGCGGACTCTGGGGTCATTATGACTGGGGCTCTCTCTCACTCCTCATGTGACCTCAGAGAAGCTACTCAACTTCCTCCTCTCAGTCTCCTCTCTTGTAAAATGGGGATAATACTAACATCCACCACGGAGGTGTTACAAGGATAATACAAGTGAGTACATATACGGTCCTTAAAGGAACAGTTTGCCTGTAGTAGGTGCTTGGTTGGTTGATCCATTATAAATATATAAGAAGATTCACTGCAGCATTATTTATGTCAAAACTTGCAAGTGAGCGAGGTGTGGTGGTACATACCTGTAGCCCCAGCTACTCAGGAGACTGAGGTGGGAGGATCACTAGAGCCCAGGAGTTTGAGAACAGCCTGGGCAACACATCTCTTAAAAACTTTTTTTTTTTTTTGAGCCGGAGTCTCACGCTGTCACCCAGGCTGGAGTGCAGTGGCGCGATCTTGGCTCACTGCAACCTCTGCCTCCTGGGTTCAAGCAATTCTCCTGCCTCAGCCTCCCAAGTAGCTGGGATTACAGGCACCCACCAACACACCCGGCTAATTTTTATATTTTTAGTAGAGACAGGGTTTCACCATGTTGGCCAGGCTGGTCACGAACTCCTGACCTCAGATGATCTGCCTGCCTCGGCCTCCCAAAGTGCTGGGATTACAGGCATGAGCCACCGCGCCCGGCCAATAAAAACTTTCAAATAACTCAGACATCCAAATATATAGGAACAGTTATATCAATTATGACACACTCATAGACTGAAATGTTATGCAACCATTTGAGAAAATCACAAAACACAGTGACACAAGAAAATGCTCAGACTAGAGCTTAGTTGAACCCTAGTGTACCTTTGAATGGTTTTTGGCCATTACTGAATGCATCATACAGTTACAGGCCCACGTTGTATGGCTGTACAATTAGTGGCAGCTCTGCTGAAGGCATACATTTACCAGAATAAAACTGGCACAGGAACCCTCTATGAAAAGGGCAGTTTGTGCCCCTAGTGACTGCTTTTCCTGGCTAACCAGACTGTAAAAATAAAAGTATTTACGTAATAGATGCGTGAGTCAACTTTTATCTTTGAGAGATTGGTTCATCAATGCCATCCCCTGAAGCTGCCTTTGTGCCTTCAGGCGATACAGGGCACAAAACATAGGCACTTACCCTGACGGCCTCAGACTTCTTGTGAAACATCTCTTCCATGTTCTTTGCCAGCTTCTTTACCAGTTGGAGGCCATCAATTTCTTCTATGGCAACGTCTTTCTCATACTCTTTGTATTTCTGTAAGAAGAGAGGGCAACATTCAAGACACATGACACCGTAAAACACCACAGCTGTGATTTCAGACCACATCTACCCACAAGGAATAAATAAAGATAAAATTACACCATGACTGCTTCTGGTGAATTTGTGGATATTAAACTGTGTTTCAAAATTATTAAGCCAACTAGGGAGAAGCATGAAACTGACTCTGGCTCTCCTGGGAGACTTAACCAGCACCCAGGAAAGGAATATATCTTAACCCAATTAAACGATCATCTGTCTATTTATAAGGGACTGATTTCACCCACAGTTGACTCAAATTCTCACTAAAGACAATTTTTCATTTAAAAGCCATCACATACCCTGGTAGTTTATCTGTTTAAATGTGCAGTTCTCAAAGTGATCCCAAAACTCCTATGGGTCCCTGAGACCCTTTCAGGGTCCATGAAGTCCTCATTTTTCCAACAGCGTTGTCTATGTGAAGCCAGATTTTCTTCAGCAACCAATCACAAGAGATTGAACACAGAAGCAGATATGGGAATCCACCTATTTCCTCTTAAATCAAATATTAAAGAGATTTGCAAAATGAAAAACAGCTACTCCTCTAATTTTTTTATTCTGGAAAGTATTGTTATTTTCCATAAAATATATTATAATATATATGTTAACATGCAATGAGTTTTTTTATCCTTGTATTAATCACTTTTTGAATTTCTTGGTTTTAATTTCTAATATGGTAAATATCAATAGACACAAGTAACCCACATAAAGAGACGCTCTCAGGGAGTCCTCAGGACTCTGTAAGAGTGTAAAGGGTCCTGAGACCCAAAACACGGTTTAACTAAAGATTTAATTTTGTTCCTAGTGGAAGGAAATATTGTTTATTAATAGGAACCTTCCAAATGAAGTTTATAACACTTTTAATGTCAACATGAATCCATCACATTTATTTGGTTATCAAACAGCTGGAAAATTAAAGATGCTGGGTAAGATATATTTACTCTTATTTGTGGGGAAACTCTGAATCAGTTTACTAATTCCTCACCCCAAGCTCTTACCCAGGGAAATCAAGGGGCTCCACATCTCATCTCAGCTCTAGAGACCTTAAGAGTTAGTTGTGAAAAGGAAAATGTATTACATTTTAATGGCAGAATAATTTTTGAGATATAAATCTACATTTTCTCTCCATTCATTCCTCCCATCCTATACCTTCAAAATGTAAATTGGGAGGCTCAGTTTCTCCTTGACTCGAGGAAGGGTGTGTGTGTGTGTGTGTGTGTGTGTGTGTGTGTGTGTGTGTGTCACAAAATGCTTCCCTTCCTTGTTCAAATGCTCAAATGTCCAAGTCTTTTGACGCAGTAATACTGGGTATCCTGAAATGAGATTACTGTTTGAGGACAAGGGGAGGAACTCTAAGGAAAGCAACGAATGTAAAGAGAGAATTCTTCAGATCCTTAAACTAAAACAAAATCCTTAGAGCCTAGAGGTGAGGCTGGAGGCATCTGGCCATGTGTTCTAGGAGCAGCAAGATACCCCTCTCTTAGCCTGAGCAACATAGTGAGACCCAGTCTCTACAAATTTTTTTTTGTTTGTTTTTAATTAATCAGATATGGTGGCACATGTCTGCAGTCCCACTGCTTGGTGAGCTGAAGTGGAAGGATTGCTTGAGCCTGGGAGGTTGAGGCTGCAGTGAGCTATGATTATCCCACTGTACTCCAGCCTGGGTGACACAGTAAGGCCTTGTCTCAGAAAAAAAAAAAAAAAAAGATACTCCTCTTACCCTTACAGGCAGGTAGGAACCTAGACATGGACTCCCCAGCAACCCCGTATTCACTGGCATAGGGGAAGTGGGAAGAGGTCCTCAAAATGGATCTCTTCCTCTGACCTGAATATTAGACCCAAGAGCTTGGAGTTTCTCAGCATTAAGTTGACCCTGGAAAAATTAAGAAGTGGTATTTCTGGACCATGTGAGTCTAGACCAAGATTGACATCTGCTACACTGCTTATTAGATGTTTTGAACTGCTTTACATGGTCCTATAATTGATCATGAGTTGTAGTTTCATGTTTCCCCCCGCTCCCTGAAAACATCCATAAAAATCTTATGAGTTTCTCTTGCATCTCACCTGAAAAACCATTTATTCCTTCAATCTAGACTTTTCTCTCTCCCCACCAAAGCTGTCCTATTCTCCAACACAAGAAGGGTTCATGCTCCATCCCAGACCCCAAAACCGTCTGTGCTCTTCTCTCCTGGCATCATAGATTGTGTGGCCCTGGAAGCAAGGACAGGTCCTTGTGGTTGCTGCCACAGCCCACAGCAGACACAAAAGATTTCTCTGGATGGAGCCTATTGCAGAGTAATTGCAATTTTACAATGCAAGGAAGATGGAAGGAAGGATGCAGCTGCATTTTCCTATGGTTCTATAAGGCTGCTATGGTTTGAATGTGTCCCCCAAAGTTCATGTATTGGAAACTTAATCCCCAATACAGTAGTACTGGGAGATGGGGCCTAATAAGAGATAATAAGGTTATGAAGGCTCCACCCTCATGAATGGATTAATGCTGTTATCACAGGAGTAGGTAAGTTATGGAGAAACTGCGTGTGTTATAAAAGCGAGTTTGGGGCCAGGTGCGGTGGTTCACACCTGTAATCCCAGCACTTTGGGAGGCCAAGGTGGGTGGATCACCTGAGGTCAGGAGTTCCAGACCAGCCTGGCCAACATGGTGAAACCCCATCTCTACTAAAAATACAAAAAATTAGTCAGTTATGGTGGTGGGCGCCTGTAATCCTAGCTACTCAGGAGACTGAGGCAGAAGAATCACTTCAACCTGGGAGGCGGATATTGCAGTGAGCCGCGATCGCGCCATTGCACTCCAGCCTGGGCAACAAGACCAAAACTCTGTCTCAAAAAAGAAAAAAAAAAGTGAGTTTGGCCCACTCTTGCTCTCAGGCTTGGCTCTCCTTGCCCTTCTACCACCTGCCATGGGATGATGAAGCAAGAAGGCCCTTGCCAGATTCGGGCCCCTTGACCTTGGACTTCCTAGCCTCCAGAACTGGAAGAAATAGAACTCTTCTCTTGTAAATTACCCAATCTATGATAATCTGTTACAGCAACACTCAACACAGTAAGGCAAAGAGTGACCTTCCCTACCCCTACCTTGGGAGGTTGACTGGATTGGCCTCAGAGGTGGGGCTCTGGCCAGCCCAAACCTGGCTCAAGCTAACAGCGTGCTCTGGTATGTGAATAAAACTTCAATGACCATCACTGAGACTATTCCTAAGTTCAAATGGAAGCCAATATCTTTGGAGCTAAAATTCCCAGGAGCTCTTTGCTGCCTGCCAGATGTGCTCCAAAAACCAACATTGAAACTCAGCTTATACCCAAGGCTGATTTACCACCAAAAATACAAAGTTCAAGACTGAGTAAAACAAACGAAACTAATGCAGTCTAATATTTATAGTCAGTGAAATGATGTCTAAATTCTGTAATTAAGGTAATCTAGAGGCTCAAGATAAAGAAAAATAAAATGGATTTCACAATTCATCTTTATCTGAAGTTTTTGGTTTTAAACCAGGCCCCAATATTCTGGCCATATCTGTTACCTGTATGTGTTTCTCTCCCAATAGACTTCTAGAAGGGAATCGATTTATTGAACTCTAACTTTCCACCAAGTTTTCAATGAGATCTTCCTATATCCCACTTTTTTCTTCTGAGTCTGCTCTGTGAACAGAAGCCCCTGGCTTTACGGCAGGTTGTCAGTCTCCCAGGACTACTGGTGCCTGTAACATCGCTAACTAATCTCAGCACAAAGCTCTTTGCCAAGCTGTGGATTCCAGATCTGGGATAAGCTGAGCAGTTTAATGGTTCCATTCCTCTCTAGCCTGAGTATCCACCCTTCAGACCACATACCCACAGGTGTTTCTTGCAAACGAGCCAAGAATATACTACTTTCTTATCATCCTGGGGAAGTATCTCATAAGCAAAAAGCACTCTGTCCTTCCAAGACATGTTAATGACTGCTGGAATCACATTAGAAAAATATAATGCCTTACTCTTTCCAGGAAATGTTTCACTTTGCTGGAAAGAAAAGATTCTGAAGAACAAAGACCCAGTGATAGTCATTAATCAATCAAAAGCCCTTAGTAACTTAAAATGTTGACATACATCAAAATTACTGAAAAGGTACCTACAGTAGAAAACCAAGCAATTTGACCTCCAGTAACTGGATAGAGTGAGCTATTCCAGTACAAAAGAATTTCACATAGCCATCCCAAACTGTGTCAAAGAATACAGGAAATAGTGTCACAACGTATGACAGTAACTGCTTACTTTTTGTTTTAAATCACTAATCTCACACACACGTGCACACACACACACACACACCCTGCTAGGAGGACATACACAATGTACACAATGTGATTGTACATTCACAGCCAGCTGTACAATCACAAATGATTTTTTTTCTTTCTTCTTTTGCTTACCTTTATTTTCTAATTTTTCAATGACTATTTCACATTCAAAAATATATATAAGTTGTAGTTATATTTACAACAGAATATGAGCACCTAATAAACAGATTCCTTTAAGGGAATGTGGTCCCAATTAGACTCTTTGTAGTTAAGCGACATGTCTTCATTACCAGAGTCTAAGGAAGTCAGTAAAATGAGTCCTGTGTGTATCACAGGCCCAGGATGGTGCCAGAAGCTTTTCACGTGTATCACAGGCCCAGGATGGTGCCAGAAGCTTTTCACCTATTAATTTGTCTAATCCTCACAAACCCCCATGTTGCAGGTGGAGAGCTGAGGCACACAGAAGGTCAACCAGCATTGAAGGTCAATTCGTTGGAGGGTTTCAAACCTAGCAGGGTCTTTCTTCTAGATGCTCCATCTTTTGACCTTGTGGGGAAGGGGAGTAGAGGGGTAGGTGACTGAGGGTCTAAAAATTTGCAAACTTGTTTCAGAGGACCCATTTTACTACCATAAAAACACTTGTTTTGTTGATTTTGTAGCCAACAGTGGCTTGAACTTGGCAAGAGAGGCAAATACCAAAACCAGGAGACATTGGCAGTTAACAGGGGCTGCGGCAGTTTACACGACTGTTCCAAGCCATCAGGTCACATGTGAAGTCACGAGAGTTGATTGTTCCTCCACAGGGCCTCTGCGGGGTGAGCTTGGAGCCTTCCCCCAGGGAGTAGACACAGCTGTCAACAACAAAAATACCTGGAGAGGGCAAAGCAAGCCCATTCTGGAGGGGGCCCTGGAACCTCAATTAGAAATTACTCCATGGCCACATGCAGGCTACCAACTGGCTTCTGTTCCCTAAAGTACCAAGAAAGACCTGGAGGAAAAATACCTAAAATTCTTCCTTCTCCTCCTAGGGTTTGCCTCTCCACACAGCTGTGCAGGCAATGGGCCTTTTTATTTTCTATAGCTTCAAGGATGCCAGTACAAATTACTTTTGTTTCACGTAAAAGCAGTCATCCTTCAACTGGGAAAAGGAGTTAAGAAAGTATTACCAGGTCCCTCTAAACACAAAAGGAAGGCAGAGAGGAAAACAAAAATGGAAGCGATGACTATGGCACCAGGTGAAAGGTTTGAGCCAGGCTGGCTTTGCATCCTGTCTCCAGCACTCCATTTGTTTGTTCTGCAAACTATACTTGGTGTCTCTGGTATGCCAGGCAGGGTGCTAGACACCAAGCACATGATAACGAGTAAAGTGATGTTTAAGAAAGCTTGCTGTCTAAATTCTCAAAAGAAGATATACACATAGCCAAGAAACATATGAAAAAATGCTCAACATCACTAATGATCAGAAAAATGCAAATCAAAACCACAATGCGAAACCACCTTACTCCTGCAAGAATGGCCATAATCAAAAAAATCAAAAAATAATATATGTTGGTGTGGATGTGGTAAAAAGGGAACACTTCTACACTACTGGTGGGAATGTAAACTAGTACAACCACTATAGAAAACAGTATGGCAATTCCCTAAGAAACTAAAAGTGGAACTACCATTTGATCCAGCAATCCCACTACTGGGTATCTACCCAGAGGAAAAGAAGTCATTATATGAAAAAGATACTTGCACACACATGCTTATAGTGGCACAATTCGCTATCGGAAAATTGTGGAACCAACCCAAATACCCATCAATCAATGAGTGGATAAAGAAACTATGGTATAGATATATGATGGAATATTATTCAGCCATAAATAGGGAATAAATTAATGACATTCACATCAACCTGGAGGGAATTGGAGACCATTTTTCTAAGTGCAGTAACTTAGGAATAGAAAACCAAACATCATATGTTCTCACTTATAAGTGGTACCTAACTATGAGGATGCAAAGGTATAAGAATGACACAATGGACTTTTGGGACTCAGGGAGAAAGGGAGTAAGGGTGGGAAGCAGGCGAGGGATAAAAGACTACAAATTGGGTTCAGTGTATACTGCTTGGGTGATGGGTGCACCAAAATCTCACAAATCACCACTAAAGAACACACTCATGTAACCAAACACTACCTGTTCCCCAAAAACATGTGAAAATTAAAAAAAAAAAAATTTAAAGAAAGCTTGCTTTCTTTGCCAGGATATTCTGAGAAGGAAACAGGCAAGGAAGATGCAGCATCAGGGAAAGTCTGATGAGGGTAGTCAGGGCAGTGACTCCTATCTTGCAGAACCCTTTGAGGACGACAAGGCTGGGGGTGGGGTGGGAGGGGCAACAGGGGATAAAGATGCCAGGAAGAGAGAGCAGCAAGGAGGGAAGTCCAGAGGGGAGACTCCCGGGGCTCAAGGAAGTGCTCACTGCCCCCACTGCACTGGAGCATGGATGGCCACGGTTGGATGACTTTGGTGAGAGATGAGGCCAGTGAAGTGAGCAGAGGCCAGGTCATCAAGGGCGGTGTGCTAGGAGTAAGAGTTTGGACCCCATCCTGATGTGGGGAGGTGGGTGGGGCTGCGGGGACAGGCAACAACTGGAGCCACCAGGGGTGTTGAGGGTAGGAGGGATCAGTGATCAGGTCTGTACTTTTGAATAACCTCAGTGTGCAGAATAGAGTAAGGGGGCAAAACTGGATGGAGACAAGGAAGTCAGAGGCTGCAGTGGCCAGGACTCGAAAGATGGCAATGGGGAAGGGCCATAAGAGGCAGAGGAATGAGAGGCAGGGCTCCTGGAGAGACATCAAGGGTTCTAGGGGCCAGACACAGCAACACTTTGGGCCAGCTGGCTGGGTCACTTTAAGGAAGCCATTAACCTCCTGAGCCTCAGGGTCCTCATTCAGAACTCAAGAGATGATGATGTCCATCATCCAGGGCTGCCCTGCAGTCTTACTGGGAGGACATCTGTCAAAGCCCTCAGCACAGTGCCTGCACATAATGAACCACCCCAAATCCTAGTGCTACCTTATTTTTCCCTCTTGGCATTTCTGGCTACAGGGGATTCTAGCAAGCATTGTGTTTTCATATTCCTAAACTGAAGGTCTCGATGTAACAGACAAATTCCGACAGGGTGGTGGATGATGCTGATGTCTTCACTGGGCCTAACCCCGGCTTGGTGCAGTAAGCAGAGATGCCCCAGCAAGGCAGCCTGTGGATTTAGCCAGGACTGGGGTCTAGGCAGAACGCATTCTGTGTCACATTTGTGACATGGAAGAAAGGCAAGCCTGAGAAACTTTGTATTCTCTCTGTCACAAAAGAGCCTCTGAAGTTTCCATCCCTTCTGTTAGCAGAATCAGCATTTGGCAAGAAATCCTGTGGTGAGCCAAGAACATTTATCATTTGGGAAGGAAGACACAGAAATGCATTATTTCTGCAGCATCTATTTTGCCAGATCATTTCACACAAACACCACGAAGAGAAAAGTACTACTTCACTGTCAGAACACTTAATGTTGTTCATACGTTTGGGTTGGTTTTTTTCCTATGTGAGAATTGTGTATCTAAAAGTGAGTCGCCTAGAACAGCCCCCAGAGAGGGAGCTCCAGTCAGGAGACTTCTGGCCAATCAGAATTAATTCGGATAAAAGCCAGACACGGAAGAGGGGCTCTGAGTGGACTTGGCACCAGGAAAAAAAATACCCTCTGCAGAGGACAAATGCAGGAAGCATCATTAGCCAAAGAGTGGGTGCATGTTAACATGGTCTCTTGGCTAGATTTTCTCATCAAAAACTGAAATTACACCTCTAGAGTCGACATAATTAAATCACTGCATGAGGATTAACAGAAGGCCCTGGCGGGGAGATGGCACAGCAAGGACCTGCCCATCCCCAAGTGAAAATGTGGAGCGTTTGCCTTGAAGTCTGCGACCTGAAATAAATGGGCTGCTTCTCTATCCCTCTCCCAACCCTCTGGCACTTCCCTTAAAATCCTCTAATTCAGATCCCCCAATAACCCTGACACTGGGATAGTAACCCAGAGATAGTCCAAGGCCTTTAAGTTGCTTTGTTTATGTAAGAGTGAAAGAAGCCTCACGTTCCCACCCTAAGGTTCTTTTTTTTCTTTTGCTTTTTCTCTTTTTATTCCTTCAAGCTCTGAAACAGCCACAGTGCAAGAGATAAATTCATTAACCCAATCATTTAAGATGGGACTATGCCAATACAAAAAAGAAACTTAAACTGAAAATGTGGCTATTTTCTTTCATTCAACAAATATTTACAAATGGTTTACCATGTGCCAAGCTGCACGGAGATGGGGGGAATGTGTTGACAAACACATGTGGTTCCCTTGGGGTAAAAGGAGGCTTATTTTTGGTTCATTTTATTTAAAAATAAGTTGACACAGAGCTGCATGGATCATTTCTATGTAAACTTGCACCCTCGTATCCTGCACGGCTGGTCTGTGTGCCTCCTCTGGAGGGCACACTGGTCTGCAGTAGAGGTATGTTACTCCTGCCAGATGTGCAAGGGTGCTCTGGCCAGGGACAGAAAGGACCGGCCATCACAGTCACCAGGGAGAAAGAGGATCACGGGATGTAAAATGATGGATTAGTCAAAGTTCCCAGAAAAGGGGATGCCTATGCAGCATATATGATTCCCTGCTTCCTGGAAGATGTAGTCTATGAAGGAGCCTAGTAATGTAATGAGACGGTCATGAGTCATTATGAGGCAGGACATCTGTGACCAAGGTGTGATAGAAAGGGGCAGCAAGGAGAGATGCGGAGGGGAGAAGAGAAACAGGGGACAGTCTCTTCAGGTTGCATGTAAGCTGTAAGCTCATCCTATGTCCCTCCAGTGGGGATAGAGTGATGTAGTTCCTACTCTGTCTCCCTCAGCTTACTCCTAGTGAAGATAGCTGACCACGATGGGCCCAGTGGAAAGAATCTGTGTCAATATTGCTGCTGTGCTGCTGACTCGAAGCCTGATAGCAGCATCCCGCTTGGCTTAGAATTACTGGCCAGGGTTCAAATCGCAGTAGAATCACCAAGGTGCACTTGCTAGGGGCAAGCGGTCCTAACACCAGCTTCAAGTTTGTCATGGTGCCGAGGACCAGGGACTCTCTAGCCAGATGTTCCACGTTCAAGTCCTCATGTTACCATGTACTAGCCACGTAACAAGTTGATCAGCCTCCACCAGGGTCCTTTCCTTGACAGTAAGGTGGATGAGACCAGACCTCATACTGCTCTTGAGATGATCAAATGATGTGAAGTGTGTAAAGTACGCAGCAGCAGAGTGCTGAACACAGAGTAAAATACTCACAAATGATAATGGTGATGGGAGAAGTAATAAATCTCAGTATTTCTAAAATTTCTGAAATACGTCATTCTTTTGCCGCAACAATAAGAAGAAACGTGCAACCAACATTTACAACCTAACAGACCAACTAGCTCCCGATGTTGCTCTGGGCAATGGCATTTTTCTAATACATTCACAAGGCTCCAAGGACTCTTCAATAATAATTATTTGGTGAGGACTCTGTTCTGGCAGAAATTGGTTGCTAGAAGTCCATATTTGTGTGTGTGTATTGGGGGGGCAGAGGGAAGACAATTTTTAGATATGTTACTAAAGATGTTGCAATAAAAACTAATGTATAATTCTGCAGTCTCTCCTTACAGACAGCGTCGTTTTCTTATTATGACATAAATGTGCTTAGTATTCCTCTTAACCCAATTATTGCATACAAAGGTGTCACTTCAAAACACAATACTCCAAAGCAATTACGTTTTCAAGTAAATACACATCCAAATCCTTTAAACTGAAGTTAGGACCACTTCTTCTTAACCATCACAAAAACAAAACTGACTTCATGGAACTCTCAGCCACAAAAGAATACTTTTCTAGTTGAAATGGAAAGTGCCCTATTGTATGAATAATTCTGTTTCACACAGGTATTCCAATCTAGTGTCTCCAAGGTCAAAAATGTCCATTGTTAATGCTGTGCTCTTCCAGATCTAGTGAAGTTTGAGGACAATCCTTGAGGAATGCAATTTTTCTGTCAAAGCCACAGGAACAAGAGACTATTTGAATCTGAACAAAAGACTGTTTTAGAAATGATGAAGAGAGAGAAGAGGACATGGCACTGAACTGCAAGCAGAGAGGAAGCAGAGAGGATGCAGGGAGTGGCTCAGCCCCTACTTCTTCAGGGCTCAATGTGGCAAATGGATCCGGCTTGAGGGATTCAGAGCATGACCTGTAAGCAGCGCCTCCTTAGGGGGTTGAGAAGCATGGAAATGAACCAATATCGAAAGCAACAGAGTTTCCTCAGCGTGCTTTTAAGAACTTCCAGCTAGACGGGAGGAACGGTGTGGTCTAAATGACTTTCCATGGTGCCTTCTGACACCCCCCTCAGGAGAGCACTGTCAGAATGATCAGGGGTCCCAGGCCCAGTGCCCCCAGAGCCCATGCTCCCAACTAGCTGTTTTAGAGTGCCTGACTAAATTCCAGAGATCCAGGGAGGCTGTCCCCGAGAGCAGCTGGCTCTGCCATGGGTGGTCTCTGACAGATTTCCACCACTTCCAGATTGTCAGGTTCTGAATTAAAAGATGGCTATCTCTCCTCTCCTGTTTTACTGTCTATACTCTTAAAAAAAATCTTCATAGATTGCATAAGCTTTTCCTGTTCAACAGAGTCAACTGGACAAATGCCTCTGATAAATTGTAGCTCTATGGTATAAAACTGCATGTGAATACTGCATTACATTCCTGTTTTAGATAAAGGAAATTAAGTCAGAAGCAAGCTACTATACCAGCTATTGATACAACCATCCGTGCCCTTGTATGGGGGCATCACATAATGCTTTAAACCTGGGGAATTAATCTGTCTACTAAACAAAATCCAACAGTCTCAATGCTTATTTTAAAAACTCCAATTCCTGAGTATTCGCTAGATTCCTGCATGGGCATCTGAGGCTCTGAAATGAGAATATTTACGCTATACATACATCCTCACAACCCCACAGCCAAAACAATAATTACAAGTCCATGTGTGCTAGAGAAGAAATATCTCTTTGTATGCATTTACAAGTGTCTTTATGCACACCAACAAATTTAACTACAGCCCAAATGCAAATAATAAAATGTTATTGTACAAAGCCTGCACTACTTCATATAGATTGCTTTCTGCAGCCTACTTTTTTTCAAACACATTTTTCTGATGTTCCAGTTGAAGATAATTCACCTTTCCTGCTCCCAGAAAATCAAAAGGAATGACCACAATAACAATAATGTATTATTAATAATAGCAGCCAGCATTTACTGAGCATTCTATTTGGGTCAGGGAGATACTATTTCCCCCATTTTATAGGTTAGGTAACTAAGGTATAGAGAGATCAAGCAACTTATCCAAAGTTACACTGCTACCAAGGAGTTTATTAGTTAAGGGGATACTAGCCATTATAATAAGAATAACCCCCATATCTCAGCGGCTTCACACAATAAAGGTTTATTTCTTGCTCATGTAACCATCCATGAAGAAGTTCTTTTCATCAGGTAGCCTTCCACATAGTGACTCAGGGACCCAGGATCCTCCCAATCCAACAGCTCTGTTCTCCTCTCAGGCCTTGGAGTCTTCCACATTCAGCCAGCCGATTGGGGGAGAGGGAGTGGAGAAAGTGTACCTGCTTCTTGAACTCCTTAGCCTGGACGTGGCCCTTATCAGTTCTGCTCATGGTCCACTGGCAGTAATTAGACACATAGTCCAATCAGATGAAGGACAGCCTGAGGAATGGAACCCATGGCTGAGGACTATCCCCAGGCTCCAAGTCAACACTATGGAAGAAGCAGCTTAAATCACCAGGGGAGCCAGGATTTGAACACAGGCAGCACAGCCTCAGAGTCCATGCTCTTAACCACCACACCTTGGTTTAAAAGCTTGATAAACCACAACCAGATGAAACCTCAGATTAAAACTTGGCTGGGAACAATCTGCAAGATGGATAGTTGAGAGCTGGTGCAATCAAGCCACAATCTACAGAAAGAATAACATAACCAAGCACTTGTATGTGTAATTATGGTCAGAATCAGATGTTAAAGGCCAAGATACTGCAACACAGAAAGGAATACATTATAAACAATTCTTAGACCTTTTGTCTGACTTCCTTAATCCCAGCTCAAATAAAACTGCTATTTGAATAACATCAATGACCTTCTCTAGCACACGATATTAGTTGCCCAGGCGCCACAAAAGTTAATTGGCTTAACTAAAGTCTTTTAAATTCTATATCCAAGATGTCCTGGAAATCGAAGGCCATCAATGAATGAGTCTGCAAGATCCCTAACAAGCTTAAAGCTAATACTATTTGCAGCTGCTCAAGTGGTTTCTGTAGTTACAGGGCCAAAAGCCAGAATGAGAGTTAGGAACCTGCATCTGAATGATTCTTTAACTCTTTCACCTCCAAATTGAGTAAAGAGACGCTGGTTTATGGCACAGCTGGACCCTAGCTTTTCATTGGGGAAGAGGCAATGGCTGAGTCTTCCTTCCCATGTTGGGAAGCTTCCTCTGTGAAAAGGTGGGGAGACGCTGACATATAATTCCCTACTGCCAATATCAGAGGCTAAGAAAAATGACCCACAGCATCAGCATCCTTTATGGAAACATCTCATTGCCTCCCATTTTCCCACAGCAGCCCACGGGTCCTCCAGGAGATTGCAGCAGGTGACCTTCCAATTTGCATCACCATAAACAGTACTAAAAATGAGGGTATTCTTATACATCAGAGCCATCCCTACGCTGAGATGCGAAGACATCATCTTTACCCTCTAAAAATTTCAGTGTCACCAACTTCAGAATCAAATGATTTTTCTGACATATTTCACCAAGCCCAGCACCAGCACTTTCTCCCAACATCTTTAAAATCAGGGTGTTCAAATACAAAAGAACCCAGAAATAATCCATTTCAGACACCACTAACTCAAATGCCTCCAGAAGCCAGACAGGTCATATCAGGTGAGAGAAATGAGCCAGTCTGGAGTCGGCATCAGACGGCAGAGCTTCCATCCCATCCTAAGAAGTCAGCCACTTCTTGGTTTCTTTGATCTTTGTGTCGGCAGGGCGGGGGGCATGCGGCAGCTACCCGATCTTCTGTTTGTGATGAGAAGCCAGAAATCTGTGTTTTTATATGAAATCTCCCACTGAGTCCAGTTCTTTGAACATGCTGGGGCTTAGTACAAAATGTCTCTAAATATCTTCCTTCTCTTGAGGAAATTAACACACACAGTAACATAGCCTGGCATCTCCCAGAAACCACTGATGTGCTGGGCAGCAACCAGGCTGCTTCCAGGCACCACACACTCAGCCTCCAATCAGGCACTGCCACGATCTCCCTCGTGAGGTGTGAGGATGAGCCTGAGGCCCTGAGAGGGCAGCGGCCAGCCAGGGCCAATAAGGGACAGATGCCCACCTGGCTCACCAAGATCCCAGCCAGCTGAAGCAGAGCCATGGTCCTTCTCACCACTCACAGTTCCTTGGCCATGCAAGGGCTCAGAACTCAAAGCTGCTTTTCCCTACAGACCCCAAGTGTGACCAAAAGCACTTGATTCCTCACACATTTTAGGTTGGTAGTCATGGAAATAGAAACCTGGAGTTGAGGAAGTTAATAGAAGTCCACACATTATTCTCAAGATAAGGACATTTCTATGGTGGTCTGAAGAATCCTAGAATACTAAGAAATGTAACTAATACTTCTCTCTCTCTCTCTCATATACACACACATAAAATGACAATGCTACCAATATTTTTTTCTCCTAACATCTGTTTAGGAAAATATAAGGAAATTGATCAATTCATCCACATCTTCCTGATTATTATGCTGTAATGTGCCTTTAATGGGGATTTTTGGAGCTTCGGGTTGGGGGGTGCAGCAGACCACAGGTACTCTGGTATCCAATGAAGCCCATGGACCCCTCCTCAGAATGACTTTTTTCAATGCAAAAAAAGAAGACACAGAGGAAAGAAACTGATTATATTAAAACTCAGTTTTCAAAACTGTTTAAAACATAAATTTGTGAAGCAGAAACACAGGTGTTTCTTCATGGGTGCATTAAACAATGAGATCTAGTGGTGAGTCTAGAGTCATTATCGTCAGTGTCCAGGATGAGCAACAGCAAGGAGATATCCACATCAACCATGACATCACAGGAAACGATCTGTGATTTCTGTTGATGACAAAGTCACAGGCACTGCTGTGGCTTGTCATCTACATTTGTAAGTTAAGAAAGTCATATGTTTTGGTTAGAGGTTAGTGAAAGTAAAAGATGTCATTTTTTTCTCATCTATATTTATAGTCTCCTGAATTCTCCCAAGACTGTAGATACAGGTTCAGCACCTCTGTGCACTTCCAAGAAGTCCTGGAAAAAGTCCTTCAGTGTGTGAATGGTGATCTGCCACTGCTTCCTACACAGTGTCAGGACAGGCAATGCCTATGGGCAAATGCTGGTCTATGTCACTAAGTCATCCTGTGTACTGTCTGATCATTAGCGTACATTCATCATGTGATTTAAGGTTTCTGTACTTTAAACATATACATAAAATTTTGGACATTTCCTGAAACAATGCCACTAGACAGTTCTGTTCTCTAAGTATAAATTATAGTGCATGAGTTTCTCTGGCTGTTCTGCCAATAAATGATGATTTCTCAAATGGACTGAGGAAAGGTAAACACTAAACTGGAAGCAATTTTATTTCAGGCCGGGGTCACAGGGTAGAATTAATGGGAACTATAATTTTTTCCCTATGTACCACTAGGTTATTAAAATTCTTCACAAAGAACATAGGTTCATGTATTATTTGTGTGATTAAAAATACATAAAGTGTCAAGTTCAAAGAAATTTAGTAATCACTGTTATAAAAATATAATAACTGTCTTGTCTCATAATGTGCAAAGAGGAGTGTAACTGACTCACGTTTATGTTCAAGACATGAATTAAACAACCCATCAAACAAGCCTGGCCTTTGTCCACAGCTGCTACGTTACTATGCCAAAATAAATATTTTAATCAATGTCTATGCAACTGTGTACTGTCACAGAAATCTGCTCATGAAATAATGCTAAATACAGATGCAAATTATACAAGTGTGTTGTGTTTATAATTAAAGCCATGTTTAAAAAAAAAAAGAGCAAAAGATGCTCGGAGGAACCACAACAAAATTCCAATCGTGCCTGGGTATGGTGGCAGAATTTTGGATGACTTTTTCCAGTTTTCTAAATTTGCTTTGTGACATAGCTTTTAAATTAGGAAACATAAAACCTAAAATGGAGAAAAATAGAAAAGTAAGGATGTGATTCAAATCCAGGCAGGCTCATTCGATAGCCCATGTCCTGACCTCCCTAATAACTCTCCTAAGACATTGGAAGGTAAAACGAGACTTTTTTCTTCTTATTAAAGCAAAATGTACTCACTGTAAGGAAAACAATCAGATGGTAGATGTAATCAAATAGAAGGGGGAAAAATGTTAATCCTCATTCTCCCAAATATCACAGTTTACTCCTCAATTTATATCTTTACAGATCTTTTTTTAAATGTAAGATTATAAATGTAATTGTTTTTTTACAATCAAAGTGAGGTCATCCTATACATGCCAAAGGGATCTATTTTCAATTTATTTCCCTAGGAAGCTTAAGAACAAAATAGCTCATCCTTCAGCTCACCAAAATACAAACAGGGACTTGCAAGGCTCTGACAACCCAGGGGCCCTCATACAAACACACTGAGACCCATGGGGTGGGTGTAGTGAAGACAATAAAACAATAGGCTTCTCCAGGAAGAGGGGAGGCTCATTTGAAGCAACAGGCCTCAACCAGGGACCATTCTGTCCTGCAGGGACTCTTGGCAGTGTCTGCAGACAATCTTGGCTTTCACAACTCGGGGGAAGAAAGGGAGTTGCTACTGAATCCAGTGGACAGAGGTCAGAGATGCTGCTAAACATCCTGCAAAGTACAGAGCAGGCCCCGCCACAAAGGATTATCTGACCAAACATGTCAAGAGTCCAGAGGTTGAGAAAAACTGGGTTAGAGAATCATTTTATACTGAATGCATATAACACAAACCCTGATGACTCAAACCCAGTGTCCCTCCAGTAGCTGAAATTCTGTCCCAGGCATCTCAAAGAGTGGCCCCTGGACTCTTCCATGGAGAGGTTCTTGCAGCCCCACAAGGCAATCCCTCCCGCTGAGCAGCACTAAGCAATAGAAAAAAAAAAAAAAAAAAAACAGAAAAAAAGTCACTGATGAGGCTGACAGCAGATGCACACCAAATCCATCTTCTAATCGATCAAGATAGCAGCTAATAACAGCTGGGCATGTCCCGTGAGCCATGTCTCCCCTAAGTGTTTTCACGCATCATAGCCTTCTCACAACGGCTCCTGAGACAGGCACAACTCCTGAGAGATGAGAAAACTGAGGCTTGCAGAGTTAACACCCTGGGTGAGGTATCATGCTTTGAAACTTCAGAAAGGCCACCAAACTCACAGACTCCAGTCATACATTTCATAGCACAGTGCATATGTGCAAACATACTCTGCTGGAAAAAATAGGCTTTTGAAAATGGCTCCAGTGAGAGACTTGATATATGCACTCGTCCAGTCAAACAAGAAACTCTGCTGAATTAATTTCTTCTTAGTAAACAAACCAACAAAACAATTTCCATCAGGAAATTAAATACAATTAGAAGAAAATTTTCGCTTTCAACAATGCCCTGACACTGTCAGAAAAGACTATAGAATCAAGTCAACCACTGATGTCTTACTCAATAAATAATTCCTAAATACCTACTATGTGCCAGATACTATGCTGAGTGGTAGGACTACTCCAGAGAAGAAAAGCAATGTGCTCTCCATCCACCCAGAGCTTAGAATCTACTGGGGAGATGTCAACCAAATAAAAGCACAGAACACACATGTCATTATACACCATGACAAATAGCATCAAGTCCTGTGAGTCTAACAAAAATGAAGTTAGATGGAGAGCAAAGGCCTCTCTGAGGATCTGCTGTTACCACAACGGAAAGGATGAGGTCACAGGAGAGGGAAAGACCAGAGACAAGAGACTCCCAGGCATGGAAAATGTCATGTGCCCACACCTTACACTCGGAGGATCCTGGAGTAAAAGCAGCATGAAGATGAATAAGATCACCCTCAATAACAGAGGGCAAGAGGCAGAAAGAGGAGATGAGAGCAGGGAGGAGAGATCACAGGTCCCGGGACCAAAGCCCCAAGCAGATGCCTCCGTGTACAACCGGATGGAGGAGGAAGAAGAGAGAAACAGATGAAGGAGGAGTGGACAGACAGGAGAGGGTGAGGTCACAGGGATAAGCAGTAAATGTCAACCCATCTTGAAGCTCACTGGGACATGGGCATGGTTTCCTCATCAGACTTTGGGAAAGGCAGTCTCATTTTCAGTGTTTAAAATTATTCACAGGCAATGAGGAGGTGAGAGTATGTGGAGAAAGAGTGCACGCTCAGCTGCAGTGATGCTTTCAGCAAACAGCCTGGAAGACCAAACTCGAGATCAAGAATTAGAAGAGGATCCACCAAGCGCTCTTTCCATCTTATACTTGGGACCTTGCCGAATTTTTCCCTGGAAGCTCTACTGTAACTCATTCACCTGAAAAACACCACCTTCCAAATACCTGAATGGTAAGATGGTAAGTCCCCTCCACAAACAAAGGGTATTTTAAATACAGACCCCTGAGCTACACCAACCACTTCCACATCTTCAATCCTTAGCAGCCACACAGAGACTTAACAATCCTAGAGGCCACACATCCATTTTACTGTACCTGAGAGATGCTGGAATTATTCCGGTGGAGAAATTGTAAGGCAAGAAGCCTTGACTGAAAGATTTTACCAGTGAGAGGAGAATGTGTCGCTAAAGGACCTAGCTTTGGTATAAAATTGAATGCAATACTCAGGGTTTTCAGCACATCTCAGCTTGGTGCTGTTACACACCAATGCTAACTTACAGATGCTAGATCAGGAATCAGAAAAGTAACAACGTGAGGCAAGAACTGTTTAAAGTTTCCTGTATAATTGTTTGACAGGCTTTTGTAGTTCAATTTCAGAGAAGTACTTTATTTTCCCTCTCTTGAATTATATATTCTATAATGTACATCAGATCTACATAAGGTATCTTAAACAATGGTCAGGTGGGAGACATGTATCTGCCTGAGTCATAGGTGTCACTTTTCCAAACATCGGTAAATCTAAAATCAACATAGTTTCAAGGGAATCATCTACTCTCTTCCTCCTCCCTCCCAGAGAAATCTGGGACAAGTGTTTGTTATGTGTGTGTGTGCGCCCATGTGTGCACATGTGCCTGCTGTGTTTCATGGGGTAGGATAAAATCTGGGAACAAGGAAAAGTGGAACCAGTACGGGAAATCATGGACTATTTCAATAGGTAGGATAACTACATTTTCTTTGGAAACTCCAACTAGTAATTGCAACTTTCATAATATTAAATGATTTCCTACTAAAATTATTATATAGGTGTGTATTAAATATGTTTCCTTTTTCTTTTTCCTATCTCTGAATGTAAATAATTGTAATTTATTGTACTTATTTTTTTTGAGACAGGGTCTCATTTTGTCACCCAGGTTGGAGTTCAGTGTCATGATCATAGGTCATTGCCATCTCAAACTCCTCAGCTCAAGTGATCCGCCTGCCTTGGCCTCCCAAAGTGCTGGGACTACAGGTGTGAGCCGCCATCCCCGGCCTCTTTTTTTTTTTTCTGTCTTTTGTTTGTTTGTTTGTTGTTGTTGTTGTTTGTTTGTTTTGAGACAGGATCTCGCTCTGTTGCCCAAGCTGAAGTGCAGTGGCTCAGTCATAACTCACTGTAACATCAAACTCCTGGGCTCAAGTGGGCCTCCTGCCTCAGCCTCCTCAGTAGCTGGGACTACACATCTGCACCACCAAGCCTGGCTAATTTATTTGTTCTTTTGATAGAGACAAGATCTCACTATGTCGCCCAGGCTTAACTTATCCTTTATTTTTTCTTTTTTTTTTTTTAAAGGGACACAGTTCTCACTCTGCCACTAAGGCTAGAGTGTAGTGGTACAATAACAGCTCACTGCAACCTCAAACTCCTGGGCTCAAATGATCATCTGGTCTCAACCTCCTGAGTAGCTGGGACTATGGGTGCACACCACCATGCCCAGCTAATTTTTTAAAACAAATTTTTGGTAGAAATGGAGTCTCGCTTTGTTGCCCAGGCTGGTCTTGAACGTGTGGCCTCAAGTGATCCTCCTACCTCAGTCTTCCAAAGTGCTTGGATTACAGATGTTAGCCACCACACCCAGCATGGTTAAGTTACTTTAAAAAGACCCCACTGACCCAATTGATCATCCAAAATCAGAATTGGTGACAATGACATTATTGGTCATACTTATACTCAGAAAGCAGCATAGTCAAAAGCCAAATATATAATCAGATATCAATTTCCCATATTAACAGAAGGAAACAGGGAGAAAAGGCATGAATGAAGATGAACAATGGACCGGATTAGAATTAAGTCACGGGCTTACAAGCTCTACCCCTCTCCGTTCAGCAGCACAGCCCACATCCTGAAGGCGAAGAAGCTATAGAGCATTAGAAAATAAATAATCCTTTGTAAATTAATGAGTCAGACAATGCAACCCAACATCCTCTGGAATGGCAAGGGCCATTTGGGAGAATATGCCACGTGGCAGAGACTGCTGGTGGCACTTCCTACATCAAGTCCATCACCTGGTGACAGGGCATCACATCCTATGAAACCCCCATCAGGTAAACTGCTGCTGTCAACCAACAAGACAAGTCCCAAAACACTCCTCTGTAGACAACAAAAATGCTTTCATGGAACTCAATTGAAGCACAGGAAGCTAAAAAGTTAAACAAATATCTAATAGAAGTCCTTATTAAAAGAAAGAACTTCCCCTGTTTAAAAATAATGATTTTATCTTCTGGTCCCATATTCTCATTTAACTTTTAAACTAACCTCTTTGATCGGAGAGAAAATCCTTTGAATTACTAAAGAAGCGGAAAAATACATCCGAGCAGCAAATGCTGAGAGAGAAGGAGGTCGGACAGCATTGTTAGGGGGTCTACACCATCCCACGTTCATCAGCCATAAGGTTTTCACTACACAGGCACAGATTCACTGGGTAAAAACCAGCAACAAAACGCTTACAGGTTTCAATTACCAAATATTTATCTTCCAAATAAATCTTGTGTCTCCTAACCCTTACAGAAAATCGATGTGTTAATTCACTTCTATTTCATTCTATAATGTCTCCTTTTGTTAATCCTTTTCCCCGGGGGACGCTTTTCAAATCTTGTCACTAATCCTTTACTGAAAAAGTTCCCTTTTCTGAATTCAAGGTGAATTCTAGTTAATAAAGGAGCCCTGAATTTATCTGTCTTTTCTTGCATTCATTTTGTGTTCCGTGGGCTCTCTCGTTAATTGAATGCTTTTCTAGCTATTCCATTTCCTTGTTACCATTACGCTTCCTTTAATCCATTCATCTTTCATAAAACACAAGTGATGGGCTACAAAAGGTTAACCAGAGAAAAAGGAAAAGACTGGAACATCAGCCAAACACCGAAAGTGAAAATTAACTTTGAAAATGTTTCAGCTGAGGAAGCACCCAGACTTGCGCAAACACTCCCCTTGCCAACAGAAGAGAGAGTGGCTAGGCTAGCGGAGCGGGACTGGGACTCTCTGAGGAGCTGCAGTGCCACGGTACACAGTCCTGGACCAGGAGTGTGGTGTGGGGCCCTGTACCCTCCTCCCTGCCTCTGCTATGTTTCAGTTAGGCTATAAAGCACTGGTTTTTTTTTTTTAATAATGGAACCACACATCTGAAGGTAAAGACGCATGAATTTCATGACTCCCACTACAAACCAACCAAGTTCTCACAACAAGCCAGTGAGGTATCAAAAGGTACATCTCACAAATTAAAACTTACAGACTGCAGAGGCTACGAACTGGCCCACATTTCTTCTTGCAAATGGCAGACTGTGGATCCAGACCCAAATGGAAGATTTCAAAGCCCATCCATACTCTTTCCTCTTTCTTCTTCTTTTTTTTTTTTTTTTTTTTTTTTTTTTTAAGAAACAGAGTCTTGCTCTGTTGCTCAGGCTGGAGTGCAGTGGTGTAATCAGCTCACTGCAGCCTCGACATCCTGGATTCAAGCAATCCTCCCAACTAATCTCCTGAGTAGCAGGTTTGAGCCACTGCCTTCTGGAGCCACCTGGCCTCCACTTTCCTTCTAGGCCAGAGTGCAGTGGCATGATCACGGCTCACTGCAGCCTCAATCTTCCCAGGCTTGGGTAATTCCCCCCACCTCAGCCTCCTGAGTAGCTATAGCTGGGACTACAGGTATGCACCACCGCACCTGGCTAATTGTTGTACTTTTTTATAGAGACAAGGTTTTGCCATGTTACCCAGGTTGCTCTTGAACTTCTAGGCTCAAGTGATCCACCCACTTCGGCCTCCCAAAATGCTGGGATTACAGGCATGAGCCACTGCGCCCGGCCTACTCCTTCCTTCTTAATCCTAAGGAATTAATCTGAAAGTTGAGTAAACTCACTGCAAAGTACTAATAACTCTCGTCTGTCGGTTTTATGAACCTGAAGTTCACATGTAAGAATTTTAGAAACAAAACACTGCTGCATTGTTCAAAATTATTTCTCGTAACCCGGCACATGCCCTGTGTGAGTGCTAGAAAGGATCCTGGAAGCCATAAATACCAAGTTGAGAAAAGTAAAAGCAGGTCACATTATTTTGCCACCACTGGCTTTGTACCTCCAATTCTTTCGTGTAGAGGTCCGTCTTTCTATTTGCCCTCACTCTCCCCTCTTCCTAGCCAACTCCCACTCATCCATCAATACCCAGATCAAGGGCCACTGCCTGTAAGAAGTCCCTACATTCCCTGGGGCGACACTTTGGTCTACCACACTGGTATATACTCTTTGGCTTACGCTCATTCATCTTCCCAATGGGAGTGAGATATCCTAGAGTTTGGCATGTTTTAATATGCATATGAATCTCCCGAGGTGCTTTGTTAAAATTTGGATTCTGATCCAGATCTGGGGTGGTGTTGGGGATTTGGCATTTCTAACAACTTCTGTGTGATACTAATGCTAGTGGTCCATGGACCACAATTTGAGTTTAAAAGGAAAGATTGTGGGTTTCATCTCCATAGCCCCCATGCACCAGGCAGCTAGAAATGGGGGTAAGGGGAGACTCACTGAGAGAGTGAGGAAGAATTCCTGCCTAGGGAGGTCAGGAAAGCTTCTTAGTGGTGTTACCATTTCTTCACTCTTTTTTTTTTTTTTTTTGGTGGCGGGGAGAGGGGAACCAACATTAAAACACAAAGCACCCTGATTTGAGAAGATGGAACAGGTTATGAACCAAGGTCTCAGTCCAAATTCAAAGTTACTTGCCACCATATTCAGCAAACTCAAAACAGGAACCATCTCCAGGATCTCAGGGAGCTCAGAAGTTAAAAACAGGTGAGAAAACATAGCATTCTGGGAAAATATAAACGAGGTTGTCAATGTTCTCTGTAATTTATGGCCCCTGCATGCCGACTCGCTTTTCCTAACTGAGAGTTGGGTTATGAAGTAACAATCCTGCATCTGTCCTACACCCCCCACCAGGACTCTCCTTCAGGGGCTAATAATAATAATAAGGATAATAGCCACAGCAGCTGCAGCAGCCCTAGGCTTAAGTGAGCATTCACCCTGACCCATGAACTGTCCCAAGCCCTTCACGTAAAAACAAAGTAGTTTAGTAGTTTAGTCCTACAACAACCCTGTGAAGTAGCTACTATTATCAGTTCCATTTTACCAAAGCACAACCTGGGGCTACAGGGAATGGCAGGCTTTGCCCAAGGTCACAGAGCTGGCTTGTAGAAGGGAAAGATTTAAATCCAGGCTGTCTGACTCCTAACAGTGCATGTTTAAAAGATACACTGCCAAGGTCATTTCAAGGTAAAGTGAAGGGAAAGGTGACCCTAGAGACAAATTCTGAGACCTGGATCAAAAGCGCTAGGTAGGAAGTGGAGGAGGTATTCCCTGAGGTATGCAGAAAGGTACCCCTGACCTCCAAAGACGCTGAGTTCATCCCAGACACAAGCCCAGCTCTGCCAAACTCAGCTTGAACATCAGGGTGTCCACTAATCTCCCGTTTTATTCATTTGCCCCTTACTTCGCATGGAACACATTTCTCTCCTTTTTCCCCACAACACAATTTGTCTCCTTCTCTCAGTTGGCTTTTTAGCTAAAAACAAGAGAGATGAAGCTTGAAACCTAATTAAGGAAATGGCCCGTGTACAAAGAAAACAGCCAGGGATCATTATTCAAACGGCAGCCTCTCTTTTTATTTTTGAGGGAAAGCTAATGACTACTCTGCAGCCCAGTGGCCTCTATATCATATCGTGTACACATCCCGTTATTAGAGGATAATGTGAGCAATTGGAAAACACAGTGAATAAAAGCGAGCACGGATCCCTGTTCTCACTTAAATGCTGTTTTGATGATTTAAAATAAAGACAAATGTTATCCTGGGAAATGCAGAACTCCTTGTGGCCAAACTCATTCATCTTAGGTTAGTAAGTTTCCTTCTCCAACAGACCTGGGTCTATGTGATGGAAGCCAAGGGTGAGAAATGAGAAAGCAACAAGTCCAGCTGTACTTTCCTACATAACCAACACATCAGGGTGGCTGGGAGAGAGAAAAGGAGGAGAAGGGAGAGGAAGAAAGCAAAAGACATCCTCTGGAAAAGGTCTGGTTGGTTCTCCCACTGGACTTCACTGGAATCTACTGACCTCTAACCATTCTGACTGCCAAGTTCAATTCACATCCATCTCTTACCCCAGTGCCCAGGCGTCTTCCAAATGTCATCCCGGCCTTGCCATGTCCAGTCCTCCCTCCATAAAGCCACTGGGACGTGCACCCTAAAGTTCATCCCCTTCCAAGGCTGGGCAAAGGCGGACACAGCCCAAGGGACGTCCTCCAACTGAACCCTGCCAACCTCCCCTCATGCTCCAGGCACCCTGGGCTCCCTACCCTTTTGTCAAAGCCCAGTCATTCCTTGAACTTGGGAAGGGAGGTATGAAAGGAAAATAAATCTTAGGACCCCAAAATCACTAAGCCAAAGGGAAAAGTTAAGCTGCGAGCTGCATTGGGCAAACCTGCCTCCCATTCTATTCCTAAGTAAGATAACTACAAAAATTTATAGAAAGCTACGGATCCCTCACAATTTTATCACAAGGAAATTCTTTGTGGACAAGGGACAGGCACAACTCAAAGTCATCCCTCTGCTCACATGAGGCAAATGGATATCTGATTGCTTCCTCGGCCTTACTATTTCACTAAGCTAGACTAACTAAGGCATAAGTGACTATTCCTGTAAATTGTGCATTCAGTGAAAGGCTAATCAGAAATTCAAAAGAATGCAACCGTTTGTCTCTCATCTACCTATGACCCGGAAGCCTCCTCCTCACTTTGAGTTGTCCCGTCTTTCCAGACTGAACCAAGGTACATCCTACATATATTTGATGGATCTCTCATGTCTCCCTAAAATGTATAAAACCAAGCTGTGCCCCGACTACCTTGGGCACGTCTTCAGGACCTTCTGAGGCTGTGTCATGGGCACGTCCTTAACCTTGGCAAAATAAACTTTCTAAATTCACTGAGACCTGTTTCAGATACCTTTGGTTTACAGAGGCCCCACACAGTTCATGGTATCTGGAAAGCTCTCCATACTCCACACTCCCTCATCTCCTACCTGTCTCCTACAAGTCATGTCTACCCTCTTGAATCCCCAGCCTCAAAAAGCACACCTCACCACCTCCATGCACCTTTGGCACCCCCAACTCTTCTCGGCATAGCTCTCGCTACACCTCCAGGGTTTTCTAATCACCTCTTCTCTATGTGTCTCCACTGAAGATGTGTCTCATTCTGTGTCTCCTTCTTCATCATCCATACAGCCTTTGACTGGCACAAAATGGATTTATTTCTTCAAAAGACTTGCTGAGTGAATAGGTGGATGAGAATGAATAGGTAGACAAACATGAAAAAAAAAAGTGGAAGCAAGGCAATGATCTGGTGTAGCTTCACTCAAACTAGGAGAAAAAGCCACATACAGTCTCTCCCTACATTTCAAACCCCTGACTTCTCTAAAGCAAGAGAAGCCACTAAGGCCACCAGCAGTGGCAAGAGCCAATGATCACCACACTCCACAGCAGGTCTGCTGCCTTCCTCTGCAGTCCAGGCAATCTCCAGCTCTATCTCTTTATTTTTTTTCCCTAAACTAGCACCACCCTGCACTGGAAATGCCCGTCAAGGTGATGTGAGGGAGAGAAAGTTAGGGTGACAGAAAATCGATAAAATGACCAAGGCCTGGAAACTCACATGTGTGTTGTTTTTAGATTTGAACACAGACTTCATGCAAAGCGTGGGGAACAAGTCCACACACTCCCCACACCACCAGCTTCATGCACAAAGGCAAGGTTTCTCCTGGCATTTTTCCTTGTCTACTCTTTTTCCTCCCACAGTGGCTCCAGCAGCAAGTGAAAGGGAAGAATGAGCAACCACTCAAAGGAGAGGACAAGCAGAGGGCTGGTGGGCAGGAGGATAGCTCATGAGGACAGCACAGACGTCTTCTTGTCACCAGGGGGCCTAAACTGAACCTGTTCCCTCGAAAAACTTTGTCGCATACCCATTTGTTATGCAAGGCTTCTTTGGAAAGTGGCAGAAATACTTTCCTTGATCCTTGGGCAAGACCAAGTGCAAATGGGCCCCTAAAAAGACAGTATCTAAAATGACAACACAGGGTGGCAGAGATGATCACTGTGGGACAGGCTGTTACTTAGTCTTTCTTACTCATCAATTCCCAAAGCACTGGCGAATATCAGGGTTTCCCTTGCTAGAAAGTACAAAATCCCAGCTTCTTTATTCTGCCATTTCATACTGCTTCCAAATTATGGGATCAGCTTTAACGTAATGTAAACAAGTTTTCAAAACATCTAATTCTTAAAATAAAAATTTCTCCTTCTCCCCCTCCTTTCTGGGGGCCTTCCACTACCCCCAAGCATGCATTTAAATGTTTCAGGCATGCACTCTTTTGGGTGTGCAATTTTATTTGTTTTGATAAATGCAGAGTTGTGTAACCACCACCACAATCAAGATGCAGAACCGTTTCATCACTCCAGAAAATTCCCTCAAGGAGCCCCTTTGCAATCAATCACTCCCCAACCCAAACCTCTGGCAACCACAGATCTATTCTCTGTCCTAACAGATCTGCCTCTTCCAGAATGTCATATAAATAAAAATAAATGTGGCCCTTTGATTCTAGCTTCTTTCACTCAGTATGATGCATTCGCGATTCATCTGTGGGTGTTGTGTATGCCTCTAGCTTGTTCCTTTTTATTACTGAATAGTATTCCACTGCATGGATGTGATATATTGATATATATATATATAATAGAATATTACTCAGTCATGAAAAGGAATGAAGTAATGGCATTCACAGTAACCTGGATGGAACTGGAGATCATTATTCTAAGAGAAGTAACTCAGGAATAGAAAACCAAACATCATTATGTTCTCACTCATAAATGGGAGCTAAGCTATGAGGACATAAAGGCATAAGAATGATATAATGGACTATGGGGACTCTGGGGAAAGGTTGTAAGGTGGGTGAGGGATAAAAGACTACACATCGGGTACCGTGTATACTGCTCAGGTGATGGGTGCACCAAATTCTCAGAAATTACCACTAAAGAACTTATTCATGTAACCAAACACCACCTGTTCCCCAAAAACCTACTGAAATAAAAAAGAAAATAAAAAAATAATACCCCATTCTCCCCTCCACTCAGTTCCTGGTAACCTCTATTCTACTTTCTGTCTCTAGGAATTCGCCTATTCCAGGTACTTCGTATAAGTAGAATCACACAATGTTTGTCCTTTTGTGTCTGATTTATTTCACTTTGCATTATGTTTTCAAGGCTTATCCATGTTGTAGCATGTATGAAAAATTCATTCCTTTTTATGGTTGAAAATTCCATTGTATGCATATATCACATTTTATTAATTCACTCATCTGTTGATGCACATTCGGGCTGTTTCCACCTTTGGCTATTGTGGATAATCCTGCTAAGAACATTGTTGTGCCAGTCTCTATTTCAGTCTCTTCTTTCTGTTCTTTTGCAGTGTATACCTAGGAATGAAATTGCTGGGTCAGATGGTAACTCTATATTTAACTTTTTGTAGAACTACTGAACTGTTTCCCACAGCAGCTATACCATTTTACATTCACACCAACAACATATGAGGGTTCTGATTCCTCCACATCCTTGCCAACACTTAGTATCTGACTTTTTGGTTATAGTCATCCTAGTGGATGTGAAGTGTTGTTATCTGACTGTGGCTTTAATTTATATCTCACTGAGGCAAATTATTTCAGGATTTTTTTTCATGTACTTATTGGCCATTTGTGTATCTTCTTTGAAGATATATGTTTATTCAGAACCTTTGTTCATTTTTAAATTGTGTTGTCTTTTTATTATTGAGCTGTAAGGGTTTTTGGTATATTCTAGAAACAAGTCTTTTATCAGATATAATTTCTAAATATTTTCTCCCTTTCTCTAGGTTACCTTTCACTTTCTTGATAGTGTTCTTGAAAGCACAAAAAAATTAATTTCTATGAAGTCCAATGTATTTATTTTTTATTTCATTCCTCATACTTTTGCTGTCATTATCTAAGAATTCATTGCCAAATCCAAGGTCATGAAATTTGACATCTATGTTTTCTTCTAAGAGCTTTACAGTTTTAGCTCTTAAATTTGGGCCTTTGGTCTAACATTTAGGTTTTTTGACTCATTTTTGTGTATGGTATGAGGTAGGGGTCCAACTTCATTCTTTTGCCTGTGGCTATGCAGTTGTCCCCACACCATTTGTTGAAAAGATTTTTCTTTCTACCACCGAAAGGTCTTGGCACACTTGCTGGAAATCAACTGACTAGATTTGTGAGGGTTTGTTTCTGGGCTTTCCATCAAACTAATGTTGTTTTTCAACTTTATTTTTTTGGTCAATAATTACTTACCATTAATTATCTGCATGCTATCTCCCTTACTGGATTGTAAGTGTTACATTTCAAAATGTTTAGCACAGTGTTCAGCACGTAACAGAAATTTACTCAATAGTTGAATGAATGAGTGAATCAATGTAAATGTTCCTTCCCTAGACTACACTTCGAATCTGTTCAGCACTCCCATTCCTAGAGTAACTATGTCCACCAGACATCACCTGCTCCACGATCACAGTTTGGGTTCTAGGCAATGTCAGAAGCCTACCACTAAATCTTATCAAAAAGATAGCATATATTATGAATAAAAGTTTCAGAAAACCAACTGCTCCCGCCAGGCTCTGTTCTGTTTCGCTGGGGAGAGGCACACTTTTTCCTAGTCCATAGTAATTAACACTTACCTTTTTTAAAAAAAAGATTACAGGCTCAGATAATTCAGTTACCACCAAACATCAACAGCAAAAATGACAAGAGGTTCTATGAACTGTGATTTGCGCTTTCACCAATATGAATGAAAATCAAAGGAACAGGTAAAAAGATGATGCATTTCAAGAAAAAGTAGCCTTAAGGGTTACTTTAAAGGGACAAAATTTAGACAATATTTACATATGGACATGCCATTTTAATTGCCTATCTGAGAAAAAGGATATTAATCATTCCTGCAACTGCTTTTTAAATTTGTGTGGTGATGGTGGAGACACGAATTTTTATTTTCTTTATTAAACAAGTAATATATGTTCATGATAGGTAAAGTAGGAAACTGACATAAGCAAAATATAAATAAGGATCACTCATAACCCACAGGCTAGTTAAAAGCAACAATTTGTATTTTGGTATGCAACCTGCCACGATGTTTTCCATCCATCCTGTGTATGTAGGTACATATTTTTATTTTATTTTATTATACTTTAAGTTTTAGGGTACATGTGCACAACGTGCAGGGTTGTTACATATGTATACATGTGCCATGTTGGTGTGCTGCACCCATTAACTCGTCATTTAGCATTAGGTATATCTCCTAATGCTATCCCTCACCCCCCGCTACCCCACAACAGGCCCCGGTGTGGAATGTTCCCCTTCCTGTGTCCGTGTGTTCTCATTGTTCAATTGCCACCTATGAGTGAGAACATGCGGTGTTTGGTTTTTTATCCTTGCGATAGTTTGCTGAGAATGATGGTTTCCAGTTTCATCCATGTCCCTACAAAGGACATGAACTCATCATTTTTTATGGCTGCATAGTATTCCATGGTGTATATGTGCCACATTTTCTTAATCCAGTCTATCATTGTTGGACATTTGGGTTGGTTCCAAGTCTTTGCTATTGTGAATAGTGCCGCAATAAACATACGTGTGCATGTGTCTTTACAGCAGCATGATTTATAGTCCTTTGGGTATATACCCAGTAATGGGATGGCTGGGTCAAATGGTATTTCTAGTTCTAGATCCCTGAGGAATCGCCACACTGACTTCCACAATGGTTGAACTAGTTTACAGTCCCACACACAGTGTAAAAGTGTTCCTATTTTTCCACATCCTCTCCAGCACCTGTTGTTTCCTGACTTTTTAATGACCGCCATTCTAACCGGTGTGAGATGGTATCTCAATGTGGTTTTGATTTGTATTTCTCTGATGGCCAGTGATGATGAGCATTTCTTCATGTGCTTTTTGGCTGCATAAATGTCTTCTTTTCAGAAGGGTCTGTTCATATCCTTCGCCCACTTTCTGATGGGGCTGTTTGTTTTTTTCTTGTAAATTTGTTTGAGTTCATTGTAGATTCTGGATATTAGCCCTTTGTCAGATAAGTAGGTTGCGAAAATTTTCTCCCATTTTGTAGGTTGCCTGTTCACTCTGATGGTAGTTTCTTTTGCTGTGCAGAAGCTCTTTAGTTTAATTAGATCCCATTTGTCAATTTCGGCTTTTGTTGCCATTGCTTTTGGTGTTTTAGACATGAAGTCCTTGCCCATGCCTATGTCCTGAATGGTAATGCCTACGTTTTCTTCTAGGGTTTTTATGGTTTTAGGTCTAACATGTAAATCTTTAATCCATCTTGAATTAATTTTTGTATAAGGTGTAAGGAAGGGATCCAGTTTCAGCTTTCTACATATGGCTAGCCAGTTTTCCCAGCACCATTTATTAAATAGGGAATCCTTTCCCCATTACTTGTTTTTCTCAGGTTTGTCAAAGATCAGATGGTTGTAGATATGCGGCATTATTTCTGAGGGCTCTGTTCTGTTCCATTGATCTATATCTCTGTTTTGGTACCACTACCATGCTGTTTTGGTTACTGTAGCCTTGTTGTATAGTTTGAAGTCAGGTAGCGTGATGCTTCCAGCTTTGTTCTTTCGGCGTAGGATTGACTTGGTGATGCGGGCTCTTTTTTGGTTCCATATGAACTTTAAAGTAGTTTTTTCCAATTCTGTGAAGAAAGTCATTGGTAGCTTGATGGGGATGGCATTGAATCTATAAATTACCTTGGGCAGTATGGCCATTTTCACGATATTGATTCTTCCTACCCATGAGCATGGAATGTTCTTCCATTTCTTTGTATCCTCATTTATTTCATTGAGCAGTGGTTTGTAGTTCTCCTTGAAGAGGTCCTTCATGTCCCTTGTAAGTTGGATTCCTAGGTATTTTATTCTCTTTGAAGCAATTGTGAATGGGAGTTCACTCATGATTTGGCTCTCTGTTTGTCTGTTATTGGTGTATAAGAATGCTTGTGATTTTTGTGCATTGATTTTGTATCCTGAGACTTTGCTGAAGTTGCTTATCAGCTGAAGGAGATTTTGGGCTGAGATGATGGGGCTTTCTAGATATACAATCATGTCGTCTGCAAACAGGGACAATTTGACTTCCTCTTTTCCTAATTGAATATCCTTTATTTCCTTCTCCTGGCCAGGACTTCCAACACTATGTTGAATAGGAGTGGTGAGAGAGGGCATCCCTGTCTTGTGCCAGTTTTCAAAGGGAATGCTTCCAGTTTTTGCCCATTCAGTATGATATTGGCTGTGGGTTTGTCATAGATAGCTCTTATTATTTTGAGATACGTCCCATCAATACCTAATTTCTTGAGTTTTTAGCATGAAGGTTGTTGAATTTTGTCAAAGGCCTTTTCTGCATCTATTGAGATAATCACGTGGTTTTTGTCTTTGGTTCTGTTTATATGCTGGATTACATTTATTGATTTGCGTATATTGAACCAGCCTTGCATCCCAGGGATGAAGCCCACTTGATCATGGTGGATAAGCTTTTTGATGTGCTGCTGGATTCAGTTTGCCAGTATTTGATTGAGGATATTTGCATCAATGTTCATCAAGGATATTGGTCTAAAATTCTCTTTTTTGGTTGTGTCTCTGCCCGGCTTTGGTATCAGGATGATGCTGGCCTCATAAAATGAGTTAGGGAGGATTCCCTCTTTTTCTATTGATTGGAATAGTTTCAGAAGGAATGGTACCAGCTCCTCTTTGTACTTCTGGTAGAATTCGGCTGTGAATCCATCTGGTCCTGGACTCTTTTTGGTGGGTAAGCTATTGATTTTGCCACAATTTCAGATCCTGTTATTGGTCTATTCAGAGATTCAACTTCTTCCTGGTTTAGTCTTGGGAGGGTGTATGTGTCGAGGAATTTATCCATTTCTTCTAGATTTTCTAGTTTATTTGCGTAGAGGTGTTTGTAGTATTTTCTGATGGTAGTTTGTATTTCTGTGGAATCGGTGGTGATATCCCCCTTATCATTTTTTATTGCATCTGTTTGATTCTTCTCTCTTTTCTTCTTTATTAGTCTTGCTAGCGGTCTATCAATTTTGTTGATCCTTTCAAAAAACCAGCTCCTGGATTCATTAATTTTTTGAAGGGTTTTTTGGGTCTCTATTTCCTTCAGTTCTGCTCTGATTTTAGTTATTTCTTGCCTTCTGCTAGCTTTTGAATGTGTTTGCTCTTGCTTTTCTAGTTCTTTTGTGATGTTAGGGTGTCAATTTTGGATCTTTCCTGCTTTCTCTTGTGGGCATTTAGTGCTATAAATTTCCCTCTACACACTGCTCTGAATGCGTCCCAGAGATTCTGGTATGTTGTGCCTTTGTTCTCGTTGGTTTCAAAGAACATCTTTATTTCTGCCTTCATTTCGTTCTGTACCCAGTAGTCATTCAGGAGCAGGTTGTTCAGTTTCCATGCAGTTGAGCGGTTTTTAGTGAGATTCTTAATCCTGAGTTCTAGTTTCATTGCACTGTGGTCTGAGAGATAGTTTGTTATAATCTCTGTTCTTTTACATTTGCTGAGGAGAGCTTTACTTCCAAGTATGTGGTCAATTTTGGAATAGGTGTGGTGTGGTGCTGAAAAAAATGTATATTCTGTTGATTTGGGGTGGAGAGTTCTGTAGATGTCTATTAGGTCTGCTTGGTGCAGAGCTGAGTTCAATTCCTGGGTATCCTTGTTAACTTTCTGTCTCGTTGATCTGTCTAATGTTGACAGTGGGGTGTTAAAGTCTCCCATTATTATTGTGTGGGAGTCTAAGTCTCTTTGTAGGTCACTCAGGACTTGCTTTATGAATCTGGGTGCTCCTGTATTGGGAGCATATATATTTAGGATAGTTAGCTCTTCTTGTTGAATTGATCCCTTTACCATTAGGTAATGGCCTTCTTTGTCTCTTTTGATCTTTGTTGGTTTAAAGTCTTTTATCAGAGACTAGGATTGCAACCCCTGCCTTTTTTTGTTTTCCATTTGCTTGGTATATCTTCCTCCGTCCCTTTATTTTGAGCCTATGTGTGTCTCTGCACGTGAGATGGGTTTCCTGAATACAGCACACTGATGGGTCTTGACTCTTTATCCAATTTGCCAGTCTGTGTCTTTTAATTGGAGCATTTAGTCCATTTACATTTAAAGTTAATATTGTTATGTGTGAATTTGATCCTATCCTTATGATGTTAGCTGGTGATTTTGCTCTTTAGTTGATGCAGTTTCTTCCTAGCCTTGATGGTCTTTTCAATTTGGCATGTTTTTGCAGTGGCTGGTACTGGTTGTTCCTTTCCATGTTTAGTGCTTCTTTCAGGAGCTCTTTTAGGGCAGGCCTGGTGGTGACAGAATCTCTCAGCATTTGCTTGTCTGTAAAGTATTTTATTTCTCCTTCACTTACGAAGCTTAGTTTGGCTGGATATGAAATTCTGGGTTGAAAATTCTTTTCTTTAAGAATGTTGAATATTGGCCCCCACTCTCTTCTGGCTTGTAGAGTTTCTGCCGAGAGATCCGGTTAGTCTGATGCGCTTCCCTTTGTGGGTAACCTGACCTTTCTCTCTGGCTGCCCTTAACATTTTTTCCTTCATTTCAACTTTGGTGAATCTGACAATTATGTGTCTTGGAGTTGCTCTTCTCGAGGAATATCTTTGTGGCGTTCTCTGTATTTCCTGAATCTGAATATTGGCCTGCCTTGCTAGATTGAGGAAGTTCTCCTGGATAATATCCTGCAGAGTGTTTTCCAACTTGGTTCCATTCTCCCCATCACTATCAGGTACACCATTCAGACGTAGATTTGGTCTTTTCACATAGTTCCATATTTCTTGGAGGCTTTGTTCGTTTCTTTTTATTCTTTTTTCTCTAAACTTCCCTTCTCACTTCATTTCATTCATTTCATCTTCCATTGCTGATACCCTTTCTTCCAGTTGATCGCATCCGCTCCTGAGGCTTCTGCATTCTTCACGTAGTTCTCGAGCCTTGGCTTTCAGCTCCATCAGCTCCTTTAAGGACTTCTCTGCATTGGTTATTCTAGTTATACATTCCTCTAATTTTTTTTCAAAGTTTTTAACTTCTTTGCCATTGGTTTGAATTTCCTCCTGTAGCTCGGAGTAGTTTGATCGTCTGAAGCCTTCTTCTCTCAACTCGTCAAAGTCATTCTCCATCCAGCTTTGTTCCGTTGCTGGTGAGGAGCTGCATTCCTTTGGAGGAGGAGAGGCACTCTGCTTTTTAGAGTTTCCAGTTTTTCTGCTCTGTTTTTTCCCCATCTTTGTGGTTTTATCTACTTTTGGTCTTTGATGATGGTGACGTACAGATGGGTTTTTGGTGTGGATGTCCTTTCTGTTTGTTAGTTTTCCTTCTACCAGACAGGACCCTCAGCTGCAGGTCTGTTGAAGTGTGCTAGAGGTCCACTCCAGACCCTGTTTGCCAGGGTATCAGCAGCGCTGGCTGCAGAACAGCGGATTTTGGTGAACCGCAAATGCTGCTGCCTGATCTTCCTCTGGAAGTTTTGTCTCAGAGGAGTTCCCGGCCGTGTGATGTGTCTGTCTGCCCCTACTGGGGGGTGCCTCCCAGTTAGGCTGCTCGGGGGTCAGGGACCCACTTGAGGAGGCAGTCTGTCCATTCTCAGATCTCCAGCTGTGTGCTGGGAGAACCACTACTCTCTTAAAAGCTGTCAGACAGGGACATTTAAGTCTGCAGAGGTTACTGCTGTCTTTTTGTTTGTCTGTGCCCTGCCCCCAGAGGTGGAGCCTACAGAGGCAGGCAGGCCTCCTTGAGCTGTGGTGGGCTCCACCCAGTTCGAGCTTCCCGGCTGTTTTGTTTACCTAATCAAGCCTGGGGAATGGCAGGCGACCCTCCCCCAGCCTCGCTGCCGCCTTGCAGTTTGATCTCAGACTGCTGTGCTAGCTATCAGCGAGACTTCGTGGGCGTAGGACCCTCCGAGCCAGGTGAGGAATATAATCTCCTGGTGTGCCGTTTTTTAAGCCCGTTGGAAAAGCACAGTATTAGGGTGGGAGTGACCCGATTTTCCAGGTGCCGTCTGTCACCCCTTTCTTTGACTAGGAAAGGGAACTCCCTGACCCCTTGCGCTTCCCGAGTGAGACAATGCCTCGTCCTGCTTCGGCTCGCGCACGGTGCGCTGCACCCACTGTCCTGCACCCACTGTCTGGCACTCCCTAGTAAGATGAACCCGGTACCTCAGATGGAAATGCAGAAATCACCCGTCTTCTGCATCGCTCATGCTGGGAGCTGTAGACCAGAGCTGTTCCTATTCGGCCATCTTCGTAGGTATATATTTATATACTCCTTTATGACATACTTTTCCACATATCGAAAGCACTATTAATGTCAAATACATTGGACATCATCATTGTTATTGCTTTATAGCATTCCAGGATACTGAAGAGGTGTCATTTATTTAGCCAATCCCTTATTTTAGAACATCTTTTATTCTTGTAAACAATGCTGCAATGAATATCCGTCTCTGATCCTGATTTTAAGAAAATTATTGCAGCAGGTAATTGGACGACTATTTTTATTAAGAAGTACTGGTACCGAAGGAGCTCTATTCCACCAAAATTCATTTTTTACACTTTATTCTCACACTGTTCATCAAGACAGAGATGTTTACTGTTCAGAGTATATTAGATGTCATCCTTAAAATTAAGACATTTTAATACGATTTTTCCTTTAGTAGATTGAATTTGAAATAATTCTAGATTTACAGAAAAGCTGTAAAGGGAATAGAGTTCCCATATACCCTTCACCCAACTTCTCCTAAAGTTAACATTATATGTTATTGTGGTATATTTGTCAATATAACAAATACAAAGCTAAAATATATAATATATTACAAATATAAAATTAAAACTAACCTATAAAACTATAAGATTAACATCAGTACAAAACTTAATTGTACCATTTTATTTAATTTTTTTAATTTTTTTAATTTAATTTTATTTTTTATTATTATTATACTTTAAGTTTTAGGGTGCATGTGCACAATTTGCAGGTTTGTTACATATGTATACATGTGCCATGTTGGTGTGCTGCACCCATTAACTCGTCATTTAGCATTAGCTTAAATATTTTAACCATTTAAAAGGGAAAAAGGTTTTAATATGTAAGTACATATATCAGAGTAGTAGTTTTGTTTTGTTTTTGTTTTTTGTTTTTTGAGATGGAGTCTCACTGTGTCGCCCAGGCTGGAGTGCAGCGGTGCAATCTCGGCTCAATGCAACCTCCTTCTCCTGTGTTCAAGCAATTCCCGTGCCTCAGCCTCCTGAGTAGCTGGGACTACAGCCACGCACTCCACACTCAGCTAATTTTTGTATTTTTAGTAGAGACGGGGTTTCACCATGTTGACCAGGATGGTCTCGAGCTCCTGACCTCAAGTGATTCACCTGCCTCGGCCTCCCAAAGTGCTGGGACAGAGGAGTAGTTTAAAAAAAATCAGCAGCCTCTTCCTCTATCTACACAGAGAAACACCTCTGGTGTCAGAAGGTCAAGAACAACACTGTCGTTATCAGGTTTTGAGCGGACAAAGGGAATGTGATTCACCAGTGATGTATCCCAACTTGTGCAATTACACACACACACATTGCACTTGCTTTCTGACCTCACCAATTAAATCATATCCCCAGAATATCACACTACAATGAAAGCCAGAAACACAGAGTAAGCCTCTAAAGCAATTTCTTCCTCTTGTTATTAATACTTCCTGAAGAATTTTATCTGCTCTGTTAGGTATCTAAGCTCAAAACATTTGCCCATTAAATATCTTGTTCTCATGTTTAATACTCTGCTAAAAGAGTGCAGATATGCAACTTCACATTATATTCTGCGACCAAAAACATTTCACAGCATCAGGAGATATCCATGGAGGGAGGACCCTTAAAGTCTATCTCTTCCCATTTAGAAAAAGAATTCTGACCCTACAGAGGGCAGGGATTTTACCCCAGGGCAGTCCACCACTGCTGTCCCTGCCAGGATCAGAAAGTAGAACTTGGGAAAACAGGACTGGCATCTTTTCTGCTTCACTGACACCACCTTCCCTATCAATTCTCTTTGGACAACATTACTTCTCACTAAAATTCTGCAATTTGTATCCTATAATTATAATCACATTTCAAAGTCCTGCTGGCTCAAAACTCAAATCAATCTCTCCTTCTTTGTTTTTAAAGTAAAAATCCTTTTAGGATCATGTAAAGTACGAAACTGCTTCATCAAAAGGGAAATGTACCCTCAAGAATAAAGACCTATTTCTCATGTATTTCTTCCTATTTGATAACAGACTTTTATTATCTACAAGCACAAACAATGCTAACTACTATGATAGGGTTTGTGATTCAACTAATAATGACTGTATTTGATGACAAAAAAAAAAACAAAGCGAAAACTAAAAGTGTATGTTCTTCTTAGAGGGCTAATTCCTACAGAAAGTGATGTCTTTTATTCTCTCACATTGAAACCTGTGCTCTTTCTCATAATACTTATCACAACTTGTAATACACTTATATATGTATCTGCTTTAATGTCTTCTCACTACACTGTAAATTCATGAAGCTCATTGCATACCCAGAGCCCAGCACATAGCCTGGTGACTTAAGAATCACAAGGACAGTAACATCACTGAATACAGTCACTTCTTTTCCTAGATCAGACTAGATGTCTAGAAGTCTACGTGATAGTAACATGAAGACTTCTAAGTTTCCATTCCTCAACTCCACAAGTACATTGACCCCTCATGAGGGTGCTGGAGCACCAGAATGATCCACATAGTACTCTGGTGTCTCTACCTTGACGCATCTTTCCTCACACCTGATGGTTTGTTGCTGGCTAATGGCTACTATCCAAGGGCCTCTTAGCATGTCAACTTAGTCTTATAAAGTGGCATCATGAGCTTGTATTTATTCAATTCCAAAGCATCTCTATACCTATGTTAATTTATTAAAAAACTAATAAATATTCATTGAAAAACATTACAGATATTTGACATAGAAAATTCAGTGACAATTCCACCAACTCTCCATTCCCACCTACCCTGCAAAACCCCCTAGCTTAATATTTTTTTTCTCAGCGTTCAACATGCATTTTAACAAACTGGAATTCTGTCATATGTTTTCCATTTTATGAAGAAGTGCCTTTTACAAATTATGTGATGAAGAGCCTTCTATGTCAGTATACACTTTGTTGTCATCACTGCTGTGGTTAGTCATGCTTTGATTTGCTGAGACCACTTAAGCAATAAACTATCTTTTTAATTTTATAAATGTCGGGAGAGAGGGAGCAATGAACACTTTGCTTTAACACACATAAGGAAGCCTCCACTCTGTGCTATCTGCTGAGCAGTGTTAACTCCTGTCAGTACAATGCAGTAGAACTTCCTGTCAACTGGTCACATCAAACCCACGGAGACTGAACATCCATTCTTAACTGCCAGGAAATGCCACTGATTCAGATCCAGCTCACCTCCTAATATTCTGCATGAATACAGAGCTTAAGCTGTATCATTTTCAGCTTTAATTCTATACAATAAAATATAATTTATTTATTCCCAGCAAGAATGTGCAGAGGCAGGAAGACATCAATAAAACATAACCGCACCAACTGGCCTTTCTGTGGCTCTCTGAGGTGTTCCACGTGACCATGGTGGGCACACATCTGTTCGCACAGCTCTCGCTCAGCAGTTTAAGGAATGAAGGATCACCTCATTACAGAGCTGCCATGTTTGAGTGCGCTCTGGGGTCTGCCTGCACCCCTCAGAGCCCAGCACTTCCTCCCCCTCATGATCCACTCTGCCACCGGGAGGGTTCACCAGGCCTCTATACCTAGCTCCCACGTGGTCTGACACAGGCAGGTAGCCTTGTGTTTTTCGGCAATCTGGATACACAGTGGAAAAGATACTGAGTCACAAAATGTGCAAGAATCTACATAAAAATATAGTGATGCCTTCCTGTGCCATAAATCATGGCTTCCAAGTGGCAAGGGAGGGCAGGGGCCCTGTTCCTGATACTGTTTTGCTCAACATCGCCTTATGCCTAATGGAGATGAGTGAATCACCTGTGGACACTGTCGGCTTCCCACACTTCCCCATGGTGCTGTCCTCCTCCTCTCCACTCCAGGTTGTTTAGGAGCCAGGGCCTCAGCCAGCACTCATTTGCACATGATGCCATTCAATAAACACAAACCAGTGTGCCAGCCTCTAGGGTGGATGCTGAAGACAGAGGAATAAACAGTATAGCCACAGTCCTCATTCTCTGGGAGTTCACAGCCTCATAAAGGAAAAAAGCAAGAAAGTAGTATGCTCAACACCATAGCAAGGGAAGTATGGAGTGTGTGGGCAGTTTCCAGGAGTGGGCTCCATCCTAGACTTGAGCATTAAAGGCATTTCCCAGAGGAAGGGATGCCTAAGCTGAGACCCAAAAAGGAGGAGGAATCGTTAGCTAAGAAAGGTGATGGCGAGAGGGAATGAATGATGCAGAGGGAACAGCAAAGCAAAGGCTCAAAGGCAAGAGATCAAAGGGCACAAGAGAGAACAGAGTCGGGAAGGGTTGTTATTGCTAAACTTGAGGGGGAAACTGTATGAGGCTGCGTGGCAGGCATGCTCCAAACTGTGGCGGGGAATCAAGTCTAGGCTTTCATGTCACCTCCTCCCTGAGGCCTGCCCTGACTACACTCCTTTACTCTCCCTCTTTTAGTACAGTGTTCAGGCCCTCACATTTCTGTCCCCCCTACACTACATTAGAACTTTAATGAATACAGGAACTTCTTTGGGTTTCTGCCTACTCCCCACCAGCAAAGAGCTTGGGTCCAAGACTCATAGGTGCTTAATAAATATGTATTAAATGAACGAACAGGCCAGGCGCGGTGGCTCACGCCTGTAATCCCAGCACTTTGGGAGGCCGAGGAGGGCGGATCATGAGGTCAGGAGATCGAGACCATCCTCGCTAACATGGTGAAACCCCGTCTCTACTAAAAATGCAAAAAATTAGCTGGGCGTGGTGGCGAGCACCTGTAGTTCCAGCTACTCAGGAGGCTGAGGCAGGAGAATGGCGTGAACCCAGGAGGCAGAGCTTGTAGTGAGCAGAGATCGCACCACTGCACTCCAGCCTGGGCAACAGAACAAGACTCCGTCTCAAATAAATAAATAAATAAATAAATAAATAAACAAACAAACAAACAAACAAGTCATCTTTGTTGGTTTCACTTATGCTTAGTTGTATCAAAGAAATCACTGTTGGAATTCTCTACAGGTGGAACTAGCCTAGGCTGGCCCCTACCACTGAAAACACAGGGTATAAAATTCAGTTTAGGGAACCTTTGCTTCGTGTAAAAATGATGCTGCAGGCTAGACCAAAACCAACAACAAAACCAACACCTCAGGTCCTATGCTGATCACAGTCTACCAACCACATGGAGTTGAGGCAGCTACTCAAAGCCCAAACCCTCAAGACAAGGCCCTCCATTCTCGTTTTGAGAACAGAGACAGCTCTGTGCACAAGATGCTAGAACTCGAAATGGTTTCAATTATTAGGACTAAGCCAGAGCTCTACTCAGACACTCATGCCTGTAGGTACAACAGGGCTGCTGGCACTACATACTGCTCTCCAGTAACAGACAGGGGGACAGAGATGGAAAGTTCTTGAAAATCCAACCTTCCTGCGCCACAAGGAGACAAGGCATTTAAATGAAAGCTCCATTTTCAAAGTGCAAGCTAAGTGCAGTCTCAGTGTAGCCAAGGTCATCTCTGGGAAGAGCGTAGTACCAGAGACACAGAGAGGGAGCTTGTCAGGATTCCAATATTTAATAAATCCTCAGTCCCTGGGGAAATTACTCAGCTCTCCTTGGGCATACATACTAGTAGGGCCATCCCGTTTGGTCCTCACTCCCACACACACAGTGAAGGTCACTGCTGCCCACCCGCCTGCAGCCATGAGTGGTAGAAAGGTGTCACTGAAATCACTCGTAATGTTTCAATTATTTCCATTCGTTAGTCAGAATCTGCACCTCACCCCTGCTTGGACTTGTGCATTCCACTCATGAAACTGGGAATTAAATGAGTCATCAAAGAGACACAGCCAATCTCTCCATCGTTGGAGCCTCACAAAGGCACAGTAAAGCTTTGGGGAATGAGGAAACAAGTCCATTTATAGCAGTGAATTAGGTATCGTCGCAGGATCCGTGTACATTAAAGAATGCTAATTTGATTCTTGTCTGCTCTGTAGCTGGGCTGTCAATACTGGTGTTTTTGTGTGTGTGGTACATGTTTTGGGATACATGTGCAGAACATGCAGGTTTGTTACATAGGTATACACGTGACATGGTGGTTCACTGCACCCATCAACCCGTCATCTACATTAGGTATTTCTCCTAATGCTATCCCTCCCCTTGCCCCCCATCCCCCGACAGGCCCTGGTGTGTGATGTTCCCCTCCCCGTGTCCAGGTGTTCTCATTGTTCAACTCCCACTTATGAGTGAGAACATGCGGTGTTTGGTTTTCTGTTCCTGTGTTAGTTTGCTGAGAATGATGGTTTCCAGTTTCATCCATGTCCCTGCAAAGGACATGAACTCATTCTTTTTTATGGCTGCATAGTATTCCATGGTATATATGTGCCACATTTTCTTTATCCAGTCTATTACTGACGAACATTTGGGTTGGTTCCAAGTCTTTGCTATTGTGAATAGTGCTGCAATAAACATACGTGTGCACATCTTTACAGTAGAATGATTTATAATCCTTTGGGTATACACCCAGTAATGGGATTACTGGGTCAAATGGTATTTCTGGTTCTAGATCCTTGAGGAATCACCACACTGACTTCCACAGGTGAACTAATTTACACTCCCACCAACAGTGTAAAAGCATTCCTATTTCTCCACATCCTCTCCAGCATCTGTTGTTTCCTCACTTTTTAATGATCACCATTCTAACTGGCATGAGATGGTATCACACTGGGTTTTGATTTGCATTTCTCTAATGACCAGTGATGATGAGCTTTTTTTCATATGTTTGTTGGCTGCATAAATGTCTTCTTTTGAGAAATGTCTATTCATATCCTTTGCCCACTTTTTGATGGGGTTGTTTTTTTCTAGTAAATTTGTTTAACTTCCTTGTAGATTCTAGATATTAGCCCTTTGTCAGATGGATAGAATGCAAAATTTTTCTCCCATTCTGTATGTTGCCTTTTCACTCTAATGACAGTTTCTTTTGCTGTGCAAAAGCTTCTTTAGTTTAATTAGATCCCATTTGTCCATTTTGGCTTTTGTTGCCATTGCTTTTGGTGTTTTAAGCATTCCTATACACCAATAATAGAGAGCCAAATCATGAGGGAACTCCCATTCACAATTGCTACAAAGAGAATAAAACACCTAGGAATACAACTTACAAGGGATGTGAAGGACCTCTTCAAGGAGAATTACAAACCACTGCTCAAGGAAACAAGAAGGGACACAAACAAATGGAAAAACATTCCATGCTCATGTACAGAAGAATCAATATCATGAAAATAGCCACACTGCTCAAAGTAATTTATAGATTCAATGCTATCCCCATCAAGCTACCACTGACTTTCTTCACAGAATTAGAAAAAAACTACTTTAAATTTCATATGGAATCAAAAAAAAGCCCGTAGAGCCAAGGCAATCCTAAGCAAAAAGAACAAAGCTGGAGGTATCACACTTCCTGCCTTCAAACTATACTACAAGGCTACAGTAACCAAAACAGCATGGTACTGGTACCAAAACAGATATATAGACCAATGGAACAGAACGGAGGCCTCAGAAATAATGCCACACATCTACAACCATCTAATCGTTTATAAACCTGACAAAAACAAGCAATCGGGAAAGGATTCCCTATTTAATAAATGGTGTTGGGAAAACTGGCTAGCCATATGCAGAAGATTGAAACTGGACCCCTTCGTGACATCGTATACAAAAATTAACTTAATATGGATTAAAGACTTAAACATAAGACCTAAAACCATAAAAACCCTAGAAGAAAACCTAGGCAATATCATTCAGGACATAGGCACTGGCGGGATTTTAAAAAGGGAGGAAAGGGCAGACGTTCATGTGAATGGCAGCAACCCAGTCCTGCAGGGCAGCGTGTGGGGGCCTCCCTGGCCCAGGCCTGAAGGACAGGATGGTACACTGGGTCTGTGTCATTATGTGCCACCTCCATGCCATGGACCAGGGCCCAGTAATACAGCATCTGAAAAAGGACAGGCCCTGAATTTGAAAACTGGAGATGTACAACAAGAAGCGGCATGCCTGCGGTGGGCCATAGCTCATCAACCCTCATCTACATAAACAACCACAGTGTACAGTCATCAGTCATCCGTCATTGGTCATCAGTGGGCAACCCAATCAAGGAAAGCTGCCTCAGGGTGTAGCTCTAGCCTAGAGATGGGTTTAGACGCAACAGTTGGGTAGCCAGAAAATAAACAATTTGGACCTTTACCTTAACCTGGAAGAAATGCACAGAAAAAAACTTCTTTACCATCCTCTCTCCCATACCAGCCCTGCCACTCTGTTTCTGCCTCTCATCCCCTCCCTAATTCCTCTTTTCCCTGCCTCAAAATACCAAACTTCTCTTGTACAATCAGCATGGACTCTCTCTAATGGCTCTCTCTTTCTTCTTCTTCTTTTTTTTTTTTTTTTTTGAGACAGAGTCTTGCCCTGTTGACCAGGCTGGAGTGCAGCCACGTGATCTTGGCTCACTGCAACCTCCACCTCGCAAGTTCAAGCAATTCTCCTGCCTCAGCCTCCCAAGTAGCTGAGATTACAGGCGTATGCCACCACGCCTGGCTAATTTTTGTGGTTTTTTTTAGTAGAGACAGGGTTTCGCCGTGGTGGCCAGGCTGGTCTTGAACTCCTGGTTTCAAGTGATCTGCCCGCCTCAGCTTCCCAAATGCTGGGAGTACAGGCGTGAGCCACTGCGTCTGGCCTCTTTCTTCGTTTTCTTATCAAACTGCTCTTCCTTCTCTCTCATCCCATCTTCATCTTTCCAGTGTGAACCCTGCTGACTGTTCACTCCTCAACAAGGGGGCAGTGGGAGAGGGCGCAGGGCACATTCATTTGGGAAGAGTAGAGGGCTCAGGGGTGCAGTGGGCAGCCAACCCATCCCTGCAGGGAGGGGCATTCAATCGGGGCTTCAGGATGTCAGAGAAAGAATCCAACCCTGATTTTTAATAACCTTGCACTGAATTGTAGTTATTTCCTTGAATTTTGAGTTCTTAAAGTAAACAAATAAAATTAGTATTAAAAGAACCTGCAACTTTATCCCCAGTAGAAATCAGATACTTTCCGGCCAGGTGCAGTGGCTCACACCTGTAGTCCCAGCACTTTGGGAGGCCAAGGCAGGCAGATCACGGCAGATCACCTGAGGTCAGGAGTTCAAGACCAGCCTGGCCAATATGATGAAACCTCATCTCTACTAAAAACATAAAAATTAGCCAGGCGTGGTGGCAGGCACCTGTAATCCCAGCTACTTGGGAGGCTGAGGCACGAGAACTGCTTGAACCCAGAAGGCGGAGGTTGCAGTGAGCTGAGATCATGCCACTGCACTCCAGCCTGGGTGACAGAGTGAGACTTTGTCTCAAAAAAAAAGAAATCAGATACTTTCCTATCACCTTTTAGTGTCTGTCAGTATCTCAAAACAGCATTCATTCTCATCACTATTTTGAAATTAAGACTGCTGCACATCTTGCTATTTAAGGTGTTACTAAATAAGCACATATATTATTATATCACAAATCTGGGTTTTTTATATTTTGATAGCTGTATTTCATTATAATTGAGTTTCCTTATAATTCTATGCCTTTCATATTGTTTTTGAACTTGAATTTTTTTTCTAAGAAAAAATCTAAGTTTCAGACTGTCAAAGTGGTTGATGGCATAAAAGAGGTCAAGAACTACTCCCTGCCTAGGGGAGGGGTGCACACCCTGAGACCTGAAGGCATGAGACGACTTATCCAGCAAAGGCACAGAGGTGGGCCGGGGCAGAGGCTGCCAAGAAGAGGGCGCCTGCTATGAGAGACGAAAGAGGGAACAGCAAAGTGGGTTTCTGAGTGCCCATCAGGCACAAGATACACGATCTCATTAGACATATAAAGATAAGGCAGGGCTCTGCCCAAGACGGCATGCAGTCCAGCACAGGCTCATAAGCAGGATTGTCTGCGGCAGGCAACTTCTTGGATGGACCCCAGTGGTCCCTGCCTCCTGGTCTTTATGCCTTTGTGCAACCCTCTTCCCATGAGTGTGGGTTAGACCTGGTGACTTCTTCCTAATGAATAAAATATGACAGAAGTGAAGCAATGTCACCTCCAAGATCAGATTACAAAAAGGCTCTCTTGCTGTCTCCCCTGGTCACTCTGCTGGAAGCCAGCTGCCATGCAGTGAGCTGCTCAACAGAGAGGCCCACGTGGCAAAGGTCTGAGGGAGCCAGCAAGGCCTGGAAGCCCTCAGACCATGCGTGAGCCTGGATGCAGTTCCCCCCTAGCCGAGCCTTCAGGTGAGACTGCAGTCCGCTGACACCTTGAGTGCAGCCTGTCAGAGATCCTGGACAGAGAACCTAGTAAAGCTGGATACAGACTCCTGACCCAGAGAAACTGTGTAATAGTAAATGGCTGCTGTTTTAAGCCACTATTTTGCAATAGTAATTTTTGCAATACAACAATAGATAATTTTGGGGGTAATTTGCAATACAATAGATAACTAATACAATGACCCCGAACACACAGTGACGAGCAGGAGCACTAACATTCTAGGGGTACTGAGAAAGACACCATCTCTTTTGGCTAGGAATAATGATATAAAAAGGTGTCTGAGGAGACTTGCACTTGAAGTGGGCCTCAAGGATCTCTCATCATATCAGGGAGTTGCAAGAAAGAAAAGAAAAAGAAAGAAAGAAGAAAAATAATCTATAAGAATGAATCAGAATGATTACAGCCAGGTGATAAAGTTATGGGGTTTTGCTTTCTACTTTATACATTTCCGTATTTCTTATATATATATATATGCATAGAAATCATTCTACAAATGTAGAGATATATATTTGTATATTTTCCAGGTTTCTGTTTGTAAATATTGCTTTACAGCAGATTTTTTTAAGGAATGGGGTAAATGTTAGAGTCATAAGAGAAGGTCATTTCCAGTAGACTAACACAAACAAAGACACACTGTAGTATACTATGAGATACCATGGCTATAAGATTAATGACAGCCATACGCCCACTCAAACATCTCACAGGACCTACACACTTAGCAGTATGATGCAACCTGGCCTGGGATTTCCAGCCCTGGCCCAGGGATTACTGGGTCTCTATGTCAACTGGATCCCAAAATCCTAGTTGCCCTAGAGATAAGGCCATCTAGCACAGACACAACTTTCACAAACCTTAAAACAAAGCTCACCCTTACCAGAATAGCTTAAAGCTCCATTATGAAAGAAACACCTGGGAACTGACCTGGACTGAGTACAGGTGTAAGAAAGGAGGAAGAATCCCTCAAACTCCGAGAACGGTCGCCAGATGGAGACCCTTCCCAGTCGGGTGGTCATCTGGACCTTGTGTTTGGCCACCAGCCTGCTCCTGCTGTCCGTGTTGTGAGATTGCTGCCAGAGTAAATTGCCTGCACTTCAGACAGCGTCTAAGTCTCACCTTTAATGTGAATCACACCAAAGGGGAAACGCTGCCCTGTGAAAGCTGGTTAACTAGGACCACCCAAGAGCCAGAACGCAAGGAACAGAAAATGGTTTAGTTTATATGTGATTGGGGCATTAAAGAAATCAGTGGGAAATAAAGCAGGGAAGCTAGAATGGGATCAGAGGATGGAGGGTGTGTGCGTGAGAGAGACAGACAGACAGACACAGACAAAGAGACAAAGAAGGAGAGGGAGAAAAAAATATATATTTTCCCACTTCTGAACAGCCGACAAAGGAAGAAGGGCCCAGCAGCCAAGAGTAACGAGACGAATCCAAACCCTTCTCTCCAGCCAGTAAGCACAGCTGGAAGAGAGGAAAGAACAAACCCTGGGCCTTCACACATTCTCCAACAAGTTTCCTTACCAAATGATATCCTTGTGCCAGGCACGTGGAACTGCAAAAATCCACCTTCCCTTCTCCAGTGACGCATTTACCGTGAGCAAAACAGCGGAAGAGCTGGACGTGCAGCTGGAGCCGAGTGACAATCTGCTCACCAGGAAGAGTGGCCGGCTGTCCTCACGGCCCATGGCAGGACTCAGAACAAGGGGGTCCAAGGCATGGCTTTTAATGTTCTCAAGCGCAGGGCTCAGGGAGAGACAAAGCCTGGGAGGAATGGGGTCCAAGGTGGCCAGAGCCGTTTGGTCCCACTCATCAGCTCACAGGTACCCACCAGTGCCCCAGTGGTGACAGCCAGTCTACCCGGACTGGAAACACCAGAGGTCTTTGTGCCTCTGTGCAATCCCCTTTTCAGGAGTGTGGGTTAGACCTGGTGCCTTCTTTCTGATGAATAAAATATGACAAAAGTGAAGCAACATCACAAAAATTAAGCGATGTCACAAAAGTGAAGCAATGTCATAAGCAGAGGGCTCAGGGAGAGTTCTCGGGGGAAGCCAAGCAGCCAGACCCAGCTGTGTCTGGGACAAGCATCTGTGGGAAGGAGCCCTGAGTCCTCATCACTCATCCCTGGGAGGGGAACAGAAGAACCCCACAATAGGTTTAATGAACCTGAAAACAGGGATCACTTGCACCTTCTGTTCTCCAAGCAGTGTAGGAAGCCAGTAAGGTCCCATGGTCCTCCCACAACCAGCACATTTGATGCTAAAGACATGCATGTGGAACAGGTGGCCTAAGGAGCCATAGATGGCCCCACAGCTTCCCCAAGCCCAGAAGGTCCAGGAAGAATGGAAAGCTTCTCTCACTGGCTGCAAGCAGCTGGGGTGAAGCACACAGAGCTGGCAAAACTGCTCTAGCCTTGAGGTAGGTGAGGCAAAATGTACAAGAAAACAAAGAAGTGACTCAAAATCAATCAACAACGGTGGCAGTGACTGGTAATGCCCACCTAACACGTGTCACTCCCGACACACCAGCTTCCTTGTGGATGGGGGGTGGCGGGGCCATGTCCAGCTGTAGCCCATGGATATGGGAAGGTATGTGTCCCATCCAGACCCAGCACTTAAGAGACACTCAAGAAACTTCCAGTCCTCTCTTCCCTGTCTGGGTGTCTAGAAGCTTTATACTGAAACAAGATGAAAACAGCTCGCTCCCTGATCACTATCTAGATAAACGACTCCCTGAAGAATTGCCCAAGCCACTGGGGACTTTGCCTAAGCAACAAAGTAACTTTTATATTTTCCACAGAGCTTTTGGAGTGAATTTGTTACTTAGCATGGCCCAGTTTCTCCGAGACAAAATCAAAGGTGATTGGGAGCAAGGATGTCTCCATAAACACCATCACTGACAGGTGACAGCAGGGCACCAGAGGCCCTCCACCACCATGCCTTGGCTCTATGTAGGTCCTTGGAACTGCATACAACTCCAGGGAGAGCCAGAGAGAGCACCACAAATCCATGGATTTCACTTCAGTAACTTGGTAGAACAAGGGCTCAAATGAGAAATTAAGTTCAATTAGAAGAAAAAAAAGTGACTTTTTCTGCACACCTCAATTTGTGGCTTGAAAACTGAACCCACTCCCCAGATGTCTGTATGACAAGTAAAGAAAAGGCCAACTGGCTCTTCTATAGATGTCTTTTTGGCCAAAGAAGATGATAATTTATCATTTCAGAGAATCATAGCATTTAGGATGAAATGGGACCTTCAAGTGTTGGGATGACACACAGGTTTCATCTCCTGTGCCAACTCCAGTGGGTTGGTGGTGACTTCCTGGAGGGCCATGTCAAAAGGATTCTAGGACTGCATCCAGGCTCAGCAGGGAACAGAGGATGGTTGATTAGCAAGGTCTGTGAGCGGAAGGCAGAGTGAGAGCACGTGAATAAGAGAAAAAATAATAAAGAAAAGAAAAGAAAAACAGTATGACCCCAAGAGCCCAGCTGTCTCATTTTATAGGTGGTGAAATCAAGGCCCAGGAAACGTGCCCACTGCTCTCTAGACACATGGTCCCAAAATCAGGGCTTGAACCCTCATCTCTCAATTCCAGTTCACTGTCATTCTGTTACCACCAGCTGTCACTTAGAAATAATTCCTTCTAAAAATGCAAATGAGATGCAGCCCTCCTGCCTCCTTCCAACATCTCTTGGAAACTTACTGTTCCTGATTTTATATAAAAATAATACATAAAACAAATCTCTTAAAAGCAGAGAGCTTCCTCCAACGGGTGACAAAAAGGGAAATCAGAGAAAGCTGAAGCTTGAGAGGGACTCAGTGCACTGTTTTGAAGATGGATGCAGGCTGTGTCAAAAGGAATGAGGGCAGCCTGAAGGAGCTGCAAGATGCCCTGGACTGAAAGCCAACAAAGAAATAGAAACCTCAGTCCTATAGCTGCAAGGAACTGAGATCAGCCAACAACTTGAACGAACATGGAAGAGTATTCTTCCCAGAGCCTCCAGATAAGAGCTAACCTAGGTGACACCTTGATTTCAGCCTTGTGCTAATGATGATCATAGAACTCAGCAGAGCCCACCCAGGCTTCCAACCTATGGAACTGTAAGATAATAAATGGGAGTCGTTTTAAGCCACTTGATTTCTCCTAAATTGTTATGCAGGAGTAGAAATACCATCAGCAGCTGAAATGGGTCTCCTACGGATGGTTGACAAAGCCATGGTTCAAGAATGAAGACCGTCAACATCTTGTTGAATGGTGGCAATGGTGGAAGCCAACTCGTGGGGTATATTCAAGAGCAGTGTCAAGCAAATGCGTAAAGCAGGTCGATTAATTCCTGCAACACTCGCTATACAGTATTTCTGTTCTATATTTATATAAGGCAAGGCTTGTGAGATTAAAACAATAGCCAAAGCTAAATCATCTCCAAAATGAAATTATGAAACAGTGTTGTCTGTTAAAATAGAGAAAAGAAACTCTTTCTCTTTTATATTTACAAATTCAGCACCTAGATAAGTTTGCTAAAGGCTGCTTTAACAATTTAACAATTGAGGAGAATGCTGAACACGAGAAGAATTTAAAAAACGCTTTCACGCCTAAGCATCACAAGATCTGAATGAGATGGTGTTCATGTATGGCTTTTTCCATGCTCAAACCCAGACTAGCTGCTTCAGCTTCTGGTACAACAAGCCAAGGAATGCTTTTATTTTTCTGTTGCCCAGGGCCAAAATCTGCTAAATATTATTATGATTACTACTAAATAATGACAACACAACAGAGACCATGTATTAAGGTCTTTTCTCAAGTGTCAGACACTTTCCTCTAAGTATTTTCTGTATTTTTAAGTGTCTTTGATCAATCAAATTCATGAAACAAACAAACAACAAAAAACAAGTGATTTCTATCCCTAACACTGTTCCATGAAGCTGCTTTTAAAAACTCATCCACCTCCTTTTTGCCAAGATAACTCCCATTCATCTCTGGACACCTGGTCCAGACAGCACCTCCTTCCCCACATCTTCCCTGGCCACTGTCTGCATCCCCAGCCTAGGTGCCCAGGATCCTCCACTCCTTGCAGGATTTTCTTTACATGCTTTACACAGTGATGGTGGTTGGTACTCTTGCCATCACAGCACACCAATCATGTGTGGGCACATCTCCCTCACCTTCAGAATGTGCAGTCCCAAAGGTGGGGTCCACAATGTTTAGCTTTGCATCCCCAGCTCCTAGTATGCAGTACACAGTAAGTGCTCTTTTCTTTATCTTATTCTTCATTAAAACACAGGAAGACAGGAATGCAACAAAGGGATGGGAGAAAGAGGAAACTCACACCAGAACAAAAGAAATTAGGAAAAGGCTGCAAGAGATAGAGAAATGCTAAATCATAAAAGAGGGGCCCACACACTAGATCCAGCAATATTTCCTCCCCTCGGACATCCACAGAATTCCAAGATGGGATGGCAGCCCTGAAATAGAAAAGGCGCTACCAGTGGAATTCAAATCCAGGTGGGGCCTCTTTCACCTGTACCTGTACCGATCACTCACATCCAGGCCCCAAACTGTGGTTTGGCTGCTCCAATCACTGCTGTTTTCCTTGCTGAGCAGAGCAGGGGCTCAATGGATCCCAAAAGCAAAGAACCAAACCAAGCCACAGGAACTCTTCTCTCCACATCAGGTCCTCCTGGCCCAAAAATAACAAGGAGAGAAACCAAAACCCATTCCATGGGCTTCTCCATCCACTGCTTTCCCTTCTGAAGCCACATACTTCCAGAAGATTCTCATGCCACTAAGTTTCAGAACCAAACTTAGTCTGCCTTCAAGGTGACTGTTCCCAAGTGCTCTGCTTCCTATTTCCTATGACATAATCATTAGAAGACAAGGGGAGGGCTGAGTTCAAGTCCCGGCTCTGCCACTTACTAGCTGGGTGACCCTGAACAAGTCCTTTTCCTTCTGCAGGCCTCAGTTTTCTCATCTCTAAAATAGTGACAGCTGGGCACGGTGGCTTACACCTGTAATCCCAACACTTTGGGAGGCCAAGCGGGTAGAACACCTGAGGTCAGGAGTTCAAGACCACCCTGGCCAATATGATGAAACCCCATCTCTACTAAAAATATAGAAATTAGCCAGGCGTGGTGGTGGGCACCTATAATCCCAGCTAGACAGGAGGCTGAGGCAGGAGAATCGCTTGAACCCAGGAGGCAGAGGTTGCAGTGAGCCAACATTGCGCCACTGCACTCCAGCCTGGGCGACAAGAGTGAAACTCCATCTCAATAAATAAAAAATAAAATGGTGACAAATAATTGCCCCTAATTCACAGAGCCTTAGTGAGGCACAATGAGATTGGGTCCACACCTCAGTGCAGTGGCCAGCGGGTGGTAACAGCACAGCAATGGCAGCCACTGGACATGGTATCAGCAGAGCTCGAACGACCCCTGAATGGCCATCACATGAAGGCTGTATGACCCAGAACAGACAAGCAGTTCTTTCACGTGAGCAGTAGCTTCTTTCCCATTAAAAATTTGTCATATGAGCTGCTTCTTTAAACCTCTTTTTCAAATTTCCATGCCACAGCTCAGAATATTAATATTCCCAATTGCCAAAACCAGCACACTGTTCTGATTCTGAATATGAACCACATACCAACCATAGGTTTCAGACCATTAACTTCTTTGCTTTCCCTTCTTTATTTTTTCATCAATTCTAACTCAGAGCAACCAAAGGGATTCATATTTTAAACATTACAAAAAAACACCCCCAAAACATCACATGCTTCCAGGCTGAAATGTTTTAGTGCCATTAGCTTAAGCCCCAAAATCATTATATGGATGAATTGCAAATCCCTGAAAAATCATAAGGGTTTAGGATGGAAAAAATAACTCAGCAGTGGGCTCTGGAAAAATCACTTAGAATATCCTGTCCCACAGCCACCAAAACATCACAGGTACCTCATCTTCTATATTTCACTTAGGAAACATCTTCTAAGTTTTCAGTCATATATAGCACAAGAAAAGCTTAAAACAGCCAGGGATTGGGTGTTCTTTTACCTTAACATCAGCCTGCAGTATGAAAAGCATCAAATGAATTTAGACTTACATCCAACTCTGAGGTTCTGAAAAACAGTGACTAACTTCTGTCTGGTTCAGAAAGGATACTTTTCACTCTTAAAAAGATGAAGTACTGGGTATCTACTACACAGTAACCATGTTTCTGAAACTTGATGACCACCCATCTCAGTGACTGGAAGAGAGAATCTAGCCTGCACCTCCAATGGAAAACTTATTAACTCTCTAAACCCATGTATTTAAATTGTAACGAGTAGCCCAGAACAGGAGGTTCTGGTTTGTCATAGCCTCCTTTGCAACTTCAGCAAGTCACTTTCACTAAAGAGCATTTATAAAGGGTTACTTAAGGAGGCTGAGTATGTTTTCCATACCTCAAATATCACACTGCAAGACACAATCTGTCAATTGTAAAAGGTAGAAACACACTGAGTACAAATGAGTACACAAAACTATTGTTTCTCAAACTTCTATTATTTGAGTCCCACTGTCACACTTGGAAATGTCTAAACATCAACTTTAATATTTGCTTTTTAATAAAACTCGTATTTTTTTCTCACTGCCTCATCCTTAAGCCCCAGTGACTAAAATAACATCCTGGTTATACTAGTTACAGCCTCCCCCCATTTCACATTAAAATGTATACAAACTGCCAAGCTCCATGCTCAAGGCACACCAAGGTAAAGTCAACAAAAGACAGAGAAGTGTTGCAAAAAAAAAGCCACTGTCCCCTCCATGCTCTCCCTAAGAGGGCCTGCTTTGCCTGCTCCTGTAAACCACTGATATGTGCCCAAGCTGCTGCCACATGAGTGCCAAGGGCCACCTGAGTGATGGTGGAGTAAGCCAGTCTCTAGTAACCAAGAGCTGGCAGAGACCTAGCAGATGCTGACACCCAAATTGGAATCTAAAGTAAGAAAGGGCATACATCACCTGCTGAGGTCACTCCCTCTGGCCTTGAATTCTGTCCTTCTGCATGGACTAGGCTGCTACTGAAATCATTCATTCATCTAGTCACCCGCTCACTCATCAGCAAATATGAATACATGACAGACTTTGGTGTGAACATGGAGACCCTAATGCAAACCAGGTCAGGGCTTGCGTTCCTAAGATACCCATGCAACAAGAGGGCCCTGTGTTCTCCACAACCATAACCCAACACCTTTCTCTTTCCACAGGGCAGAGTACACTTCAGGCAACATGAAACTCCAAAACCTAAAACACATGAATTCAGAAAATCAGAGTTCTTAAATGATTCCTTGATGCCGCATCATATTTCTCTTAACCTTATTTTCCATTTCAGTTGTCTGAGATAATAACTAGAAAAATATTTGTAAATTTATTATGGACAGCAGGTAGCACATTACCCAACTCCAATTCTAAGAAGCATTACTAAGATCTCATGTTCCAACATCCCTCATGTTAGTTTCATGCACAGTGGAGATGGCTAAAGGACTTCTCACTTCTACAAAGCTCAGGCCAAACCAGGCATTTTCTGGGTTTGGCAACAACCAAAAACTTCCAAGTCACTGATTTAAGTCCCTAGACCTAAGAACTTTTTCCACTGCTTTTAAATGTGATTATATAAAGAAAAAATTGGCCCATATTTTTCTAATCCTTGTGTCCTTCATCCATCAAATGCTTCCTCTGAAAGCTATTTGATACCTAAGAAGGCTTTTGAGCACTTTATAAGTCTTAAAATTTTCCTTCCTCTTTGAACTAGGAAACTGCCTGTTTTGCTTACAGCACACTAAACTTGAACCTCAAAAGGCTTTAAGTCTGTCTGAAATTTAAAATCCTTCAAGTAGTGGGTTCTAACTGGAGAGAAAAAGATATACTTTGTTTCCTTTTTTTTTTTGCCTTCATATGCATACCAAAATGTAAAAGCATTATTTAAAAGAACAATGCATCTGTGTGTGTGCGTATATAAACACACTATATATACCCACACTATATATATATACACACACTATATATATACACTATATATATACACACTATATATATACACACTATATATATATACACACTATATATATACACACTATATATATATACACACACTATATATATACACACTATACACACACACACACACACACACACACATACTTTAAGTTCTGGGATACATGTGCAGAATGTGCAGGTTTGTTACATAGGTATACACATGCCAAGGTGGTTTGCTGCACCCATCAACCCGTCATCTACATTAGGTATTTCCCTAGTGCTCTCCCTCCCCTATCCCCCAACCCCAACAGGCCCAGGTATGTGATGTTCCCCTCCCTGTGTCCATGTGTTCTCATTGTTCAACTCCCACTTATGAGTGAGAACATGTGGTGTTTGGTTTTCTGTTCCTGTGTTAGAATAGTAATCATTAAAAAGTCAGGAAACAACAGATGCTGGAGAGGATGTGGAGAAACAGGAAGGCTTTAACACTGTTGGTGGGAGTGTAAATTAGTTCAACCATTGTGGAAGACAGTGTGGTGATTCCTCAAGGATCTAGAACCAGAAATACCATTTGACCCAGCAATCCCATTGCTGGGTATATACCCAAAGGATTATAAATCATTCTACTATAAAGACACATGCACAAGTATGTTTATTGCAGCACTGTTCACAATAGCAAAGATTTGGAACCAATCCAAATGTCCATCAATGATAGACTGGATAAAGAAAATGTGGCACATATACACCATGGAATACTATGCAGCCATAAAAAAGAATGAGTTCATGTTGTTTGCAGGGACATGGATGAAGCTGGAAACCATCATTCTCAGCAAAGTATCACAAGAACAGAAAACCAAATGCATCTCTTAAAATGCGGTTTTTGTGGCAATGAAAGAAAACTTGGTAGTGTTTGGATCAACTGACTAAAAAGTAAAAGGCTGTCATGTAATTTACCTAAGTGTTTCCAAAATAAATAATACATAAATAAGAACCACATACCTTTCACAGCAGCTAATATAAAGCCACCAGCTGCACTGAGCCTATTACAAACCTAAATACTGGATAAAAAGTCTGGCCAACATCCTCTATGTCTCCGTTTCTATTTTACTGTTAATAGCCAAGAAAAAACTTAAAGAAAAAGAAACGAGTGAGACATTAAACCTCTTCCAGTGCTAAGCTGGAAGATTATTCTAGGTCCAAATAAGAAGAAAAGATGAGCATGCTCCCTTGATCTGAGCCTTCAGGAAAACGAATGCAGCTTAGAGTTCAAAGCTGAGAGACTTACACTTCCTTCTGTCCTTAACCAGTCTCCTGATTTTCAAAGAAAAAAATCACAGACACTGTGGTTAACTTTCATCATTACACAAGACACATTCAATATAAGAGAACCTTTCCATGACTTCGTTTTTCAACACAAGAGCAGAAAAATCAGCCCACAGAAGTGATACAAGGACAGGAAGTAAGAGCAGTTTCCCAAAATGCTGGGCTGCAATCTTTGTAATCAGCCGAGGACACCACCCACCACATCTGGGTGGGCACCAGAGCCGATTATGTTAATTATGATTGGGCTGGATGAATAGCAAATTTGCCATATTGTGGCTGGGCAGCAAGTGGGGATAAAACACTGGCATTCAAGACATGCTGCTGGGTCTCTTCCTTCTGCCTGTATGGATGTAACATAGAAGGCAACATTGTCACTACAAGATGGCATATTTTCCTCCAACCATGCTAATGGATCCCTATTAATAATGAAGTTTAACAAATGTCATCTAAAGTGCAAGAAAAAAATGAAAGAAAACACAGGCCAAAGACCATATAAAGCCAGAGGGGATGAGATTCCAGCCCTGCCAGGTACAGACATCATGCGTACCTTATGTAGATGGTATTCAGCATTATCATCTCTCACTGTGAGTTTCATTAGGCAAGGCTGTGTGTTCCATCTTATTGCTGTGTTGCCGGGGTCTAGCGCAGAATCCACCACACCAAAGGTGCACAACATGTGTTTGCTGTATCAATAAACTGAGAAACCCACAAACCAGCCCAGTTGGCCCCTCAGTGAATCACACATCTGTCACACACTGCTTCATAGATTGAATTTAACAACTAAAATCCCAGAAATCATAGGAGTTAAGAGAACCAACAGATCTTGGGCTCTGGCAATGCACCACCTCACTTCAAATCTTGGCATCACTTCCTCACTGTGTGACCCTGGGCAAGTTACTTTATCTTTTCATGCCTCAGATTCCCTCTTCTGTAAAATCATAGTAAAAATAGCCTTTACTCCACTGAGATGCTCTCATAATTAAATGATACAATCCATGTGAGAGACTTAGAACACTGTCTGGCAAACATTAAGCACTTAATACATGTATACTATTTCTGACTATTAATTTTTACTATTCCAAGTCTCTACACAGTAGCCACCATACAAGCTTCCAAATAGGACTATGAATAAGCACAACTTTCAGTAATTAAAAGTTAACCAACTACCTTAATAGGTATCAACAAAAACTAATAAAAAAGGTATTATGCAACAAAATAAGCAAGTTGCACAATAATAGATGCATAGCATGTGCTTCATTTGTATTAGAACAGTGGTAGAAGCTGTCTATGAGTATATACACACACACCACACACATGTGGAAGTATAACAAAATTTCTCTGCAAAGTCATAGTATAAATCCATCATAGTGACTACCTGGGGTGGAGGGGAATCAACAAGAGCCGAATCCTGATCTGTAATGTTCTAATTATAAGCAAGCAGATTCCTGATTTACTTAAATAATTAGTAAAAATTTAAAGCAAACTTGTAAAAGGTATACCAAACATAAAAACAAAAAGGAAATGAAAAAAGAAACATCGTCTCCACTCCCAGCACTGGGAGGTGGCTCGCCATGCGGTTGCTGGAAGGAGGAAACCATAATTACTTGAGTAATGGCTTCTTCTTGGCTAGACCACAGGTTCCGCTTGGCCAGGAACCATCTGCCTTTTCACTACCCCTGTGTCCCCCAGCTCCAATCATAGTGCTAATCACACGACGGATGCTCAGCAAATGTCTGCAGATTGAATGAATGGATTTTTTTTTTAATTCAAAATTCTTTAAGCAATTTGGTAAGGTCTTTCATTTTTCTGTATCTCTTTTGAAAGCCTGAACATATTTAATTACATAACTTTGAAACAATGGGTAAAAACTCCCAAAGTCTGAGTTTTAACCAGCATGTTTAAATTATAGATATTTGTGATGCAGAGGAATAAATGCCTGCCTTCGACCTTTAGCTTCCCTCTTGTGGGTCCATCGTGGGAGGAAATGTTTTCTTTCATCTTTCCACTTTCCCCACTTCGGGGAACTCTCTGTGCCTCAATGTTGTTTCTTTTATGATGCCTCTTCCATCTCACATCACGACCTTGGAGACACAATAAATAGCTTTCCTTGCCCTGTCCTACCACAGCCTGAGTTTGTGATATGATATGCAGACATGGTCTACCAAGCCCTGCCGCCAAAGCAAACACATCAGCAAAATCTACCCATCCTTGCTATAGATTTATGTCAGTCCAGCAATTATACAGCCTGTCGTGGGTTCTGGGAACGTGCTAAAGTGAAATATGGAAGAATTCCTTAGAGAGCAGCAGCAAAAAATCAAAACTCCTGCTCCCTCCCCCAAAACCCCTATCCCCAACTGCATTCACAGCCCCCAGGAGACACATGTGGGGCTGCAAAGAGCCTCCTGCCTTGACTGGCTTATTAGGATGGGACATAGTCAGGCACCATGGGGGGGTCTGTGCAATTCCAGTGGGGGAAGTATGGGGACCACGCATTCCATGTTTTCCAGGACTGACCTGATTTCAAACACTCTAGCATATTGTCCTTCAAAGTATAACTGTGTATTTTGGGTCACAATCCTAACTTTCCCCTCTACACACCAAGGATAGTGAGAGGTAGAATGTGACTTTGTATCCCTGAACACACAAGACCAGAGACCTTTCTGAATTTAAGCTGCCAATGCTAAGGGTGTGAAAGACTTTATGTCTCCTTCTATCCCTGCAAAGGCACATGTGAATGAGGAATTTTAGTGTTCTTCCACCCATGGGGAAGCATATATTTGTTCAGATAGGGAGATTCTGTGGCTGCAAAATCCCATGTCCAGACCAGGCAGAATAAGGGGTTTAGGCCTCAGGATTATCCCCAACACCTTGAGCAACCACTGCATGCCAAGCACTCTGCCAGGCTGGGAGCATTCAGCAATTAATAAAAGCAGTCCTAGGACCAAGACTAAGGGTCTGGTAGAGGAAGAAGATAGTAAACACATAATGACAAATTTAGTTCCTCCCCATGGTAACAAGCGCCAAGAAGGAATCTGGGTGCCAAAAAATAAAACTGGACACCAGATGTGGAGAGAAGACGGGCTTGAGTATTCTCGGTTCCTAAAGGTTTTGTAAGGATTAAATAAGAATCAAAGCATCCATGTGAATATTCCATTCCACTTGCCCTGTATAATAGAGAAGCTGAAGAGAGATGCTAAAATAAATTGTTTAACTTACTTAAATGGTGCCATGGCTCAGAGGAATGAGTAGGCTATCTAGACATTTATTCTTAATAGAAATAAAACTGAGCATCTACTATGCGCCAGGACATAGGTGTCAAAGATATAGCAGGGAATAAAACAGACTATTCCCTCATTCTCATGATGTTTACATTCTAGTGAAGAGAAAGAGGGAACAAACAGGAAATGAATTCAGAGTTCAGACAAGCTGAACTGGAGGAAATGAGACGGAGTCACATGATACAGAGTTACTGGGCAAAAGACTTTAGATTGCCTGGTTATGGCAAGCTCCTCTAATGGAGATGATATCTGAGCTGAAACTAGAGTGATGAGCCAGGTGTGCAAAGAAGTGGGGAAAGAGCACTCAAGGCAGAGGGATTGTGAGAGTCAAACTCCTGAGCTGAAAGGGCTTGGCATGTTTAAGGAAAAAAAAAAGAATACCAGCATGGCCACAGCCTTGTTGAGCACTACGGAGAATAGTAGGAGACGTGAGGGGAAGGAGACTGTTATGATTTAAATGTGTCCCCCGAAGCTCATGTGTTGGAAATGTAATTTACAAGTTCATATGTTGCTGGTATTTGGAGGTAAAACCTTTGAGAAGTAATTAGGATTAGATAAGGTCATCAAGACGGGACCTTCATTATATGACTGGTGGCTTTATAAGAAAAGGAAGAGAGACCTGAACTGACACGCTCCCTCTGTCTTGCCGCATGCTGCCTTCTGCCATGTTATGACACAGCAAGAAGGCCCTTGCCAGATGCAGCCCTTTGACCCTGGACTTCCCAGCCTCCAAAACTATAAAAAATATATTTATTTTCTTTATAAATTGCCCGGTCTCATGTATTCTGTTTATAGCAACAGAAAATAGATTAAGACAGAGACACATCCTTGGGGCCTTGAAAACCAAGCTAAGAATTTGAGGCAGTCAATTCTAGGGGTCTAGTTCCCAGAGAAAAAAGAGATCAGTAGAAGAGGCTCCAAAGTGTGACATCTCTGCACAATACAACAAATACAGTTTCTGTTTAGAAAGTAGAAAAATTTGTCACATCTTGTTCCATTTGACAAATGGTTCAAGTGGCTAATAGCTGACTCCACGTCTATAAACATCAAACACTGTTTGGTTTAATTCTTAGAAGTTAGGGCTAAAGATTCTGAATTCCCAAGGAGAAGGAGGAGGAAACATATTTATTCAAGTTTCCCCTGCCCATACATTAAGGAATCTTAGCAGAGCAGCTGGTCCATAAACACGCCTGAAAATTCCTGAGCATTGCAAAAGCCAACAGCTAGAATGCAGGGCTTTGCTTCAGCAGCTGCAAATTTTGTCACTCTTCTCAGAAATCCCTATTTTGCAGCCACATAAATGCATTGGCAGGCTTCTGTTTCAACTAAATGGACGTTTAATTTTGTATGTTTCCTTCACAGAAAGTATTTATGATATATATTTACAATGCTGTCATCATAAAAGTTACTTAAGGGGATCTTCCAGTCATGATAAGTGTGCTTCCAGAGATGATGGTATGAGCCTCATGAGTCCTAGGAACAAGCGGCTTGGTTTTGGCTCAGCTGTATCCTTCTGGAAGAGTTCTTTTCAATCCCACCACACGGTAAAAGCATTTCTATCCGGCTCTCCATCCAGCAGAAATGAAATCTCACCAGTGTGGCTTAATTAAGTGGAAGCACATCTCAAGTTTTCTTTTTTTGAGGGTTTTTTTTTCTATTAAATCTGTATACTTGTTTAGACAAGCAAACCTAAAGAATTAAGAACTCACAATTGTGGATCAGAGCTGCACCTGCTGTGTTTGTTTTTCTCTTGATCAAAACTCTCAGCTCTGCTTGACTTCCTTTCATCAGCAGCCATCCCAGAAGCCAGTTAGGTCCGTGTCACCATGCCAGGCTCTCATCCTATCAGCTTAGCCAACCTGGTGGAAATAACATCTTTCCCACTAGCTCCTGGAGGGAAGTCAGGGAAGGCTCTGACTGGCCTAGCCTGAGTCACAAGCCCATTTTTTAGCCAACTCTATCTCCAGGGTAAGGTGAGACATTGGTGGGCCAAGCCTGGGCCCCTGCCCACATTGTGGCTGAAGCTTATGGGACCCCAGCATCAAATGGAAGGAGAAAAAGTTTCCCCCAAAGAAACCAGAAAATGGGAGATAGGAAATTATGGTGATCAGGTTAATACTTTAGCTACCTCAGTCCAGTATGGCAGAGACATGAGTTAACAAGGTTATGTGCTGTATCTAATCACATGCAACTGAGTAATACGGAATCTTCCTCCCTAGCCAGCACTGTCTGGGGCTTTAAACTTCTCTGAGTTTTGCTATCATAGGTTATTTATTATTAATCACTTCTGATCCCTTCAGGTGTTATGAAAGTGTTCAATCAATACTTTCAAACACTTACATGACCAAGCAGAAACAGAATCACTTACCTTTAAAACTATCCCCAACATTCTCAGCTATGTATTTTATGTTGGATCTTTTTCCTGCACTGAATGCTGATAGCATCAAATCTCTTCCTTCCAAAGTGTAAAGGAAAGCTCTGCTGCTAGAACATCTCAAAGACAAACTAAGTTTAATGGTAAAGGTGGCTTCAGGCTCATGAGCTGGGTTGAAGTCAAATCTACCTTCCTTACTCTTACTTGAACTTCATTCTCCAACATCAGACAAGGTTGCCATCCTCTGCCATCCACCATCCCTAACACTATCTGACACTGCCTTACAGATTTGGGTATACAGTTATTGTTTGTCTTCTCAAGCTTTTCATGAGAAGGTAAGCTTCAGGGGTTCAGACTCTCATTTACTTGGGTCACCCCCAGGACCTAAACAGTGCTTACACACAGCAGGCACTCAATAAATACTGGTTGGATATGGAATTTACTGTCCACAGAATCCTTTTTTCCATAATCAATTCTCACAGGGCCCAACTTGGAAATGCCATAATAAATAAATATTAAAACAAAAAGTATTACCATTCCTAGAAGTACTGGTGTACTAGAAATCCCCAACTCCACTAGGATAGCCATCTAACCAGGGTTTCAGAAAGCCCCTGAGGCCGTGAAGGTTACTATGCTTTGATGCTCCTCTGTTTCTACAGCCCTTTTATCTTCCAGCACCAGCTATGAACTTGAATTTACTTATAAAAATACCTCAAAACACTTCTCTCAAGTTCTATCGGGATCTTGATTTTATCCAATGTAATGGTCAATTTGTCGATGAGGACTGAATAACCAGGGACTATTGGACTATCCCCATTTTCTAATTTCTTCGATTGTCCTTCTTGACTTCCTACCTGGATTTCCCTCATTATTTCTCCATCAACAAGCTTCTGAAGGCAACTGAATGCAGAAAATGCTCAGCAAGACCATTACACCTTCTGAATTAGCCTATTGCAACCATGGAAGAACAGGGGGCCCACTGCCCTTTGCCCATTTATTTTTTTATACTCATTGAAACACTCTTAAGGTTTTCTTGCTTTAATGTTGGCCAGCAAACTCCCTCTTTCACAAATAAGCTTTTCAGATGAAAAAAAATTACTCTGTCTGCAATCAACCTTTCTAGAAGAAAACCATCCTCTCTGACATGACAAGACCTACAAAAAAACAACAACGGCAGGAACAGCAGCTGTGCAACATTGCTGACACCTAAAAGCGTAGGGAAAAAAAAATAGCTGGTGGGGGAAAAAAATAAGTCTATAAACATTTCAGAGAGGGAAAGCTCCCCTAGCTCTCACGCTACATGCAGCAACCAATTACTCTCTCAAAAGAAGAATGCAGGTCTTACATGAAGTGGAACAATTAATTTCACGCTTGTCATCCTGGCCTCAATAGTAAGTTGATTTGAATCAGATATTTGCCGTACATTACAGCTTGCAGGGGACAGTTCTGGTGCCTTCTGAGCTGACGGACTGCTCTGATGGCTACCATCGTAAAACAATCCATCAATAAGAGTAATTATGATATTGATCAAAGCAGTTGGCTGCTTCAGATTGGAATCAATTCTCAGAAGTTGCTGGGAACAGAAATGTCTAATGGACTATTCCATCACTAGTCACTGCAGCAAGTGAAACAGCTAATATTCTGGAAAGTTCTTAATAATTACTCATTGAATCTGCATTTCTGCTTCAGTGGTCATAAGTAGACCCTGCTAACTGTACCCTGAAAATCAGTCCAAGTGGATGAAGGAAGGGCCAAACGCAGATTTATAAAGTGCCAGCACTGACCCAAAAAGTGCGACAAATAATGTGGAAAACTACCCTCCATACTTCTATTGTATCCTGTTAATCAGAGAGGCTCCTTATTTTTTTCTACAGACCTTCTGGATAAGAAAGTGCACTGGAAAGAAGACAGCTCATTTTGTAGAGGCTGCTCTTACAGTGGTTTTTTTTTTTTTTTTTTTGAGACGGAGTCTCACTCCTTACAGTGGTCTTGACAAGAGAAGAACATGCTTTATTTCGATGTTGATGGTGTCAGTAACAGAGAGCACAATGCCATTAATGTGAACTTCTCAGGTGTGTGTCATTCATCATATTCTAGTGCATACAGAAAAATGTGGACCCTCTGGGAAGCAGCATAAACTTGGGGAGACCTACAATAGTACATAACCCTAATAAAACTGCTTTCTTTTTACCTCACTCAAATGCCTATTGATTTATAATCAGGGTCTGCCATATCCAGGACAGCCCCTATACGGCATGAGAAGATCACAAAAGCTGCCCATATTCCTCATCACATGGCCCCCTAGCCCATTTATGCCTGAAGGTTGCAATTTTTTGGATTTTGAAAATCAGATCTTGGCGATGACCTTGAGCAGTAGGATAGAAATAATTCCCATATGCTTAGCATTCCAATAATGGAATGCTAGGCATATTAATCAGCAGTCAGAGAAAGGGGAGGCATTCAATCCTGAGGACTTCCTCTTCCAGGTACAACAAGACTTCACATAGCACTTTTGACCACACCACACACCTTCCTAGTGACAAGATTTCAGGTCCCCCAGAAAAAGTGTCACCAATTTCAGGTTCAAGGACCTTCCCTTTCCAAGATCCTGTGTATACAACCTTTTCTCAGGCTATAGCCCAGTGGTTCATTTCTCACAAAGCCTATTTTTTGTCCCTAAATTTAACAATGACTTCCTATTTCCAACTATGCTTTTGCATTTTTTTTTTCATTATGTGTCTCATTGCCCACCCCAACTCTGACACTTACTGGATCTGTGACCTTGGATAAGTTACTTAACCTCGCTTAACCTCATGTATCCATTTCTATACAGGGGGGTAAAATGATTAATTCTGGAAGTAATGTGTTTAGAAAAGACTTTACTGGAAGACATTTGAGATGATTTGAGAGATTCCCAGAGTACGTGGCAGTAGAGGTAAAGAAGAGGCTCTTAGGTAGAGTAAACAACATAAGCAAAGGCCTGCAGCGGGGAATATGGGGAGAACAATAAAGTAGGGTGGGAAGCAGACAGGGAAGGTTCTGGAATACAAAGGCCCAAAGATTGTACTTTTGTTACCGGCAATGGGAGTCTCATGCTGGACTTGCAAGCAAAGGACTGAGCTGATGAGAACAGTTTCAGGAAAGATAGCCCAGGAATTGTGAAAGATGGACCAGTCAGGAGGTGAATGCAATCACTCAGAGGAGAGATGATGATCATACACCAAATTCTTTCAAAATAAATCTTCTGTAATTGGGACCTTACTTCAAGTAGAAGTAGATTAATACTTGTGTGGACATTTGCCAGTGCAAGTCTTTATGCCGCATTTCATTCTGTTCTTTGCAAGCCGCAAGAGTGGTCCCACGTTGCTAGGAATTTACAGGATCATTACTGTCCCCCTCTGATGTATCAAAGCTCTATAAGATGCCTGAGTGAATTCCAAGTTCAGTTTGGAAAGTTTCAAGATAACAACAATATATTTATTTGAAGGCTTAGACGGTTTTAACGCCAGAATGACTCTTAACTCTCCTTAGCTCTATAAACATTACTATAAAATCAAACATGATTCCATTTTTAAAAGAGGGAAATCAGGTTTCAACAGTTTTTAACCTGAGAGAAAAATGTGTGCAATAGAAACCAAACAGCCATTCCACAGGGGAAATGTTACAGATGTTGTCTCTCCCCTCAGCAACCAAATATTAATTTCACTGATGGAGAGATTCAGGAGGTAGACAATAATCAACTGAGGTTACTCCAGTGCTTTTATCTGCATTTGGCAGCACCTTTGAGCTGGGGCTGGAGGACAGGAAGATGTCCTATTAATGCTCTTCACAATAGATTCCATTGATAAAGCCTCCACATTGCAGGTAAGGACAGCGCTCATCCCAGAAATTGCACCAACTCCCTTAGAGTATACAAGCTGCTGTGCACAGCATTTTCCCATATCTTCCTTGTTGATTCCTGTGAATTTCTGACAAGGAAGATTTTTACTTTGATTCAAATAGGTTGGTAACAACAGTAATACTCATAACAACTAACTCTCATATAGCACTTATGGCATGCTATGTGCTAGTCTTAGCATTTAGCATTTAATCCTCTGAAGAACCCTATGCATTAGGCATTATTATCATCTCCATCTTCATACTTGGAAACTGAAGCTCAGAAAGGTTAGGTAATTTGACCAAGTCCTTATCTTCACCCATCAATACAGGCAGGCACACAAACATAACCACAAAGAAGCTACTGGAAGATTGCATTTGGTGGATACCTCACTGCACTCCTCCAGAGTTAATATAATGTATTGTTTTAAAAAGAAACAATTTATCAGAAGCTAATTGACTGAGTTCTCACTGGTCCCTAGGCCAGCCCCCTTGAAAGGGAAATGGACAAGTAGGGAGGAAGCACTGGATTGTAAGATAATGAACCACTCTATCTTCAGTACCCTATCTGGAAATGGAAGATGATCCTCCAGAGATCAAACTCACCACTGGCAAACCCAAAGCTGCCATCTGATGGGAGAGCATCCCTCCCCAAAGCAGTGCTTCTCAAGTGGTCTCTATGAGCATCAACATTCTCTAGGGAAATGGAAAAAATACATATTTTTGAGCCCATCCAACACCTAAACCAGCCGCTCACTGTAAGAAACACAGGAAATCGGCCGGGCGCAGTTGCTCACACCTATAATCCCAGCACTTTGGGAGGCTGAGGCGGCTGGATCACGAGGTCAGGAGTTTAAAACCAGCCTGGCCAACATGGTGAAACCCCATCTCTACTAAAATACAAAAATTAGCCAGGCGTGGTGGCAGGCACCTATAATCCCAGCTACTCGGGAGGCTGAGGCAGGAGAATTGCTTGAACGTGGGTGGCAGAGGTTGCAGCGAGCCGAGATGGTGCCACTGCACTCCAGCCTGGGCAATAGACTCTGTCTCAAAAAACAAAAAAAAACAGGGAATCACATAGTCCTTGGATTAGAGGGTACATTATCCCAATTTCACTATCCTTTAAGTCCTCCAAAAGGCACATATGGGTACACAAGCTCACAAATACTTCCTCCAAATCAAAACACATATGACAGGAATAGACACTGATATGGCTTGGATCTGTGTCCCACCCAAATCTCACGTCCAATTGTCATCCCCAGTGTTGGAGGTGGGCCCTGGTGGAAGGTGACCGGATCACTCATGAATGGTTTAGTACCATCCCTTTGGTGGTGTTCTCGCAATAGTGAGTTCTTGTGAGCTCTGGTCATTTGAAAGTGTGTGGCACCTCCCCCTTCACTCTCTCTCTGGCTCCTGCTCCAGCCATGTGACCTGCCTGCTACCCTTTTGCCTTCTGCCATGACTGTAAATTTCCTGAGGCCTCCCCAGAAGCCAAGCAGAATCCGCTGTGCTTCCTGTAAAACCTACAGAAGCACAAGCCGATTAAACCTCTTTTCTTCATAAATTACCCAGTCTCAGGTATTTCTTTATAGCAAGGTGAGAACACACTAATAGAGACCCACCCATACTCTCTTGCTCTCAGAAAGAATTAACACCACAAGACTCATTAATTAAAAATACAGTGTCATTATAGTATTTTAAAACAAAGATGATCTGAGCAAAAAAAAAAAAAAAGAGTTGGTTAAACTCAGGGCAGTTTTGAATCTTTAATATTAAAGGACCAATTTCAGAGCCACATGTAAACAAAATGGGCACCGAATGATTCAGGAAGAATATTAAATCAAATACTGACTTTAAAAGACCAGCAAAGTCTCTGAAAGTGTGGGCAGGTTGCTAAAGCCAGGAAATGATTTCAGATGAAGACCAAGATTGATGAAAGCAAAGATGGACTATGTGTTTCCCGGGGGGCTTAATCCTGCTGCACTTCTCTTTCTGCTACCTCTCTACTTCCCGGCCTCAACACCCCTCTCATGGTGCCCTTGGTCAACTGCAGGTTCTAGGATGGTAGGAGCACAGGAAGCATGCTGCAGGCTTTCACCAGATGCCCAACAAACAAGCTGGGGGGACACAGGGAGATGGCAGGGGAACTATATCATACGGCTGGTCCCTGGGGAGAACAGAGCAGAGAGCACAGAAAGGCAGTTCCATGTGCCAGGGCAGGCAGCCTGCAGAGACCAAAGACAGGAGAGAGACAACCAAAGTCCTCACACAGAGTGTGCACAATTCTAATTTTAAGAGACTGCAGCTGAGTCCTAGTGACATAATCACTGGCCAGTTGAAGTCTTTACAGAAGTCCCTAAAACACTTCTAAAACAAAGGAAAGAATGAGTAAAAATAAAACCTATTGGACATCAGCT